>NC_000002.12:202035072-202338102 GCF_000001405.40 Homo sapiens
GCCCGAGCGGCTGCGCTGCGAGAACTTCCCGGTGCACGGTGCGGGCGAGATCTGCGTGGGCCAGAACACGTCGGACGGCTCCGGGGGCCCAGGCGGCGGCCCCACTGCCTACCCTACCGCGCCCTACCTGCCGGACCTGCCCTTCACCGCGCTGCCCCCGGGGGCCTCAGATGGCAGGGGGCGTCCCGCCTTCCCCTTCTCATGCCCCCGTCAGCTCAAGGTGCCCCCGTACCTGGGCTACCGCTTCCTGGGTGAGCGCGATTGTGGCGCCCCGTGCGAACCGGGCCGTGCCAACGGCCTGATGTACTTTAAGGAGGAGGAGAGGCGCTTCGCCCGCCTCTGGGTGGGCGTGTGGTCCGTGCTGTGCTGCGCCTCGACGCTCTTTACCGTTCTCACCTACCTGGTGGACATGCGGCGCTTCAGCTACCCAGAGCGGCCCATCATCTTCCTGTCGGGCTGCTACTTCATGGTGGCCGTGGCGCACGTGGCCGGCTTCCTTCTAGAGGACCGCGCCGTGTGCGTGGAGCGCTTCTCGGACGATGGCTACCGCACGGTGGCGCAGGGCACCAAGAAGGAGGGCTGCACCATCCTCTTCATGGTGCTCTACTTCTTCGGCATGGCCAGCTCCATCTGGTGGGTCATTCTGTCTCTCACTTGGTTCCTGGCGGCCGGCATGAAGTGGGGCCACGAGGCCATCGAGGCCAACTCGCAGTACTTCCACCTGGCCGCGTGGGCCGTGCCCGCCGTCAAGACCATCACTATCCTGGCCATGGGCCAGGTAGACGGGGACCTGCTGAGCGGGGTGTGCTACGTTGGCCTCTCCAGTGTGGACGCGCTGCGGGGCTTCGTGCTGGCGCCTCTGTTCGTCTACCTCTTCATAGGCACGTCCTTCTTGCTGGCCGGCTTCGTGTCCCTCTTCCGTATCCGCACCATCATGAAACACGACGGCACCAAGACCGAGAAGCTGGAGAAGCTCATGGTGCGCATCGGCGTCTTCAGCGTGCTCTACACAGTGCCCGCCACCATCGTCCTGGCCTGCTACTTCTACGAGCAGGCCTTCCGCGAGCACTGGGAGCGCACCTGGCTCCTGCAGACGTGCAAGAGCTATGCCGTGCCCTGCCCGCCCGGCCACTTCCCGCCCATGAGCCCCGACTTCACCGTCTTCATGATCAAGTACCTGATGACCATGATCGTCGGCATCACCACTGGCTTCTGGATCTGGTCGGGCAAGACCCTGCAGTCGTGGCGCCGCTTCTACCACAGACTTAGCCACAGCAGCAAGGGGGAGACTGCGGTATGAGCCCCGGCCCCTCCCCACCTTTCCCACCCCAGCCCTCTTGCAAGAGGAGAGGCACGGTAGGGAAAAGAACTGCTGGGTGGGGGCCTGTTTCTGTAACTTTCTCCCCCTCTACTGAGAAGTGACCTGGAAGTGAGAAGTTCTTTGCAGATTTGGGGCGAGGGGTGATTTGGAAAAGAAGACCTGGGTGGAAAGCGGTTTGGATGAAAAGATTTCAGGCAAAGACTTGCAGGAAGATGATGATAACGGCGATGTGAATCGTCAAAGGTACGGGCCAGCTTGTGCCTAATAGAAGGTTGAGACCAGCAGAGACTGCTGTGAGTTTCTCCCGGCTCCGAGGCTGAACGGGGACTGTGAGCGATCCCCCTGCTGCAGGGCGAGTGGCCTGTCCAGACCCCTGTGAGGCCCCGGGAAAGGTACAGCCCTGTCTGCGGTGGCTGCTTTGTTGGAAAGAGGGAGGGCCTCCTGCGGTGTGCTTGTCAAGCAGTGGTCAAACCATAATCTCTTTTCACTGGGGCCAAACTGGAGCCCAGATGGGTTAATTTCCAGGGTCAGACATTACGGTCTCTCCTCCCCTGCCCCCTCCCGCCTGTTTTTCCTCCCGTACTGCTTTCAGGTCTTGTAAAATAAGCATTTGGAAGTCTTGGGAGGCCTGCCTGCTAGAATCCTAATGTGAGGATGCAAAAGAAATGATGATAACATTTTGAGATAAGGCCAAGGAGACGTGGAGTAGGTATTTTTGCTACTTTTTCATTTTCTGGGGAAGGCAGGAGGCAGAAAGACGGGTGTTTTATTTGGTCTAATACCCTGAAAAGAAGTGATGACTTGTTGCTTTTCAAAACAGGAATGCATTTTTCCCCTTGTCTTTGTTGTAAGAGACAAAAGAGGAAACAAAAGTGTCTCCCTGTGGAAAGGCATAACTGTGACGAAAGCAACTTTTATAGGCAAAGCAGCGCAAATCTGAGGTTTCCCGTTGGTTGTTAATTTGGTTGAGATAAACATTCCTTTTTAAGGAAAAGTGAAGAGCAGTGTGCTGTCACACACCGTTAAGCCAGAGGTTCTGACTTCGCTAAAGGAAATGTAAGAGGTTTTGTTGTCTGTTTTAAATAAATTTAATTCGGAACACATGATCCAACAGACTATGTTAAAATATTCAGGGAAATCTCTCCCTTCATTTACTTTTTCTTGCTATAAGCCTATATTTAGGTTTCTTTTCTATTTTTTTCTCCCATTTGGATCCTTTGAGGTAAAAAAACATAATGTCTTCAGCCTCATAATAAAGGAAAGTTAATTAAAAAAAAAAAGCAAAGAGCCATTTTGTCCTGTTTTCTTGGTTCCATCAATCTGTTTATTAAACATCATCCATATGCTGACCCTGTCTCTGTGTGGTTGGGTTGGGAGGCGATCAGCAGATACCATAGTGAACGAAGAGGAAGGTTTGAACCATGGGCCCCATCTTTAAAGAAAGTCATTAAAAGAAGGTAAACTTCAAAGTGATTCTGGAGTTCTTTGAAATGTGCTGGAAGACTTAAATTTATTAATCTTAAATCATGTACTTTTTTTCTGTAATAGAACTCGGATTCTTTTGCATGATGGGGTAAAGCTTAGCAGAGAATCATGGGAGCTAACCTTTATCCCACCTTTGACACTACCCTCCAATCTTGCAACACTATCCTGTTTCTCAGAACAGTTTTTAAATGCCAATCATAGAGGGTACTGTAAAGTGTACAAGTTACTTTATATATGTAATGTTCACTTGAGTGGAACTGCTTTTTACATTAAAGTTAAAATCGATCTTGTGTTTCTTCAACCTTCAAAACTATCTCATCTGTCAGATTTTTAAAACTCCAACACAGGTTTTGGCATCTTTTGTGCTGTATCTTTTAAGTGCATGTGAAATTTGTAAAATAGAGATAAGTACAGTATGTATATTTTGTAAATCTCCCATTTTTGTAAGAAAATATATATTGTATTTATACATTTTTACTTTGGATTTTTGTTTTGTTGGCTTTAAAGGTCTACCCCACTTTATCACATGTACAGATCACAAATAAATTTTTTTAAATACAAAATGAACATTTATTTAGTTTACTATTCCTGTAATATTAAACCAAAGAAGAGAAAGAAGGAAAGTATGGGAAAATAGTATGGAGGGACAACATTGGGTGTGTCCCTCAAAGAGAATGGTGTATATTATTGAGGTCTTTTTTGCTCCCGCCTTTAAGATAGAGTATAATGAATGCCTTGACTGTCATTTAATTTTTTTTTTCCTGTTGTTGCTGCTTCCTGCCTTCCTCCACACCACCCCACTACATACCCCTAAGCCTTTTTACATCCTGCTTTGGATGACTATTGAAGGTATTGAATAAGCATCTCTTTTAGAGAAGTGCTGTCTGATCTATGTTTTTACTGCCCTTAGGAGATGAAATCCATATTCAAAAGGGACTAGAAGATAGTGTTTATATTTGCTGCTTTTTTTGGTAGTGTTTCCCTTGTGAAGAATACAGTGAGTTTTTGGGTGTTTGGTTTTTTGTTTTTTTTTTTAAACTGATCAGTGTTTTGGTATTCTAATGTAACTTATGTAGATTGGTAATCCTTAAATGCTTTGGGTTCAGGTGCTAGGGAAAGTCAGTGGATACTTCGAGATTAGAAGCCTTGCTTGTGGAGTGTTCTCAGCTGAAGGCTTCCCTCTACCTTCTAGGTAAACCAAGCAGAGGTCAAGCAGCTCCCAAGGTGGCAATGACTCAGCAGCTCCGGCAGCAATAGACTCCATGCCTGACCCTGGGATGGCCTCTGAAGCCACTGAAGCTATTCTTTCCTCTTGAGAAGAGGCTAACTTTGGAATCAGATTAGACAGGGAAGCCTTCACTAGCCAGAAACTTTGATATGAAAGAGTCCCTCGGGAATGGAAAAGGCACTTTAATACATCCAATTCTGAGCCTTACTAGAATTTTTTTTCTTTCCATTCACCTCTCTTCTTTAATTCCGGTGCCTATTTCCTGGCTTTTTCTAGTACAGTGGCTTCATTCCCTGGCAGCCGTGGGGACTCAGGAGCAGACTGGGTGCTGCTGTTTCTCTTGCCCCGCTTGGCCTCAAAGTTTCTGTAGTTCTAAAGTACAACAGAAACAGTTCTGTTTTTGTTTTAATTAACAGGCTCACACACATGGCTCGTGTGTTTTTCAAACGCATGAAATGAAAACCAGTGACAGTTCTCGCAGGAGCAGGAAGCCGCATGTATACAGTTCGTGCAAAGCAGCTTTTCTTTAAGATCCTCCCGGGTTTTGAGCATCACAATGGGTATGTGAGGTCATCTTAACCTGTGAAGATTTTGGCATCAAGGAAGGGAAAACAGTGATTGTAAGTCTCTGAAGGTTTACCCAGTTTTTGTTCATAAAATGACACCTTTTAGGTTAAAGCATGCCTCTCTTAACACCACACTAATACCGCCTGTTAAGAATGTTTGCTTTTAGAGTAGGTGGAAGGCTCCCAACGGGGTTTTTTCCTTGCAAATTAACTGCTGAAGGCACTTAGACCCTTCTACAGGGAAAGCCCAGTGGCTGCTCCTCTGAGTGTGTCCCCTTCGTTTCATCAGCACTGCCTTGTCTTTCAGGGCTCTCAAAGATTGAAGAGTGTTGGTCTTTAGTAAGGGAACAAAGACGGCAGATGAATACATTGCTACCTGCTTTTTTTTTTTTTTTTTTTTTGGTAAGCAAAGATAAAAGTGTTCAGTTTAATTCCCTTCACATTGTGCTGTGTTCTTATGCAGTCAATTCATACCTAGGAATTTTAGAAGCGCAGGGATTTTTCTTAAGGAGGCACATCTCTGCAGAAAATATGTGAGGGAGAGTGTTTGTGAAAGAGCATGTGTAGCATTTAAGAAAAACATTGGCAGGAGTTTGGTGTTAATCCCCAGATAAGGAGTAGAAACACTTGTGAAAATTTTCTGCAGTTTATAAAACAAAACTACTCTGTACAACAACCCCATGCAACACCTATTCTTTTTAAGTAGGTATGTGAGAAATCTTGGCAAGAAAAAAATAAAATAAAAGTCTGGACAACATCTTACCATTAAAATACAGAGAGAGAATTTTAAAATGTGCCTAAAATAAAATAATGATATTAGAAATCATCTGGGTAGAACTCTAGTAGTATAACAGCTGTAGGTTTGAGCCCTGTAATTATACTGGGAAAATCTCTTCTAACTCTCCCATCTTTAATTTCACTGAAAAGGCAGGTGGCTATTTATAGATGGTATATTTTTATATATGCATACGTGAAGGGTGAATAACAGCCTACGGGGCTCCAGGAAATCCTAGAAGGGTCCAAACCCACACCAATGTGGACTGAAATAAGCAATTCATAAATCTGTTCTATTTTTCTCTGATTTACCCCCCTCAGTGGCATTAAACCGAATTCATAAAACTTGGTTCTTCACTTCTCCTCACTGTGTGACATTTCTTACATCTGAATCTGTGTTCTTTACATTTCATGCTAAAGTAAACTAGTTAAAAAGGGTACGATTAAAATGCCAGCTCTTTAGTAAACACACATTGTGTCTCTTACTCTCTTTGGTTCTTTAAAAAAAAAAAAAAAGATCTAGTCACTTGGAATTTTCTCAATTTGTGGATTTGTAGTAGAAGGAAAAAAGGAAGTTTGACCAAGACAATAGTTGTTTATTATAAGGGACCCAGTTCAACAAGTACTGATCAAGCAGCCACTACACTGAAGGTACTAGGAAAAGGACTGGAGGGACGCAGATCAAAGTAAGACAAAGTCCACCTGAAGTAACTGTCAACATAGTTGGAGTAAGGAGGGTGTCCCCCAAGGAAGAATAAGCAAAGAACTTTAATGCTGGATAGAACCTGGCACATGTCAGTGTAGAAGCACAAATGCTGTTTGGAATAATATTACCTGACATTTGGTGGCATTTACTGTTTTTAAAAGCTCTTTTCACATTCACTATTTAGCTTGACTCTCACAATTATTACAACCCTGAAATGGCAATAATTTCTCTTTTAAAGATGAAGAAGGCCGGGCATGGTGGCTCACGCCTGTAATCCCAGCACTTCGGGAGGCCAAGGTGGGCAGATCACCTGAGGTCAGGAGTTCAAGACCAGCCTGGCAGACATGGTGAAACCCCAGGCATGGTGGTGCATGCCTATAATCCCAGCTACTGAAATTGAGGCTGAGACACAGAATCACTTGAACCTGGAAAGCGGAGATTGCGATGAGCCGAGATCACGCAACTGTACTCCAGTCTGGTCAGGAGAACAAGACTCCATCTCAAAAAAAAAAAGTTGAAGCTATTGTGAGGAATTCAGATGTACCTTAGCTGAGGGTTTACTTTACTTTGTAAGGACCATTTAGGGAGCAGAAGCCCACCTCTTTTTGGTCGTTAAGCTTCTTTTAATGCTTTCCACCTGTAAAGCTCTTTATGCTGGTGGGCCCTGGCATCAGATTCAGCTTAGAGTGTAAGAAGTGGTCTCCAAGAGATGTGCATCTAACGAGCAAGAAAGGAAATTTGGGAGGCAGGGAAAAAGTGGGGAGGAGTGAGGAGATAGATAAAGTTCTATCTAGGCCATGAATAAAGACAAGTTGTTTGAATCATCTAACCTAATACTACTTACCCTTAGAAAATCTGATCCCCAAACTTCAGCTTGGCCTTGCAGAATCTAGAGGCTAATTGAATTAAAAGGAAAAGCATGCCAGGGAGAGTATGGTGGGACAGAGACTAGGAAATATGGTACCAGCAATGAAAGCATATGCGGCATAACCTAGCACCGATGACATTTTTCAATTTCCAAAGGAAAAAAACAAATGGCATACAGCATTTGGTTCCAGTTTCCAGGCCTGGAGTCTCTGGAGGGAGGGTTGGGGGTGGCAGCTGGTCATAGCAGCTTTTTGCAGCAGACATAGGGAACACATCCTTAGCTAAAATCATGAATTATCTTCACCTCCAACAGATGGTTTCTTGAGGACCTACCACATGCCAGGTGCTGTGCTAGCCCTGTGTGTTTAGCACAGTGGCTGCTGGGACTCACTCTCTCCAGTCTCAGCCAGTGCATCAACCCACAAACAGCACACCTCGCTTATTTCCCACACTAGCTTCTGGAGGGGGATGAGGACAGTGGGCCAAAAAACACTGTGCTTTTCATTTCAGAAGTGTCTTTGTCCCCAGGTTCCTACAGTACTAATGAATAAATAGCAGCATCTTGATCACGTTGTAAAGATGGGGAAACCAGCACCGTGAGTCTAAAAGTAGCTTGTGCCGTGTCACAAGTAAATTATAACAGGCCAAGCCACAATGAAGGATCCACCCAGGTCACCCAGTGACTCTGAATTTAGTCATCTTTCCCCCACAGCCGTAGGTTTTGAAGATGTGGTATGGTCTAAAGGAACCTGAGAGGGGCAAGGGAGGGGTGGGGTATGGGGACCAGCTTTGTCAAGGGAAGCAGGGTGGTACAAACATGTCACCAAGGACAATAAAGATTAGCTGTTTGTACTTTGTTGATAATAATGATCATTGTCTTTATAATTGCTAACATTTATTGAGCATTACCTGTATGCTAAGTCTTGAGTACAATATGGTATAGTGGTCAAGATAGCTCACACGAAGCCTAAACCATAGTACTTGGCATCTAATAAGTGATCAATAAACATCAACATTATTATTCTTATATAATTATCTCATTTACTCTTCACAATATCCCTAGGAGATAAGTATAATTATTCCCCATTTGACTTGTAAGGGAACTCAGGCTCTAAAAGGCAAGCTGGAGAGCCGCAAAATTGGCTCCAGTCTGTGCCCCTAATCACCATGCCACAAATATTTACCAAGGTTTTAATGCCTGCCATTCTCTATTATTATTCTCAATTTAATCCAGAACCATTCAAAAAGGAGGAAAATAACTTACATCAGGACAGAATGGAATCGAGGAGGGGATTTTCAGTGTTAGTCCCCAGAATGTATTTATTTTTTTCTTGGTGAGATGCAGAAGGCTTGTAAATGCTGTTTACATTCTGAAGTGCCAGATGCTCCCCAGTCTTGTCCTGCCTAAGTTTCTACATTGGGGTCCTAGGGCCTGGCAGCAAGAGGGAGCTTGGGAAGGTGCTTCCCAGACACCACGTCTAGCCCCTCAGGAGTTGGTGTCCGAGTCCCTAAGAGGCCTCCTCCACTGCCACAGGCCCCTTCCCTGCCCATTCCAGCCCTGAAGAACAGGGCAGGCTCAAGGAGGGTGGGACAGGGGCTTAGTGAGAAAACTTATCCTTCTTGCAGAACAGGACAGGCTGTCTTTCTGCTAACAGTGAGTCAGTGAGTGGGAAAATGAGGAAGACAAACCCCAGCACCACGGAAACCCCCTTCCTGAAGGCCTGTGTGAAGAATCACAAAAACATTCACGTGATTCTTATCGTATATGTCCTATCAATATCATCATAATGAAATGGCGACATTGATAGCTGTCACTTAATGTGTCAACTATGTTCTGTGTTAAGCACTTATATTAACTCATTTAATCCATACATTGTGAGATGGAAATTATTATTTTCATCTTACAGGCTTTCAATACGAACTTGTGAAGTCATACGGACTGTTAGAGTCGGACATGAGCTCAAGAGAGAGTTGTGCAAGTATCCTACCCTAAATCCCTTTTAATTATCCCCAGTTTAACAGGGCAACTGAGGCACAGAATTTAACTGGGCCTTAAGGAGGTACACTGGGGAATATTTTAGGTCTGCTTCCCATTGAAGTGCTCTTGGGAAACCATTCTTGGGCAAGAGTGAAAACAGTTGCAGAGAATGTAGTTAAATCCCTCTGTCCTTCCACCCTGACCCCAGGAAGTGTAAACTCTGAAGACAACACTCTTTCTGTTATTGTTATCCTTAAAAAAGAAAAAAACACATGAAATAATTTCACAAGTTTCAACAACAACAAATTCAGGGCATCTGCAGAGAAAGAAGTGGGTCATTGTCTTTCTTCTGGTGCTGAATGTCAAGGTAAAATAATATCTTGCACCCCCATTCCACGGTACCACCCCCTTCTGGATTTGTGGTTCTGGGGGCTTACAATATTTGCCAGCAAGAAAACTGAATTTCCAACAAAGGGAAAGTTCCAGTCATCGGGGACTTCATAGAAGAAATTGGTAAAAAGAAAGCGAAGTCTTTGCCCAGTACAACTGTCTACTAATCTGCTAGTTAAAGCCTGATGTTAGTTAGATATCATGGAGGGCTGGAGTCCATTCTTTAGTTTATCCAGGGCCTAGGTGAGCTCTAGATTGCTTACAAATTCTACATTCTCACAGAAAATCAAGCATGCATAAAAAAGATGAAAGGGGGGGATGGTGGTGGTGTGTGGTATGTGTGGTATATGTGCGTGTGTGTGCATGTATGTGTGTGTGTACTATTTCAAATAAAGGGGGATGGTGGGGGGGTTGTTCAAGCTGGATTTTGCTGCTCTAAAGGGGAGCAGATGATGAGGGCAAATCTAAATGTTCAGATAAGATCTTTTTCATTTTGTCCATTATTAAAAGACTATTTCTTACACATTCTCTCTCTCTCATGATTGACATTGAAATGCTACATTTCTCATTGTTACCTTCTGGGTCTTGTTCCATGAAGGCTGACATGGATGTCAAATGGATGGCATCTGACACCCTTACACAAAGACACATACCAGTCTGAAAGGAGATTATTTAATTTTTAGCAGAAAAGAATCCATTCTAAGGATGATTTATTGTCATTTTGATCACCATTTGTACTTACAATTCCAAGGAGTTAAATTAGAAAATAACACACTTTCTTTAGGAAAAAATATCAATGCCTTATTAATTTGCCACCAGTACTCCCAGCTTCCAGCATAGCAGGCATCTGCCAGTCCCTCTTGCACATTCTTCAAAGGCCAAACGGCTTGATAAAGTCAGAAGACCCAGAAAATGAGAACAACTGTTTCCAACCATACCATCCTCTCAAGCACAAAGAAGTTTCCTCTTGCCGTCAGCACAAGTGGCTAACAAAAAAGAAGGCTAAAAATTAAACTTTTCGAGTCCTTCATTCAGACTCCATTAGGAGCACTCCCTCTACAAAAGTGAATTCATGTTTCGTTTGAGGTGGGAATCTATTTCACTAGGAGTTAAATGAAACAGCAAGGAAATTCCGTTAGTTCATCTCTGATGACAGGAAGGCAACATACAATTCCTCCATTCACCAAGTGGTTTTTGGTCTACAAGTTGTACAAAATGTTTATTTCAGATAACTAAGTCCTCTTTCAGTGCAAACTACCACTATTATATATTTAAAACTGCTCTGCATTTGTCTCTCAGGATTACTAAAATCTGAGCTGTTGAGGTGACTACTGAAAAAAATCTAAATGCAATCTCTACTGTCCAATCAGAATGCTATCTAAATTGCTTTTTATTATTTAAATTATAAAACACAATTTCTAGTAGTGAGAACATTAGGTTTGGATATCTCTGAATAGGCATAGAAAGACTCAACAGGTTCTACCTCCAAGACAGTTACTGCATGGGTAGGAGTAAACATTAATATGTCTCTTAATGCTGGCTATTTGGTTTTAAAAATGAAGGACCCAGATATAGCCTTTTGCGTAGGATCAGCCTTTAAGAAAAATTACAATGGAGCTAGCCTCATTTTCCTTGGGGATGCTTCTTTTAACCTAGAGATCTTGGGGACACTTCTTTTAACCTAGAGATCTTTCTTACCTGTCACTCTCAACCAAGAAAAAGGAAACACAGAGATGGAATGCATTAAAAAAAAAAAAAGATCAAAGGGAAAACTCAGGAAAGAGAGGGCAAGATAGCAAGAGAGAATTCTGAACACAGCCCTGTTCCTGAGCCACTGACACCTTTATTCAATCATTCTTTTGACAACCATGAATTGACTTTCCATCATTACTCTCACTCCCTGCACCTGAGTTATAATAAGCAGTAACATGCATGAGTTTTGATGTGCCAGGCACACATGTAGAGTGTACTAAGCACTCTATACATCTTATCTCATGCGATTCTTTCAACAGCTCTCTGAGACACATACTATTATCCCCATTTTAAAGATAGGGAAAGCTGAGACACCAAGAGGTTAAGTAATTTGCCCAAGACCCCTCAACTCGTATGCGTGCTGCTTCTCTCGCTCACTGAATTTTTTTCCAGCCCTGACTACTAAACTGTTGATATCCACAGAATCAACCCCGTTTCTTTGAAATATTGCTAAAACTGCGATTAGCTTTTCCTGTGATTCAAGTACATCTATCCCAGTCATGTGTTACTCGTTAGCAGAAAATTAGGCCCTGCTTTTCCATGATCTACATTTAATGACCTCACCCCACGTGGCAGGGTTCCACAGGAGGATCATGGCCACCTGTTGGGCTGATAGACTGATGGAGCCACAGGGGGCTTGGACTTAGCTCATCTCCTTGTGTTCTTAGGTATAAAAGGCAGAGAAGCCTGATAAGAGCACCCCTGGGCAAGAGGCCTCTGGAGGTCGGCAGCGAAGTCCAGGCAACTCCCTGCATATGCTCCGCAGTGCTCCCCCTGTGCTCAGGCTCCAAACTCCCCTTGAAAATGAGAGAGTTGAGAGATAACCACAGATTCCCTAAGGAGGTTGGGAGTTGCTTGTAAAAGACACATTAATGGCTCCCTCCAAGCATGAAAAAAAGTCATCATTGTCATTCCAGTTTGGGGAAATATCTTCAGCTCAGCTCTTGGGTTCATGGTGCTAAGCAAGCCAAGGACACAAGAATGTCCCAGAGCCAAACTAGGGTCCTCCACCCTATAGTCTGAGATGTCCCTTTCCCTCCCTGGGGCATCCTGGGTAGGACAACATGGATGTTTAAAAGCCTCCTCATCCGCACTGTTGGAAGAAGAAGGTGGGGCAGGCATCTCTCTAACAGCCAGCCAGTTATTGTAGTTCCTTCTACAGGACTTGCCTCAGGGGACAGAGGGCAGATTACATGGAAAAAGACAGCCACGCTCTTCCTGATGTTGTCAAGGACTGGCATGCTCCATGGCCGTCCCCTGCAGTTCTGCAGGTTCTTGGTGTTTAAGAAGCATCGTGGACTACTGGGACAAGGTAATTGGGTTGAGATCTAACAGCTGGTATTATACATTTTACTCTGCTGGAATCTGCAACTTATCCTCGGCTGTGTCCTCTCCCTCAATCCTTACAATCAGCCAACCACCATAGATTCTGCTTCCTCCCCACGACCAGTACCTGTTGCTTTGATCACTCTAATGGCGCCTTAACTGGCCTCCCTGCCTCCATTTTGGTCCCTCCTCCAATTCCTCCACACCCTGTGCTAGAGGGAATTATGGCAAATGCAACGATGACAATGTCTCTTCCTTGTTTAAAACCCCTAAGCATGGCCTGCAAAGCCTTCCTTGATCTCTGCCTGGCTCTCCAGCCTTATCTCCCACTATTCCCGCTCTGCAGAGAATATTCTGGCCGTGTTGATCTGTTATGGTTGCCCTGCACACTCATGTGTCACAAGAATTCATTTTTTGATGAAAGAGAGAATTTGTGGCTATTATGACCATTGAAAGCTAACAAGCCCCTTATTGGACGCACTCCAGCCATCTTTGCTCCTACCGGAAAGGGGCTGGAATGCGAGTCCAGAAGGAAATCAGAGCGAAGGCCTGGACTTCCTCTACTCCTGATCACTCTAGGACAACTAAAGGAATCCTCAAAAAAAGGGGGCACTACAGGACTGAAAGAAGAAAAAAAAAGCAAATCAAAAAAGATTAAGTATTATTAGTACCTAAAAAGCAGCGATTTTCTTCTATTCAATTTCTAGTGCCCAACACAATATCCAGTGCATAGCAGATGCTCAGTGTGCTGGCTTAGTGTCCCCCCAAAATTCATGTCCTTCTAGAACCTCAGAATGTGACCTTATTTGGAAATGGGTCATCGCAGATTTCTTTAGGTAAGATGAGGCCATACTGGCCTAGAGTGGGCCCTTAATTCAATATTACTATTATCCTTATGGGAAGAGGAAGAGAGGCCAGGCGCGGTGGCTCACACCTGGAATCCCAGCACTTTGGGAGGCCGAGGCATGTGGATCACTGGAGGTCAGGAGTTCGAGACCAGCCTGGCCAACATGATGTAACTCCGTCTCTACTAAAAATATAAAAATTAGCCAGACGTGGTGACACACGCCTGTAATCCCAGCTACTCAGGAAGCTGAAGTGGGAGAATCGCTTGAACCCGGGGGGAGGTTGCAGTGAGCCGAGATCATGCTAATGCACTCCAGCCTGGGCGACAGAGTGAGACTCTGTCTCAATAAATAAATAAATAAATAAATATAAAAATAAAAAAGAGGAGGAGAAGAGATGCAGAGAGAGACACAGGGAGAGCACCATGTGACAGAGGCAGAGATGGGAGGGATGTGTCTACAAAGCCAAGGAACACCTGGGATTGCCAGCAACCACTGGAAGCTAGGAAGAGGCAAAGAAAGTTCCTCCTCTAGAGCCTTTAGAGAGAGCATGGCCCTGTTGCTGCCTGGATTTCAGACTTCTAGCCTCTAGAACGGTGAGAGGATAAAGGTCCATTATTTTAAGCCACCCAGTTTGTGGTAGTTTGTTACAGCTGCCCTACAAAGGTAATACACTCAGTGAATGTTTGTTGGATAAATAAATAAAAGAATAAATGAACAGATCACCTGTGGGAAATTATTTGGAGCTAAATAAAGCATTAACACCCTTAGGAATATGACTTATACTCCCAGCTACTCAGCTGAGGCTGGAGGATGGCTTGACCCCAGGAGTTCGAGGCTGCGGTGAGCTATGATGGTGCCACTGCACCCCAGCCTGGATGACAGAGCCAGACCCTGAGAAAGAAAGAAGGAAGGAAGGAAGGAAGGTAGGAAGGAAGGGAGGAAAGAGAGAGAGAAGGAAAGAAAGAAAGAGAAAGAAAGAGAGAAAGAGAGAGAAGAAAGAGAAAGAGAGAGAAGAAAGAAAAGAAGGAAAGAGAGAAAGAGAGAGAGGGAGGGAGGGAGGAAGGAAGGAAAGAAGGAAGGAAGGAGAAGGGAAGGGAAGGGAAGGGAAAGGTGAAGGGGAAGGGAGGAGGGAGGGAGGGAGGGAGGGAGGGAGGAAGGAAGGAAGGAAGGAAGGAAGGAAGGAAAGAGAAAAGAAAATCTGATGGAAACTATGAGCTCAGTCCCCAGAAAAATACAAGTATAGTCATACACACAGAAGATTTTAGACAATGTCCTCCTAACCCACTCCCACTCCCACAAAACCCATTTAACCAAGATTAAGAACTCCTGAATTAAAAGACACAGGTAGAATATTTAGGATTTTTCACCTTTTCTTTGAACACACTGAAAACATAAAGGCCTGAGAATGGTGATGGACTGTAGGAGAGTAACCTGGCCCAGAAATGCAGAGACCCAAATTCCAAATCCAGCTTTGCCATCATTCAGTTCCTTTTGTTCACTCTTCTACTCACTCCCAACCCCAGTAAACTATAGATGCTTTTAGGGTCAGAGGACAGGCTAATGAGATAATGCTGGTAAAGCACTTTGCCCCCAAGAAAAGGTTCCTATGTAAACACAAGATATTATTAGACATTATCAAACTTTGGCTGGGCCAGCAGTGACCCAGCCACAGTGGTGAGTCCTCTTCCTTATCTACTGTTTGGCCAAATTGGGTTTTTCTCCAAGGCAGGAGTGTGGGAGGTCTGCTGCTGGCTGGTGTTGGGAACTTTGATAAGTGAACCCTATCACATCCCCTTAAGCAGTGCAAACAGATCATTTGACTACATTTGATGAAAGGCCTCATCCTTTGCTAACAGTGAGTCCCAAATCTCTTTGTGCGTACATATTGAACAATCTTCAGAAAATCTTCAGGGAATCTTCCTTTACTGTGTGCGTTAACTTCAATGCGAATTATTCAAATATATCAACAGGAAAATAAATCTTATTTCATGTTTGGTGGTTGTGATTTATTTATTACCTCTTAGGAATTATTACATAGGATTTCCCCTTTATTTCTGCTGTTCATGGCCAATTTGAAAAAAGAAGAAAATAATGATACCACTGGTTTCAGGGATATTGGTTTCAGAACTTATTAAAAATAAAAAGAAAAGAGTAATTTCTACAATTAGTAAATTGCCATCAAACTGAAATGCCTTAAACTAACATTTCCTCTCCTTCCCCCGCCAAAAAAGGAAAAAAAAAAAAAGTAATTGCTCAACTTCCACAAGAATTTTTTCTAAAAATCTCAAGGCAGCTTTTTTTGCTTCATCAGAATTGACAAGGAGGATATAGTAAACTGAGAGAAACATAAAATAACCACAATAATTCTCATCAACACAAAGATGACATAGAATCTTAACAAAGACCCTTAAGGAATCCCACTACAAAGGAAAAGGAATTCACCCATAATTACCCACTTCTCATGCACACTAAGGCTATCTGACATATGATATTAGCCAGCTCTGCATTCAGTCATACTACCAAATTTCAACAGTCATACTTTTCAATCAGAAGAATGATCTTTCAAAGAGATTGTTGAGTTTTAACTGTGTTGTGTATGAGAATCTTCTCTCCCCCTTCCTTCCTTCCTTCCTTCCTCCCTCCCTCTCTCCCTTCCTCCCTCCCTCCCTCCCTTCCTCCCTTCCTTCTTTCCATAAGCACCTATTGATCACCTATTATGTACCAGGCATAATGCTAAGTAAAGGTGAATAACATACACCTGTTACCTATAAGATGAGTATTTAAACCATTCAGACAGCAGATCTTGATACTTTTGGATGGGCAAAGATGCACCTTGGGAAGAGGATATTGTCTTCTATATTGGGGAAGGAGGGGTAAGGAAGGAGCAAGAAGGGATCGCTGGTAAGAATGATTGCACTTGGAAGACAAGTTTGTCTTCAGACAAGTTTGAAAGGCATAGTTACGATCCACTGCTAATATTCTTACCATTTTACTTCCTCTCCTTCTTCCTCCTGTGGATCAAACATTTAATGGCTACTCAGAACCACCTTAAATGACCTCCACTCTAACCTATGATATGTGATCTATGTGTTTGTACGCAGGATACATGTATTTATATCACAGGCTCAATTATGAAGGTGTGCTGTTTCAAAATCTTTTTTTCCTCTCCAAATACTGTGTCCTAGGAACATTCATGCCTTATCAAAAAGGAGTAAGGATGAATGAAAGAGAACCCCCAGTAGGTTTTAGAAAAGGTATACACTGAAATTGTTTAAGTACACATTTAACATTTACTAGAAATAGCTCTGATTGCAAGAGAAAATTAAAGTAGACAAAAGCCTATAATCAGATTTATGCTATCTGATCATGTAATTAGACCTGGCTTTTAGGCCATCCTAACAAGTTTATTTGAAAAGGAAGAGAGATCATTGTTTATTGGAACGGCAATAATTTGGGTTTCTTTAATTGACTCCTGGTGTGAATACGTTGATGCCTGCTGCTAAGAGGCAACATGGAAAGTTTCCAGGAAAAGTTCACATTCCAGGAGAAGCTTTGGAATCTACTTTCCATTGCAACCCAATTCAGCCTTTGGGTTTGAGTTTGTAACAAAACACCAGCTTTCAAAGGCAGCCTCACCAGGCAGCAGCCTCCACAGCAGTGCCAGGGGCTGGGTAAGGAGCCCGGCACTTGGCTGGCCCATCAGGATAACAGAGGGTGTTTCCAAAATCCATCCTTCCCCATGTCCAAAGCACTAAGGGTGCCGAAGGCTGTGGCTACGAGAGCCAACAATGATTCAGAAACTGCCCTAACATTCTGATATTAAGTCAGCCCGAGAGAGGCCGCGATGAAGGCAGGAGGGGAGTGAAAGAGATTTCTCCTTCCAGTGCTCCCAAATTCCCAAAAGCAGTGTTGCCAGTTGCCTGCAAAAAATGAATATACTCCCTAGAAATTTAATAAGGTACAAAATAAAAATAATCCATAACCCACTTGTAAGCAGAGGCATGTTTCAAAGTTCCTCACTACTCTCTGCCCTGACAAATTGACATTTTCCTTATAGGGAGTTTTAGGAGAGAAGGAAGGTAGAGACTGGGGGTCCTGAAAGAGGAAGTGGAGATTTCAAAGACTGGTTTGATTCTGACAGCCTAACTGATACCAACTCTCTCTCTCTCTCTCTTTTGCTTTCTCACTCTGTCTCTCTCATAACAACTACCATTTGTTCAGCACATCCATGGCACGTATTACCTCAGTTCATCCTTACAACAACCTTGCAAAGTTAATGGTATTATTCCAATATTACAGATAGGGAAAATGAGGTTCAAAGAGGTTAAGTAACCAGTTCAGGATCATAGGGTAAATTTAGCCAGGATTTCAACCTAAACCCGTCGGACTCCAAAATCCAGTCAGCTCACTGCCATCCCAGAGTACCTGGCTGCACTCTTCCTGCCATCCCCATGGCTTGGCCAAGGCAGGCAGGGACAGCAGTGGCAGCCAGTCGTCCTGCGCATGAGGTCATATGATGTTTTACTCTCTAAATCAGTCTCTATTTCCTATAGCTCTCTCTGGAAGAGATCAAGCATTTTTATCCCATCTTCTTCTTTTTTTCTATTTCGGTCTTACCTTTCCAGGAAATGGAGAGCCATTGGCCAGAATAGAAAACAAAAGCAACCCCATGTCTCCATCTGGCCCACAGGTTCCCTTGAGGCGAAGGATGTGGGGCCAGGCTGAGCCAGAACAGGTGAAAAGCTTCTTCTCTCCACACATTTTTTTTTCTTTTCTTTTTTTTCTTTCTTTTTTTTTTTAACGGAGTTTTGCTCTTGTCGCCCAGGCTGGAGTGCAATGGCACAATCTCAGCTCACTGCAACCTCCGCCTCCCAGGTTCAAGCGATTCTTCTGCCTCAGCCTCCTGAGTAGCTGAGATTACAGGCATGCACCACCACACCTGGCTAATTTTTAGTAGAGACAGGTTTTCACCATGTTGGCCAGGCTGGTGTCAAACTCTGGACCTCAAGTGATCCACCTGCCTTGGCCTCCCAAAGTGCTGGGATTACGGGCGAGAGCCACCATGCCCAGCCTGAGAGCCACCTTTCAAAAGCGCAAATCCAATCAACTGTGCTGCTTCAGAACTTGTGAGGGCCCCCCATGGAGAACCCCTTACACTGACATACAGGCCCCACCTGATCTGGCCTCTACCCACTCCCACCTTCACCCCTTACCTTCTTCCTCCTTGCTGGTGTCCCCAAGTCACACTGGCCATCTTTCAGGTGGTGAGCCAAGCACTCTCTTACCTCGGGCCTCAATCTGGGAATGCTATTCCTACCCACTCCACGCGCATAGCCCAGCAGGCTTTCTCTCTCTATGGTTTAAGCTGAAATGTTCCCATCTCAGAGAAGATTCCACTGACTCCACTATTTAATTAGGTACCTCTCCATCTCCATCATTCTTCGGCTAAGTTCCCTATTCAATTCCTTTTTGGAACTTACTACAACTTATATACCTTTTTTCTTTGTTTGTTTATTGTCTGTCACCCCATCCAGGCCCCCAGCACAGAGCCTGGCACATATTAGATGCTCAAAAAAAATTTGTTAAATGAATGAATGCACGAGCTTCAAAAATTGTTTGAGTTTTCTTGATAGGATGGCTGTGACAATCAAAACTAATTGCATCCAATATACATCAAAGATACAAAAAATTGCATCTTTCAAGAACTACAAGATGCCACTTTCTGCAGAAATGCCAATACATAATTACAGGAAAGAAAAAACTCATGATTGGTGCAAGAAAAAACTGACCAAGCGTTATCATGTAATATTTTAATGATCCGTTTATATGTCTGCTACCCCAGTGGATTCTGTGCTTTCTGAGAGCTGGAACTGGGTTTTGTTTCTATTTTATGTCCAAATCATAGCACAGTGCCTGGCATATACCACTTGTTCAATATCTGTTTGTTAGGGGGAAAGAAGGGAAGAAAGGAGAGAAAGAGAGGGAAAAGAGAAAGAAGGAAGGGAGAGATGCAGGGAAAAAAGGAAGAAAGAAGGAAGGAAGGAGAGAAGGAAGGAAGGAAGGGAGGGAAGGAAAATAAGTTTCAAGTAAGAATGTAGCAGTAAGCCTAAGAAATGCCCAACAGATTCTTTACAACTGACAATTATTGAGTCGTAGGATCTCTGAGCTGGGAATGACCTTTATTTGTCTAATTCCCCAGTTGAAGATTTGAAGAGAAATTTCAATGCAGAGAGACTAAGTGGCACATAGCTAGTTAAAACATAACCAAGATAAGAACTCAGGTTTCCTAACCCCAAATCTATACCATGCAGGTTCCTTCTGGCAGAGAACTAATAGGCTGAAACTACAGTCACACAAATCTGATTATTTGGGGCAAGTACAAGAGGGTTTCTAGTAACTTTGCAGTTGCAAACCCTGATGCAGCTGAAGCCTCTTGATGAAGCCCTGAGAATCTATACGAATCAAATCCAAGAGCTGTGTGCCCTGCATGAGCTCATCCCACTTCCAGTCTCTTGCTGAGAGGCTGTCAAGCTCTCTGCAGAAGAGTGGCGTCTGGGTGTTTATACATGGATGTGCAGCAGTGACACTGTAGACATCTTCTGTGTAGTGTAAATATGAAGTGGTCATCTTAGCAACCTTCCTTCCTCCCTCCTCCAGCCACAATGCACCTGGTAGCCACGAACCCTACCATGTTGGTATAACATGGACAAATCATCACAGTTGCTTCCTCTGAGCAGTCCCCCAGATTACAGTTGATGTGAGGTTAAGTGGCTGATCCAAACTAGACCAAGTTGGGCTTCCCCTGAAAATTACTGGAATTGAAAAGAAGTCAGGCTAGGCACAGTGGCTCACACCTGTATTCCCAGCACATCCTTTGGGAGGATGAGGTGGGAGGATTGCTTGAGGCCAGGAGTTCAAGACCAGCCTGGACAATGTAGTAAAACCCTATCTCTCAAAAAAAAATTTTTTTAATTAGCTGAGCATGGTGGCACACATACCATTGGTCCCAGCTACCCAGGAGGCTGAGATAGGGGGATCACTCGAGCCCAGGAGTTTGAGGCTGCAGTGAGGTCTGATTGCTCCTCTGCATTCCAGCTGGGTGACAGAATGAGACCCTGTTTAAAAAAAAAAAATGAAAAGAAATCAGTCTCTCTTTAGGTCCCCAGGCTGTCAGATGAGTCTGGATGCCATCCATGGCCATCTTATGGGCCTCAGAAATAAGAAGCAGCAATAACACTAATGCCACCCAGGTCCCTGATCCTACTGTTCCTGAGATGCAACTCAGTGTCATCATCAGCATCATCATCAATCATCACTAACCCTTTTTCTCTAATATGGCCTGCATTAAGTTTCTGTCATTTGTAATCAAAAGGGCCCTACTAATAAAATACACTATTTTTTAAAAAACTTCAAAGAATAATTAGACTAAAAAGAAAAAAATGAGACTTTCCTATATGCACTTCTTATTGCCTAAAATGTCTCTTATTCTGGAAACTATCCAATAATGCCAACTTCTAAAAAAAAAGTGGTAATTGGGAAAAGGGTGGGAAATAATAAAGCAGATAAAACGGTAGATTTGGCATCCCCACAAGTATTGTGTGTCCGTCTGGGTCCTCCAAGAAGCGGATGCCAAGACAGGATTAGGTGTGCAAGAGATTTCTTGAGGAAAACACCTGTGAAGGAAGATGAGGAAGGAGCCAGGAGAACCATGAGACTGGGCACAGGTCCGCCTTGGGCATAGGAGAGAGGGAAGGAAGGTTGGATGGAAGTGTCTCAGACTGCTGTGCAGTTCTAAGAAAGTTCCTCAAGGATATCGGGAGTTCTTGAGCCAGTCACCCATCAGAAGAGTCCCATATCTGCAGCATCTCCCAAAATGGAGCCTGGCTACCATAGCATCTGTCATACGCAGTCATTGGCTGGGAGCAGCCTGTGAGAACCTTAGCCTCCAGAAAAATGTGGTGATCAACTCAGAGCATAGCAGCTAGAACCCTCTATCAATTACACTCCTCAAAATTAGAGATCTGAGGGGTGCCTTTTCATGGCCACCACGGGGTGCTGTTCTCTTCGCACGGCCCCATTCAGTACCTGTTTCTTCAACATCCTCCTGAAAGCCACCTACTCCTCTGTCCTGATTTATACCAACCGAAGTGCTCTATCCCTCTCTGAATTCCCAAGGTATTTTCTTGTCCCTCTCTTACACAGCTTCATGCTTTCTATCTTGCATTACTTTCTACTTCATATTGTGTGTGTATATATGCAGCACACTCAGATACAATGAAACCTTGAAGACTATTCTGGAATGGGTCTGAGGTGGGGGTGGAGGCTGCTCACCTCATCTTCTTACTCTGGGCACTGGAATCTTGATCTGAATCCTCAGAGTTTACCTCATTTAGATATCTGCTTTATTCCCTTTATTCTCAGACTCTTATTTGCTCACATTTTAACATTTCTAAAATTGGAGTGCAGCTTATAATTTATGTCAAAAGAAATTTGCCACCTGCTGGCAGGAGAGTGAGTTGAGAAGGAGTTGTTACTGTCTGCCTGTGGGAGAACTTAGCGAGGCATATTTACAATAAGTGAAGCAAATATTTATTGCTGAAGGCATGACTACACTTTCATGTCTTTCAGCGAAACATCAGACAAGCACTTCAGAGGACACAGGAAAAGGACTGCCAGTCTACACTATGGGCACTGTAATTATATACAATAAAAATTGACAGATATCTCAGGAGAAATAGCAGAATTTTTAAAGTTACAGGAGTTTGGTGTGATCGGCTCATTCATTGAAAAGTCACCCTCAGGTTCCAAACATCTTTCAGAAGCTTCTGGGTGACTTTGGGAAGAAGGTTTTACCCTATAGAAAAGAATAATTTAATTAAGGGAAGGACAAAACTATGAGTTTAACCAAACAGGAAATACAAATGAAACCCTGGTGTTCCACAATATGGCTAAAAATTAGACTGCCTAGCCTACATTTGCTAAGGAGGTCAACATCACCAGCCCACGATTGGAAAGTAGAGAATCTCCATGATGCTATGCACAACTGCCAATGGTTACAGATGATTCCCATGATGCTATGCACAACTGCCAATGGTTACAGATGATTCCCATGATGCTATGCACAACTGCCAATAGTTTCAGATGATTCCCATGATGCTATGCACAACTGCCAATGGTTACAGATGATTCCCATGATGCTATGCACAACTGCCAATGGTTACAGATGATTCAGAAGAATCCACAGACTACACCTGAAAGAGGTTTATTATCAAACACTGAATGAGATGCTGAAAAAGAATATATGGATAAATATTATTTTTAGTGTTCATATTTATTATAGTGGTTTTTACCCCCTTAAAACCTGTTATTAAATCAGTAGTGTACCTAAAATACATGGCATCTTGGAATTGAGGAACTAGAGTTAGTATAATAATCAGTGGCATAGTTCTTTAACTTTTGGCTTTAGGTTGATGCCAAAAGGAATTGTTAAGAATGATTAAATCCACACCCTGTAAAGAGAATTCCATACAGTTTACAATATTGAGTTGGCAAAGATCAGTATAGGTAACACAATTCACTCTCCCTCCCTTGCCTATGGAAGACATCACTGAACATCCATGGAGCTCTTCTTTGCTAAGCCAGGAGTCTGCAGAATTATGCCCAATCAAGTCTTCTAGGCAGTCACTACCAACTGATTGAACTTGGTACATGATAGGAATCTTGGCTGCCATCCGTATGCTATATTCTTGTATGGAATGTGACTCTGAAGAATATACAAGGAGCTCTAATACATCTCTTTCTCCACCCTAAAGAGTTAGTGAAATCCAGCCAGAGCAATCAGACAAGAGAAAGAAATAAAGGACATCCTGATTGGACAAGAAGAAGTCAAATTATCCTTGTTTGCAGGAGATACGATCTTATGTTTAGAAAAACCCAAAGACTCCACAAAAAATAACTACAGCTGACAAGTTCAGTGAAATTGCAGGATACAAAATCAACATACAAGAATAGTAGCATTTCTATATGCCAACAGCAAACAATCTGAAAAAGAAATTTAAAAAGTAGTCCCATTCACAATAGCTACAAATAAGATACCTAGGAATAAACTTAACTAAAGAGTGAAAGAGCTCTACAATAAAAACTATAAAACATTGATGAAAGAAATCAAAGAAGACACACAAAAAATGGGAAAATATTCAATGTTCATCGATTAGAAGAATCAATAATTTTAAAATGTCCATACTAGCTGGGTACAGTTGCAGTTGCCTGTAGTCCCAGCTACTCGGGAGGCTGAGGTGGGAGGGTTGCTTGAGCCCAGGAGGTGGAGGCTGCAGTGAGCTAAGATCATGCCACTGCACTCCAGCCTGGGTGACAGAGCAAGACCCTGGCTCTAAGAAAATAAATAAATAATAGAAATGTCCATACTACTCAAAGTAAACTGCAGATTCAATGCAATCTCTATCAAAATATCAATGACATTCTTCACAGAAATAGAAAAAAAAATCCTAAAATTTATATGAAACCATAAAAGATGGAATAGCCAAAGCAATTCTGAGGAAAAAAGAACAAAGCTGCAGACATCACATTACCTGACTTCATATTATACTAAAAAGCTATGGTAACTGAAACAGCATGGTACTGACATAAAAACATACATGTAGACCAACCGAATAGAGAACCCAGAAATACATCCACACATTTATAAACAACTTATTTTCAGCAAAGGTGCCAAGAACATACATTGGGGAAACCACATGCTCTTCAATAAATGGTGCTGGGAAAACTGGATATCCATATGCAGAGGAATGAAACTAGACCCCTATATATCACCATATACAAAAATCAAATCAAAATGGATTAAAGACTATGAATCTACTAGAAAAAAACATTGGGGAACGACTCCAGGACTTTGGTCTGGGAAAAGATATCTTGAGTAAGACCTCAAACCACAGGCAACCAAAGCAGAAATCAACAAATGGAATCACATCAAGCTAAAAAGCTTCCAGGACAGGTGTGGTGGCTCACGCCTGTAATCCCAGCACTTTGGGAGGCCAAAGCGGGTGGATCACCTGAGGTCAGGAGTTCAAGACCAGCCTGACCAACATCATGAAACCCTGTCTCTACTAAAAATACAAAAATTAGCTGGGCGTGGTGGTAGGTGCCTGTAATCCCAGCTACTTGGGAGGCTGAGGCAGGAGAATTGCTTGAACCCAGCAGGCAGAGGGTGCAGTGAGACGAAATCAAGCCATTGTACTCCAGCCTGGGCGACAGAGTGAGACTCCATCTCAAAAAAAAGCTTCTGCACAGCAAAGGAAACAATCAACAAAGTGAAGAGACAACCCACAGAATGGGAGAAAATATTCACAAACTACCCATCTGACAAGATATTAATAACCAGAATATATAGAGAACTCAACTCTATAGGAAAAAATCTAATAATCCAATCAAAATGGTCAAAAGATCTGAATAGACATTTCTCAAAAGAAGACATACAAATGGCCAACAGAGATACAAAAAAATGCTCAACTTCACTAATTATCAGAGAAATGCAAATTAAAACTACAATGAGATATCATCCCACCCCAGTTAAAATGGCTTTTATCCAAAAGACAGGCAATAACAAAAGCTGATGAGGGTGTGGAGAAAGGGGAACCCTCATATACTGTCAGTGGGAATGTAAATATGGTTAACAATAATACAGCCACTATGGAGAACAGTATAGACATTTCTCAAAGAACTAAAAATAAAACTACAATATGATCCAGCAACTCCACTGCTGGATATATTTCCAGATGAAAGCAAATCAGTATATTGAAGAGATACTGCCATGTTTATTGCGGCACTATTCACAATAGCCAAGATACGGAATCAAACCTGTTTCCGTCAACAGGTGAATGGACTTTTAAAACATGGTGTATAGACACAATGGAATAATATTCAGCCATAATAAAGAATGAAATCCTCTTATTTGCAACAACCCGGATGGAACTGAAGGACATTATGTTGAGTGAAATAAGCCAGGTACATGTTTTTACTCATATGTGGAAGCTAAAAAAAAAAAAGAAATCAAACCCATGGAGATAGAGAATAGAACAATGGCCACTAGAGGCTGGAAATGGTAGTGAAGAGAGGGGGTTACGGAGAGGATGGTTAATAGGTACAAAAATACACTTAGATAGAAGGAGTAAAATCCAGTGTTCCGTAGCACAATAGTGTACTATAGTTAACAATAATGTTCTGTATATTTCAAAATAACTAAAAGAGGAATTAGAATGTTCCTAATACAAAGAAATGATAAATGACTGAGGTGATGGATACACCAATTACTCTGATTTGATCATTACACATTGCTTTCTTATATCAAAATATCACATGTGGGCTGGACACGGTGGCTCTCACCTGTAATCCCAGCGCTTTGGGAGGCCGAGGAGGGAGGATCACTTGAGGCCAGGAGTTCGAGGCTGCAGTGAGCTGTGATCATGCCACTTCATGCCAGCCTTGGTGAAAGCACAATTCTGTCCTGAAAATAAAAATAAAAATAAAAATAAATCACATGTATCTCATAAATATGTACAACTATTATGTATCCATAATTATACATTTTTTAAAAAGAATTCATGAAAACTCACAAAAATGTGGTCAAAAGAATAGTTTGAGGATTAATTTGAAATCTTTTTGAAGGTTCTGGGATTTCTAGATCCAGTGTCCCACATTGCTTTGGGCTACCCCACCTGGTTACTAACCACAAAAAGTTCTATCTTTGTTTATGTGTGTATATATACACACATAAACATATATACATACAAACAAACATACATACATTGTTTATGTATTATATATATGTTTATGTGTGTGTGTGTGTGTGTGTGTGTATATATATATATCCTTTAAGTACCACTCAACTTTCAATTGATGTATTTAAAACATTTTCTTCCTGCTGGGCACGGTGGCTCACGCCTATAATATCAACACTTTGGGAAGCCGAGGAGGGTGGATCACAAGGTCAGGAGATCGAGACCATCCTGGCTAATAGGGTGAATCCCCGTCTTTACTAAAAATACAAAATAAAAGTAGCTGGGTGTGGTGGTGGGTGCCTGTAATCCCAGCTACTCGGGAGGCTGAGGCAGGAGAATGGCGTGAACCTGGGAGGCAGAGGTTGCAGTGAGCCGAGATCGCGCCACTGCACTCCAGCCTTGGGCAACAAAGCGAGACTCCATCTCAAAAAAAAAAAAAAAAGATTTTCTTCCCTAAAATATGCCCTACAAATGCTTGCTATCCATTCTACTAACTAATGAAAATGGTTGTGTGGTTCTCTGTCTTTATTCTCTGGGTCTTTTTTTTTTTTTTTTGAGACATTCTCGCTCCGTCACCCAAGTTGGAGTGCAGTGGCACAATCATAGCTTACTGCGGCCTGGAACTCCTGGGCTGAAGCGATCCTCCTGCCTCAGCCTCCTGAGTAGCCTCTTGGTCTTTCATCAAAGTGTGCTTTCCTTTATTGGGAAGGATAATAAGCACTTCCTGCTTAGAGTCCAAGCTGAAAATGAGTCCCCCACTTCAGAGGGTTTGAATCCTCCTGTGTCACACAGTCAAGTTTCCCCCAGACAAAGGCCACTTGGGGTATTACTATTTAATCATGGTAAGCCTGAGATCATATAGGTCCAATGTAGCATGTCTTATTTTCCCTTAATAGGCTGTGAGCTTCCTCAGGCTAGGGACTATTTATCTATTTACCCCTATAATACTATTCAATCTCTCCCCCAGAACATTCATGTAAAAGGTGCTCTCTCTATATATATACATATGTGTGTGTGTGTGTGTGTTGTGTGTGTGTTTAATGAAAAACTATTTTATTAAGACCAGCCATGAACTATTTATCTATTTATCCCTATTATACTGTTTAATCTCTCCCCAAAACATTCTTGTAGAAGGTGCTCTCTCTCTCTGTCTCTCTCTCTCTCTCTCTCTGTGTGTGTGTGTGTGTGTGTGTGTGTGTGTGTGTGTGTGGTTTTGTTTTTTTTTTGAGATGGAGTGTCGCTCTTGTTGCCCAGGCTGGAGTGCAATGGCGCGATGTCAGCTCACCTCAACCTCCACCTCCCGGGTTTAAGCGATTCTCCCGCCTCACTCTCCCAAGTAGCTGGGATTACAGGCATGTGCCACCATACCCGGCTAATTTTGTATTTTTAGTAGAGATGGGGTTTCTCCATGTTAGTCAGGCTGGTTTCGAACTCCCAACCTCAGGTGATCCACCCGCCTCGGCATCCCAAAGTGCTGGGATTACAGGCGTGAGTCACTGCGCCTGGCCATATGTGGTTTTTTTCTAATGAAAAAACTATTTGACTAAGATCCATCAGGGCCTCTCTTGCCCCCCTCTCACGATGTGACATGCCGGCTCCCCGTTCACCTTCCACCATGATTGTAAGCCTCCTGAGGCCCTCACCAGAAGCAGTTGCTGGTGCCACACTTCATGTACAGCCTGCAGAACTGTGACCCAAATAAAACCCTTTTCCTTAAAAATTAAAAAAAAAAAAAGACTCATCTGGAAAGGTCTCAAAGGGGAGAGAATGTGTCCACTGCGCTGGGCTATACTTCTGTTACAGTCTAGGTAACTCTAGAATCTGACAAATCAATAAAGAAATTTTGTTTCTGTAAATATTATCTCCTTCTCATCTCCATCCCTAGGAATCCATAATATTTGAGGAATTCTTCAGCCTAAAAAATAAATAACCACAGAGTGCCTTTCATATGCAGCATCTGTGATTCTTAATGCTGGCTGAACATCAGAATCACCTGTGGAGCTTCTAAAACCTATCAGTACCAGGACCCTATTCCAGAACAATTCAATCAGAATCTATGGGGGTGGTGCACAGATACTTCATTTCTCTTAGTCCTTGCAACACCTCCGTATGAGAGGTGCTATTATCCCCATTTTCCAGTGGAGGAAACTGAGGCTCAGGCTAAGCGAGATTAAGGCTTGCCCATTACACATTTAATAAGGGACACACAGCCTGATTCCCAAATAGCTCTCAAACATACATTATTTTGGTAAGTGCTGTTCATAACATATTTTAACAACATGTGGATATAGAACCACCAAGAGCCTTTATCCTGCTAAGCTGTGGACAAGCCAGTGGATCAGACGCAGAGAGACATTCATCTGCCTACACAGCAGCAGGAAAGGACCTGTGCTCACTTCCACACCGCAGTTTTTACTCTCAAGCAGAGCAGTCACAAACCCTGTTTCTTTGACTTGTCAACTCTTTCATAACATCTCACCACCAAGACCAAGATAGCTGTTTTCTTTTTTTTTTTTTTTTAATTTTTTTGGTAGATATGGGGGTGGCAGTCTTGGTATGTTGCCCAAGCTGGTCTTGAACTTCTGGCCTCAAGCAATCCTCCTGCCTCAGCCTCCCAATGTGTTGCAATTGCAAGCATAAGCCACTACACCTGGCAACTTTTCTCTTGAGGAATCAGAAGGTTAGAGCAGCACAAATACTAGAGCGGATGGCCAGGCCAAAAGCCAGCATTTTTAATAAATATTACTGTGAATTTTGAACACTTTTATTTCCTGAATATGCTATGTACTTAGATTTCAGTGAGCACGAGTGCATGAGATGAAATTTGCTTTAAAAAGACAGAGTCAAATGGACTGACACAGGTGAACCAAAAGTGAGAATAGCTTGCCTTCTTTAACTCCACTTTGTTGCTTCTCATTTTATTTATTCCCTAAACAAAACAAGAAAACTCAAAGTGGTTCTCAGTAAGACTGAAGAATTCCCCTAAGAATTCCCATCTTTATGAGTTACAGAATCGAGTCAACTTTTCTTTTTTCCGAATGCTGCCTGAAGAGCTACTTTTCACTGCTATTCTGAGCAATTCTGGAGCTGCTGAGATGTCTTGGGGAAGGGTGGAGCAGCTGCCAGACTCCTCAGGTTCTGATGGAGGCAGATGCCTTTCCCCAGCTTGTTGCTGGCTGGGAACAAGCCTTCCACAATATGGATTTCATTGTCTGAACTCCCTCAGCTCAGCAACGCCCCTTGTCAGAGCACAGAGCCCACAGTTATATCACAGATTAGCCCAGGAAACAGCTAGTCATGAATCACAGAGGCTCATGGATCTCTGCCGAACAAAGAACTCCAGCTCTGGGAAACTTTCTGGCCCAGCCTCTCCCTCTGTCCCAGTGGAAAAGCAGGTAATTTCCCACTGGCCCAGTAGAAAACCAGTGCAAGGTTCATGCAAGACAGGTGGACTTAACCTGGCCATTTCTTTCTTTTTCCTCATCTACTAATGCTGTTTTCATACCAACTGCATCCTAAACACAGAGTTAAGATGGTGATTCATAGTGGTGGTGGGCGTCTCAGTAGGAGCTTTCTTAAGAAGAAAGGGCTTTGAATGAGCCAATGAAAGCTGTTGCCAGGGAACCAGATGCCATGAACAGGCCACTCCAGCAGCATAAGAATACAAGCCAGGAGTGCTGGACTGAGCATTAAGTGTACTTGGCAGCTGAGTCCTACAAGGCCTGTTAACCCTTTGTGCACCTATGTCTAGACAGTGAGTCAAGAGAAGGATTATGGTAAAATCTGAAAAAGCCAAGCCACCCCTTCTGTCAGTATCTCCCACTGGAATGTGCCATTTCAAAGTTGTTCTCCCTGCTTGACTAACAGCTCCTCTGGACACCTGCTTTAGAGTGGATTGGCTAAGAGATGGGCACAAGCAAGGGTTGGTGGGGAGGATGACGCTCCGCAGAGGGCACTGCTCATGTCTGATCGTACATGTTAGAACACTAATGACTCCTCTTAACTTGTGGTTGAGTTTTATGTGATCTCTTAGCCTTTGGAGAAGGGACTTTGCTGCCCCAGGTGGGTCTGCTCTATGAGATAAGGAGGAAATGCTTCCCCTCTTCCTTAAATGTATACTTCAGAGCCTTCTAGGGCCAGCTGGAGATTGGCAGCCTATGCCTCATGTTCAGATTGTTGGCTGGAGGAGTATGGACACAGGCTGCTGGCTGGGAAAATGGGGAACAGGCAAAGCTGCTGTAGATGGGCCTCCCGACCTACCTCCCAGGACTCCTCCATCTTGTCCCACTTCTTCCTCTCCCTCTTCCATCAATCCCCAATCCAGGCATCCACTCTGGGTTCCATTCCTGCACAGCTTGATTAATTCAATCTCTGCAAAGGTACTAGCATCTTATCTCAGTTCTCAGGAAGATGTGAATGCTTTTCCAAAGGAAACTATAAAGGTTGAAAAACAGGCAGTGAGGTTACCTGTGGGCTAGGGGCTCCTTGGTTCACAAGGAGAACTCTAGCAATATGTGGGTCTTGAGGGGAAGATTCTCCCCACACCCAGGCTCCCTGACACCCTTCCTCTTCCTCAGATTGTCAGCTGCAGCTCCCTGGCTGCTCCCCTCTGGGGGCTAAGGATGGGGACGTCAATTTGAACATCAAAATCTCACCAGTGTGGGCAAAGAGTGGGAAGAGAATTTGTGTATACCTTGGGTGTTGGTATGTCCCTACAAAGATACATGTTTTATACATCACATTAACATTTATCTAAAATGATCAGCACAGGGTTCACAATTTTCACTCTGTGATAATCAGAAAATATAAAAATTATTCTCATCATAGAGTTAAAATGGTGAGCTGGAAGCCAGTTGACAGAGAAGCGTCTGGTTAGGCAGTCTAGTGACTTACTATCTATATATATTAGATTTCCTGTTGTGAGGAAATGACTTTCAGAGCATCCATTTGTGCAGCAAAACCTCACTGCTGAGCTGGGCACAGTGGCACTTATCTGTAGCTCCAGCTACTTGAGAAGCTGAGATGGGAGGATCACTTGGGCCCAGGAATTCAAGACCAGCCCGGGCAACACAGCGTGACCCCCATCTCTAAAATAAAACCAAACCTCACTAGTGTGTGCTAATAGTGGGAGACAATTCATGTATATTCTGAATTGTGAGATGGAATTATTCATTAAACAATATTTTCAGCCGGGTGTGGTGGTTCATGCCTGTAATCCCAGCACTTTGGGAGGCCGAGGCGGGTGGATCACGAGGTCAAGAGATAGAGACAATCCTGGCCAACATGTTGAAGCCCTGTCCCTACTAAAAATACAAAAATTAGCTGGGCGTAGTGGCACGCGCCTATAGTCCCAGCTACTTGGGAGGCTGAGGCAGGAGAATCACTTGAATCTGGGAAGCGGAGGTTGCAGTGAGCCGAGATCATGCCACTGCACTGCAGCCTGGCAACAGAGCAAGATTCCATCTCAAAAAAACAAAAACAAAAACAAAAAACAATATTTTCTATTTATTGAGCATGTACTATGTGCCTGGCACAAGACTCGGTGCTTGACACAAATCATTTCATTTGCTAATTACATAAACATCATTGTAACAGTATTTAATGAAAATCAAAAGAAAAATTTACCCACCACCAAACAACATAGATCAAACATTGCTATGTTATTATTACATTTTATTACTCTAATGTTCAACAATGCTAAATTATCAGAATCCATGCAGTATCAATGAATGACATCTGCTCTAAGATCCTCCCTTTAGAATTAAAATCATCCCTGCTCCTGTCACCCTCCATAGGTTGGTTCCTATGGAAGTTTGTTATTTTTGCCCCAAGTAACTGAGCTGCCAGCCAGGTGGTGATTGATTTTCCCCATGTTATGAAAGAACCAAGAATGTGTGGCTTTTATTTCTTCTACAAACTCACTATCTCTCCACCGTAAATTTAAAAGCTTGCAATTACAGTGAATTTTCCTACTAATAAAGTGAAGCCATGAGCAAAGGGATAACTAAATATTTTAGACTCCCACAGCAAACCCTTCAGAAAGATCTAAAATAAATAGATCCCTAGTCCCTTCGCTCTGAACTAGACAGGCCATGCAGCCATAATTTATAGCTAAGGAGAGAAAGGAAGCAGAAATCCAAGGCTGACACTCTCTCTCTTGCTATGATTCCAGAGTATTCTTTGTTGCCTTTCGCATTTTCTTCTTTCACACCTGGCCTGGGCCACATAAGAAATTAGCCATAGTCTCTGAATAAGCCAAGTAACTTATCCTTAGCAGGTCTGTGCTTCTTCTGACAAGTTCAGAGGATTTTATCTTCTACACTGATTGTTAGGGTGCTTTCAGCCTGTGTACTAAGCCTTGAGTTGGTCAGCACCTTTAACCTATGGGTCTGAGCTTTGTACTATAGCAAACTACCAACTACTAAAACAGGATTTGACCCAATTCTCTTCTTTTCTATATTTTTCATACTGGCTCAAAGACAATTATACATCTCTTTGGGCATGCTAAAAAGCAAAATGACAAGTATTCAATCAGCTGCTACTATAATGCAAGGGGTTCTATGCTATGGGGAGTATTAAGAATTTTAAGATATTGGCCAGGCACAGTGGCTCACACATGTAACTTTGGGAGGCTGAGTCAGGAGGACCACATGAATCTAGGAGTTTGAGACCAGACAGGGCAACATAGTGAGACCCCATTCTACAAAAAATAAAAAATTAGCCAGGCATGGTGGAGTATGCCTGTAGTCCCAGCAGTACAGGGGGCTGAGGTAGGAGTACTGCCTGAGCCCCAGAGGTCAAGGCTGTAGTGAGCCATGATCGCAGCACTGCATTCAGCCTGGGTGACAAAGCAAGACCCTGTCTCTTAAAAAAAAAGAATTGTAAGATGTAGTCTCTACCTTCCAAAGACTTCAAGTCTAGTTGGGACATAAAACACAAGCAAATTGAAAGCCTTAATAATGTAAGGCGTTGCTGCTTGTCATGTACATGGCCCATCTTTTAAATTTTTTTTTAAACAGGATCTTGCTCTGTCTCCCAGACTGGAGTGCAGTGGTGTGATCACAGCTCACTGCAGCCTCTACCTTCTGCGCTCAAGCAATCTTCCCACTTCAGCCTCTGGAGTAGCTGGGACTACAGGCATGCACCACCACACCCAGCTAATTTTTTATTTTTTGTAGACAGACTGGCTAATTTTTTACATGTTTGGTACAGACAGAGGGATTTTGCCATGTTGCCTAGACTGCTCTTGAACTCCTGAGCTCAAGTGATCTGCCATCCTTGGCCTCCCAAAGTGTTGTGATCACATGCATGAGCCACCGTGCCCAGCCTCACAGCCCATATTTTTAAAAATCTTTTGTTTTGACTTTTTCATACAACTTGTCTTTGGTGCTTATGGTAGATAACTGTAGTTGGCTCTATCAACTTTTATTCTACATTCCCTCTGGTGCAAGAGCTAGAAAGCAGCAAACTTTATTTTCTAGACTTCCTTCCAACTAGATTTACAAAATGAAGTTAAGAGAAGCGAGGTTGGGGAGATCTGAGTGCTTAGAAGTAGTCATGGCAGCCAGACCAGAGGTCCAGGGCCCAGTCACCACTTCATGGCTGAAGCGGGTAGCGGGGGCCAAAGTCATAGCTGCTCTCTGAGAGCCATGATGGGGCTTCTTATGAAGAACTGCTACTACTCTATTCCAGAAGTATTACAGGAAGAACAACAGGCTGAAATTGGAACCAAATTTGGACAAGGTCCCATTTCACCTCTGGTTTGCTCTATGGCTTTATGCAAATCATTTCATCTCTCTGTGCACTGATCTTTACTCTTTCATTAACAAGAGCAACACCAAGGACTCTCCTCGTAGAGTGCCCCTAAAGATGAATAAAATACTAGAAAACACGATTACACTTCCTTTTAAAGAGGGATAAAGGTTCTGACAGTATCACATAGGCCGCCTCTCCAGAGTGGCATTCATTTACTCCAAGCACTTTGGAACAAGGGATACATTCCTGAATGTGCTGGGGAGGTGGCCATTGAACAGCATCTATTTTCTGTTTCATGTGGTTTCTATTTATTTACAGAGTGCCATGGTTATTCATGATGTTTTACAAACCATAAAAACAAGGTCTCCACCCTATAGAAGTTACAGTGTAATTCAAACAGACTTGCTGCATGGGCCGACAGGTCAGGCGTGCCAGGAGATGGTGTTGGTGTTGTATAACATGGGTGTGGAGGGGTTCTTCTTGAGTTATAAATACTTTCCAGTTACAAGGGCCTTTCATCTGGGATCCCCAAGCACTTTAGAATAGCAATAACCCGGATTGCTTTCTAAATGTACTTTCTATAAACTGTTGTGGGGACTGAGTAAATGCTTTTAAATGACTATTAATTGGTCTGTGGATCTGTTCATTGTCCATATTAAACAGCATAGATGTAAACACGATGGTTTAGGAGAGGCCCGCTTTAGGCTGTGGTCTGGCTGCTTACAGATTACTGCTGCCCCACAGAGACCCGGAAGGCTTGCCACAGCCTTGGGAGGGCCAGATGGACACTCCTAGGCGTTTTCCTAGGTGATAAGCTCACTCAACCTAGACTCAGAAAGAGCACTCCTTGGCGCCCTGGTTCACTGCGTATGGATGAGTTAACATTTCAAAGTCAGGTGAGTTCAGAGAAAGAATCTCCTCTGGAGAAACTTGGAACCATTCCTTGGCTAACGATGGTGGTTCTCATTCAGGTCCCAAGGCCTCCATTAAGTTCCTCTTATGCTGCTTTTCTCTCTTTCTTGAGCAATGGCACTTTCAAAACGGCAAGATTTATCTTTCTTTGCAGCTGGTATAGAGTTTCCCCTTCTGTCTTACTCAAAGACCACTTAACTGGTGATTTTTCCTGACCTATTTGACAAGTTCATTCATATCCAAGAGAAGACTGGCCTGGGTTGCAAGTCTTGAAAGTTCACCCAGAGGTTGATGAGATAAGGATTCCTCCTTCTATCCATCCTTTATAAGCTTCTCAGAGTTATCTTTCTAAAAACCCAGATGGAATAATATCACCCCCCTGCTTTAATAAAACCTACCTGGGGGTACAAATGACTCACGCCTGTAATCCCAAGGTAACAAGGGCAACATTAAGGACTCTCCTTATAGATTGCCCCTAAAGATGAATAAAATACTAGAAAACATGATTACACTTCCTTTTAAAGAGGGATAAAGGTTCTGACAGTATCACATAGGCCACTTCTCCAGAGTGGCATTCATTTACTCCAAGCATTTTGGAACAAGGGATACACTCCTGAATGTGCTGGGAGGTGGCCATTGAACAGCATCTATTTTCTGTTTCATGTGGTTTCTATTTGCGAAGCTGAGGCAGAAGGATCGCTTGAGCCCAGAAGTTCGAGACCATCCCGGGCAATGTAGTGAGACCCTGCCTCTAAAAAACAAAACAAAACAAAAACAACAACAACAACAAAAACCTACCTGAAGAATAAAATTCAAAATGCTTCAGCACGGTATATGCAGCCTTCATGGCCTTGGCCAGCTGACCTTTGTCCTTGCATCTCTGTCCACATGACCTGCAGTTTTGTTTTCTTTTTTGTTTCTATTTTTGTTTTGAGATGGAGTCTCACTCTGTCGCCCGGGCTAGAGTGTGCCATCTCGGCTCACTGCAACCTCCACCTCCCCAAGCAATTCTTATGCCTCAGCCTCCCAAGCAGTTGGGATTACAGTTGGGATTCCTTCTTAAGGCACACCACCATGCCTGGCTAATTTTTGTGTTTTTAGTAGAGACGAGGTTTCACCATGTTGGGCAGGCTGTTCTCCTCCTGACCTCAAGTGATCCACCTGCCTTGGCCTCCCAAAGTGCTGGGATTACAGGCATGAGCCACCACAACCAACCGGAAAAAAATTTTAATTGTAGTAAAATATATGTAACATAAATTTACTTTCGTTTTAGAGATGAGATCTCACATTGTCACTAAGGCTGAACTCAAACTCACGGGCCCAAGGGATCTTCTTGCCTCAGCCTCCGGAGTAGCTGGGATGACAGGTGTGTGCCACTGCACTGGCTCAAATGGACCATTTTAACATTTTTAAGTTTACAGTTCATTGACATTAAGTACATTCATATTGTTGTGAATCCACCTTCAGAACTTTTTCATCTTCTCATACTGAAACTCTGTACCCACTATACACTGATGTTCCATTCCCCTCTCCCTGACAGCCCCTGTCAATTACCATTCAACTTTCTGTCTCTGTGAATCAGACCACTCTAAGTACTTCACATAAGAGAAATCATACAATGTTTGTTCTTTCATGATTGGCTTATCTTGTTTAGTGTAATGTCTTCAAGGTACATGCGTGTTGTAGCATATGTCTGAATTTCCTTCCTTTTTTTTTTTTTTTTTTTTTTTTGAGATGGAGTCTCACTCTGTTGCCCAGGCTGGAGTACAGTGGCATGATCTCGGCTCACTGCAACCTCCGCTTCCCAGGTTGAAGCGGTTCTCCTGCCTCAGCCTCCCAAGTAGCTGGGACTACAGGCGTGTGCCACCACACCTGGCTAAATTTTTATTTTTAGTACAGACGGGGTTTCATCAAGTTGGCCAGGCTGGTTTCGAACTCCTGACCTCAGGTGATCCGCCCACCTCGGCCTCCCAAAGTGCTGGGATTACAGGCATGAGCCATGGTGACCAACTGAATTTCCTTCCTTCTTAAGGCTGAATAATACTGCATTGTATGCATATGCTACATTTTGTTGATTCATTCATCTGTCGATGGACACTTGAGTTACTTCCACCTTTTGGCTCTTATAAACAGTTTTGCTCTGCATATGAGTATACAAATATCTCTTTGAGACCCTGCTTTCACCTCCTTTAGGTATACAGACCCAGAAGTGGAATTACTGGTGATACGGTAATTCTGTTTAATTTTCTTAGAAACTGTCATACCATTTCCTACAGAGGCTGCGCCATTTTGCATTTCCAACAGCAATGCACAAGGTTTTCAATTTCTCCGTATCTTCACCAAATACTTGTTATTTTCTGTTTTTGTTTTTGTTTTTTAATAATAGCCATCTTAGTAGGTGTGAAGTGGTATCTCATTGTGGTTTTGATTAAATTCTGTTTGGAGCCTCTGCATTCACTCATTCGCTGTCTTGATTCCCCCTAATAAACCCTATTTTATTTTACAACAGAACCTCTATTTCTTTCTCAGGAGACTTGAACTTGGTTGGGGGTGGAGGGGTCAGAGGGGGAGGGGAAAGTGCCACATAGGAAGATCAAAAAGGTAAGTGGGCTTGTAGCCTGTTGTGCTTCTTCATATAGGCCAGCAGTGGGCACTCCCACAAGACTGCCAGGGTAGTTCAGCTGACAGCTAACAGGCAGCTTGCTTTTCCAGGCTTGAGCAGGTTCCTAGATCCCCAGCAAAGGGGTCTTTTTGTTTCCTGACCCTCTTCCCTCCTGTCTGTGCTCGTCACAATGTCACTGTTAAAGAGACCCAAGCATCCCAGGCTACACAGTGCTTCTCAAAGCAGGTGCTCCTGGCATTCTAGTGGGACAGTTCATCACTATGTGGGAATTTCACACCATGTAGAACATTTAGCATCTGGGGCCTCTGCTTGATCAATGCCAGCAAGACCCCCAATCATTGCAACAACCAAAATGTCCCCCACCCACATTTCCAGAGCACCCCCATCAGGGGATAGCTTGCCCAGTTGAGAACCAGGTATGCAAAGGAAGCTAGAGAATCCCAGTGTCTCCCGCTCAGGCAAAGCAGCAACTACCATAATGAGGTCTCGTGTCCAGTTGAGGGGATGATGGAGCTCAGCCAAGGAAAAAGTCACAGGTGGTTTTAGGTGACCTAGATTACACCCTGGCTCTGTTAATGGTTAGTTGACAGTGACAGGCTCACATATCAGGAGAGAGGGGAAGACGCTCTCTAAAAACAAGATGAGAACAATAACAGAAAAAGTACCCCAACAAGTCCCCCACCCCATGCAACTGGGACTTGCAACCTGAGCCTGGTCCCTTCAGTGTCCATTTGACCCCCACCCCCATCCCCGGGGAATGCACACTGCACCCGGCACCCGTCTCTGCCTTGCCTGGGTTAGTTTAAGGGACTTCATTTCCCTGTGCTGCCATAGCAACCAGGAAACAACCTCCGCTCAGACAAGAAGGATGGTGCTGTGGCCGAGATCTGTAGATGCACACGGCTGGTAACAGAGCAACCGGGACCAAGGGACAACAAGAGCTCAGGAGAAGGGGAGAGACAGGTCGCCCAGAGAGTAGACAATCCAGGGCTTGAGGAGGCTGGCTGTGCGGTTTATTTTTTCTCTCCACAAAGACACACACTGTCTAAACTGTGTGGCTGGTTGTTACTAAGAAGCTGCTGCGAGAGGGAAAAATGTATTTAATAAAAGGCCCTGTGTTTGTGGTCTTCTTGGGCTTGCTGTGAGCTCTGGAAATCTTGAGGTGTGACCAGATTTCAGCCTTCAAAACCAAGATGGACTGCCCTTGAGAAGGGGTGGTCAGAGGGAAACATGTTCACGCTCTCCCTCCTGAGCCGGGGCCACGGGAAGCTGGGCCAGGACAAACAGAAGTTAGAAGTCTACTTTGAACCAGAGGTGAGTCCCACAGCTGAAGAAAGGCACATTTTGGAGGTGGGAGAGGAATGCTCTATGTTTCCACTTGGGAGGTAAACCATGTGTGTCTTGGTTTGTGTTGTTAGTGAGGTGGCGGGGTCACTGGAAGATCTTCCTTCCTCCTTCATGAAACTCAAGAAAATAACATCATTTTCCTGACACACCGAGATTGCCCCTGAGGCCCTCATCTTTCCCCTTGTAGCTGTCTTTGCTTGGACCAAAGGAGATTCCAGATTGTCTGGAATTTGGATGGTTTGGTGCAAGACCAGAATTTCCACCTGGGTTCTAGGCAAACTGATGGTTGTTTGGTTTTTGGAAGTCGTGCTCTGCAGTTGAAATGCTGTGTGTGTTCATGCCATTTCAATGGCTTCCTTGAACTTTCTGGAATTCAACCCACAGGACTCATATTTAATATAGGCCAAAAAAAAACCCACCTCATTTTAGAAGATTTTAAAGAGGTGGCAAAATTCCCTTGTTATACTAGATTTTTATTTCACTTGAATCCTGCCAGGGATAAGAAACCTATTGGGGATACTTTGCAAATTTGGGGGTCATACAGAGATTTCCATTGTCATGGTACTTTGTCATGATATTTGACCTTTGCTGTGTTAAACGGCATATAAAGTTTCAAAGGACCTGTATGGCCAATGGCATTTTCTTACCTACAAGATATGTAACTGCTTTATAGGCCCCTAAATAGCCAAATTAGGTAATGTTACATAGCATCTGGAATGTATAGAAATTCTCCCCACGTACAGCTGAAGTGGTGGTGGCTTGGAATGCTCCTATTTAAACTGCCAGCTAGTCCAGGTCTAATTTCAAAGTTATCTGCTGCCCTTAATAATTCTGACCACTTACTTGCATACCAGGAAACTTTAACTGGCCTGTAACCTACATACAAGCTGAGTTAATCCTCCAGCCATACATGACTCTCCTGAAAGTTGTATGGGGTGAAATAGAACCATGCCCTGGGTTCTACTAATTTTGAAATGTGGAGAGAAAAGGCAGTTGCTAAGAAGAGCAATTGTGTTCCATAACACCATGTGAACAGTTCAGAGAAAATCAGTAACTAAAAAAATGCCGAAGGCTTTGCACAAGCAGTATTTGCTATAGAAAGGTCTTCCACAGTGGCTCCGTCAAAGTGGCTGCTTCTCATTGCAGGATTACTTGAACTGGAGGTCCCCAGAAGACTATGTTCCTGTCAGCAAACCTCAAGATAAGAACAATGCCAGTCAGCACTCCTGGAGCCTCTTTCTCCCTAAAACTTTCAGTACTAGAAAGGGTGCCCTGATCCTGTACTCAGAAGGTTTTGCCATTTCGGCATGGACACCCAAAGAGAGGAGAAAAGGCCCCTACTGCCCCAGAGGTCCCTGGAGGAAGCTGGATCTTGAACTGCACACACTTCAAGACCTCAAAGAAGCCATCCTGGCATATGGAAGGCAGCAGGTAGGCAGAACGCTCCCTTGGGTTTGGGGAAGGTGCTGGTAGCATGTCTAGAAACCCAGTTGCAGCTTTGGGAATAATTTCTTGGACCCGGGGAAGGTATGAAACTCTCAGAACTCTATTTCTTCATCTCTAAAATGAGATTGACTGTACTCTTAGCCCTATCTGCTGCACACCATTGTCACAAAGCTTAAATGAGATAATGTATGTGAAAGGGATCTGAAAACCATAAAGGGCTACATTATCATCATTTTATGTTTTCCTTTCAGTTAGAGTAACACAAAGTCCTTTTCAGCATTCAGACAGATTCAGGCCAGCAGACGTTTCATCAGGATCCTTGAAATCCTGTCTCATAGCCACAAGCATCATCATCCCACCTCTGATGTTCTTGGCTCTGTGGAAATGAGAGGGAGAACATTTTAAATATTTACCTTGAGCCCTTCAGCGTCTGCAGGATAAGTTAATGACTTTTTCCATCCTGAATACAATATTAAGGGAAAACACCTGTGTTCATTTTTCTGATTCATACTTCCTAATGTCTTGTGAGATGTGCATCTGGCCCCTGCTTTATATAATTGCATGCATCAGCCCTTTGGCTGAGGCCATAAGATAGTCTGGGAAGATGTGTCACTTTATAAAATTCTAGGTTAGAAATGGTGGGTGACTCCCTAATTTAAAAGTGTTTACTGACTTTTCATTCCCCACAAAATAAAGTCATTAGCTTCTTCTATCAGGCCTTTCACACATTGGCTTTTCTGCTCCATGTCTAGCCACATTTCCCACCTGTTCCTGTACCACTTCCATCATGGACGCCATAAGGCCCCACCCATGTGATTAGCTCATCATTCCCCAACACCTGTGCCCTTTCATGACTCTCCATTTTTGCACACACCTCTACAGCTGGCAAGCTCCCACCCATCCTTCAAAACACAACTTAAATACCATCCCCTCACTGAAGCCTTCTCCCACTTGCCTAGGCAGAGATAGCTCATGCCTCCCTCCTCTGCAAACATTCCCATACCGTCATGCACTGAAATTTATTTCTTTGACTGTCATTCCTGATGGATTAACATCTCTTCCAATATGGGGACCATGTCTAAATCATTTCCAGAAAGAGTACCCACAAATGTTTGTGGAATTAATGACTTGGTCATGCATGATATTTTCAATGTTTCTTAGATCATCTCCCAGAATCATTGTTGGACAATTTATCACCTACCCCCATGCCAGGCAGAGCTTCCAAAAGAAAAGACTCCTCTGCCCTCTTTTCATCTTTCAAAATAGAGAAGCTTGATGATCCTGACTGAATGCCCAATGCTCTTTAACTTAAAAATAATAAATTCTTGAATAAAAGAAAACCAATTGTTGAATGCTATAATGTTGCATTATAGCTAAATATTATTTTATTTAATCCCTACAAAGACCCTGTGCGATATAGTTTTTCTTGCCTCCTTGTATAGATGAGGAAACCAAAGCTCAGGGTAGATAAGTGATTTGCCCAAGGCCAGAGAGCTACTAAATGACAAGGCCAGAATTCAAATCCAGGACTGCCTACCTCACCAGGGCCTGCATACTTTGCACTCTGCCCTGTTGTTTGTGGACTCGAAGGGACTCCAGTGGTCCACTGGTCATTGTGCTGGTCATGGCCTGTTTGTCTCAGATTCCCTCTGTTCCCTTCCCCTGCTCTGCTCTGCATCACAGGCAGGTTGACCACAGGCTATATACAATTCTGCAAACATCTGTGTCCACTGGCTTCTAGTTGAATTTGCCAATGGGAGACGCTGGAAAGAGATTGGAGAGGGAGAAGAAGAGGAAGACCACAGTATTTCTCCCTTCCCACTCTGCCTCAAGTGAAAAGAAGCATCTGCATTACCTCTGTGATACAGCTCTCAACAGACAGGCCCACTATGACCCCCAGCTCCTCCAGGTGACCCCACCAGCTCCTCCCTCTGTCCTTCTAGCGTAAGTGTGGTGCTGGCTTCCTGATGTTACTGATCTCAATGTTGCCCCCCCAGCTGTTTGGCTTCTGAGGTCTCCAATCACCTGTACAACCAATTCCCTAAATCAAATTCCTTCTGTGTTTACTTAGTTTCTATTTTCCTGGTTGGACACTGAGTGATATATAGGCTAACTCACTGCCCAGAGTAAGAATACCTTCCATCGTCTTCAGATGCTTGTCTATAAGGCTAAATACTTCAGGTAACAGAGATCTTAATAGTTTATAAAGTAGATAAGTCAGTTTGGGGTGAGTTTCATTTTTGGTTATATTTGGGCTCAATGAAAAAAAGAAGTTGCTATCTTCCTGTGGCATCCATCTTCTAAATTTATAGCTCATATCTGTACAAAACAGAATATGTAGTCTAACTCCACATGAGTAGAGGGAAATGGTGTGAAGAAATTAGAGAAAAGAAAACGTATGGAAGAGTACAGGGCTGGAGTTTAAGATTAACGGACATAGTAGATTAAAAGAGGAGGAGAAGCAACTCAAAAGGGACTTCGAATTAAAGAAAATGAACACACTGGGCTCAGTGCCTCACACCTGTAATCCAGCACTTTGGGAAACAGAGGCAGGAGAATTGCTTGAGCCCAGGAGTTCAAGACCAGCCTGGGCAACATAATGAGACCCTGTTTCTATCAAAATAAAAATAATACAAATTATTTAAAAAGAAAAGAAAAGGAAAGGAACACCTCAGAAGCTTCGGAAAATAGAGTACCATCTGACTATGAAAACAACAGCCTGGCAAGAAACTTTTAAAATCATAATACCCAGTGCCAGGACAGCTATAGGGAAACAGCAGTCTCACATGTTAGGAGCACAAATTCACATGACATTTCTGGAGGGCAATTTGGCAAAAGCCTAAAAGGGGCTGATACCTTTTGATTCAACATTCCACTTTTAGGAGCTGGCCCTAGGACATAATCAGATGTATGTTCAAAGATCTATGCAGAAAAACATTGACTACAGGGTTCTTTATTACTAGGCAAAACACTGAAAACAGTAAATGCCCAGCAATGGAACATTGATCAAATGAACTCTGGTAAATCATGTAATGACCTGGGTCAAGCAATGAAGTCATGTGTTAGTCATGAATAACATGAGAAAATCTGCACAATGTTTTTCTTTTGTTTTGTTTTGAGACAGGGTTTCCTCTGTTACCCAGGCTGGAGTGCAGTGGCACCATCACAGCACACTGCGGCCTCAAACTCCTGGGCTCAAGTGGTCCTCCCATCTCAGCCTCCCCAGTAGCTGAGACTACTGGCTCATGCCACCATGCCGGGCCAATTTTTTGTATTTTTGTAGAGATGGGGTCTAGCTCTGTTGCCCAAGCTGGTCTCGAACTCCTAGGTTCAAGAAATCCACCCACCTTGGCCTCCCAAAGTGCTGGGATTACAGGTGTGAGCCACCATGCCTGGCCTGGAATGTATTTTTTTAAAGCAGATTACAAAAATGTATTCATATAATAAAAATACCAGTGTTCATTAACTTTTTTTGAGTAGTTGTGTTATTTTTGCCACTATTCTAAGTGCTTTCCAAGTATAATTCATTTATGCTTTCTAATAATCCTGGGCATAAGTACTATTATTATCCACTTTAAAGGTGAGGAAATAGAAGCACAGAGAACTCGAGTGACTCACTCAAAGTTATACAGCCAAGTAAATCACTGCACCAGAATGTGAGACTAGGCCACATAGAAAACATCACCTCTCTAATATAAATCTGTTTTTAAAAAAGTGATTATTGACCGGGTGTGGTGGCTCACACCTGTAATCCCAGCACTTTGGGAGGCCAAGGCAGGTAGATCATCTGAGGTCAGGAGTTCGAGACCAGCCTGGCTAACATGGTGAAACCCCGTTTCTACTAAAAATACAAAAAATTAGCTGGGAGTGGTGATGCACGCCTGTAATCCCAGCTACTCAGGAGGCTGATACATTTCTTTTTACCAAATATATTTTTTAAACTACGGGATTTTACAAATAAAATAAAAATCTATAGCTTTGAAAGAGGTAGACAGTTGACCCTGGAAATCAAGGTGAGAGGCTTCGGGGAGGAAAATGGAATGGCAAACAGTGCTGCAAGTTGAGTCCACCAATAACCACACCATCTGTCCATTAGGGTGAGTATTTCTTTGTCCAAATAGGATAGTTCAAGAGTTTAAAACACTACACTCAAAGTCAAAGAGCCAAAGTGAGGATGGAAAAAGGGGTAGAGTAATAGTGCTGCTCACGGAAGGATCTGTTCTTGGCTGGACTGTGAATCAAGAAACCTGCATGACTCAGGCCCCACCCAGACCTGTAAGAATACAGGCTGTCGCAGAAAGGTGCAAGTCAAGGTTTAAAGCATCTCACAACACCTCCAACTCCCTGGATCTGACAGCACACATGTGGCAACCCGTCTGGAGTTTATAGCTCAGCATACATCCACCCTTGAACTTTCTTGATGGCCCAACTCCTTACGGGTAAAGATAAATGTTAAGTCAAGAAATCAGAGGTCAGCATTCTTAGACTTCTGGATACACACAAATATGTCGCTTGGTTGGTTTTTTGTTGTTGTTGTTTTTTAACAGAAGGAAATCTTGTTTAGCATTTCCAAAGTTGAAACCATTCTTCTTGAGGCCTTTAATTTATTCAGCTTCCCATTATTGAGACATCAAATAGCTATAAAACCTAAGTAATCATAATTTGGGGTGGGATAAATACAAACAATGTGACATTGATTAAATAATGTATTTAAGATAATGTGTTTTAAAATTCAGTTCACAGGGCATTTTACCTGTATAACCTCATTCAATCTGCACAAGCCTAAGAGCTAGGTGCTAGCATTACCTCCGTTTTATAGGAAGGAAGCCTGGGGCTTGACATTAACTAATTTGCTCAAAATTACAAACCTAAGTGGTGAAGCTAGAATTGGAGACCAACAACGGATTCCAAAGCCCCACGTTTAACCCCTAGATGGCTTGATTTTGAAAACTCCACATTCCCCAGAGAAAAAGAAGCATCTCCCCAGCTTTAACAGTATGTTTAAAAAGTGGATCTGAGTCTTTCAACACATCCATTAAGCTAACCCTTTGTAATTCTAGGAAAGCAAATCAGATTTTTATTAAAATTAATTTGGATGATAAGTAGCATTTCTATAATAAGCTATATATATGATCCAATACACTCCTGTTTCTCTAGGTTTTATGTACTTCATTCATTTGTTCCCTTGTATAACGAATAGAATATTTATAACAATGACTGGGGCCGGGCACGATGGCACACGCCTGTAATACCAACACTTTGGAAGGCTGAGGTGGGCAGATCACCTGAGGTCAGAAGTTCAAGACCGGCCTGACCAACATGGAGAAACCCCGTCTCTACTAAAAATACAAAAAAATTAGCCAGGCGTGGTGGTGCATACCTGTAATCCCTGCTACTCGGGAGGCTAAGGCAGGAGAATTGCTTGAACCCAGGAGGCAAAGGCTGTGGTGAGCCAAGATCATGCCATTGCACTCCAAACTGGGCAACAAGAGCGAAACTCCGTCTCAAAAAAAAAAAAAAAAAAAAGAAGGCTAACACTTATGTAGAAGTTAGTATTATACCAGTACCATTCTAAGTGCTTTACACTTATTAACTCACTTAATCCTCACAACAGGTTAATAAGGTAGGTGCCTTTTTTATTGTAGCAAAATATATATAACATGAAATTTACCATTTTAACCATTTTAGATGTACAGTTTGCTGGCAGTAAGTATATTCACATCGTTGTACAATCATTACCGTCATCCATTTCCAGGAGTTTTGTCATTTTGCTAAACTGAACTCCATGTCCATGAAACAGTAACTCCCCATTTCCCTCTGCCACCAGCCCCTGCAACCATATTTCTGCTGTCTCTGTGAATTTGACTATTCTGAGAACTTCATATAAGTGAAAGCATACAGTTGTATCCTTTGCGGCTAACTTGTTTCACTTAGCATAATGTCTTCACTCATTAGAAGAATGAATTCATGTTGTAGCATGTATCCGAATTTCCTTCTTTTGCAAAGCTGAGTAATAGTCCCTTGTATGTATACACCACATCTTGTTTTTCCATTCTTCCATCAACAGACACTTAAGTTGCTTCCACATTTTGGCTGTTGTGAACAATGCCCTATAAACATGGATGTACAAATATCTGTTCATGTCCTTGTTTTCAATTATTTTGTGTATATACCCAGAAGTGGAATTGTTTGGATTATATAGTAATTCTATTTTTAATTCTTTGAGGAACTACCATAGGATTTTCCACAGCAGTTAGTTACACCATTCTACATTCCCACCAGCAGCGCACAAGAGTTCCAGTTTCTCCATATCCTCATCAACACTTGTTACTTTCTGTTTTCTTTTTAAACACTTTTTTTTTTTTTTTTTTTTGCTGACGGAGTTTCGCTCTTGTTGCCCAGACTGGAGTGCAATGGCGCGATCTCAGCTCACCACAACCTCTGCCTCCCAGGTTCAAGTGATTCTCCTGCCTCAGCCTCCCTAGTAGCTGGGATTACAGGCATGCACCACCACACCCAGCTAATTTTGTATTTTTAGTAGAGATGGGGTTTCTCCATGTTGGTCAGGCTGGTCTCGAACTCCCAACCTCAGGTGATCTGCCTGCCTCAGCCTACCAAAGTGCTGGGATTACAGGCATGAGCCACTGTGCCTGGCCTTAAACACTTTTATTTGATAATAACCAGATCCTTTTGTAGTTCATAAGCATGATGATTGGGTGTTCACATGCATGTGTGAATGTGCCACCCTCTGAACCTCGTTACAACATCAACACATTACCTGTCTGACCTGAAAAAAAATTTCTTTTATTTTATAATAGCCATTCTAGTGGGTGTCAAGTGGAATCTCATTGTGGGTTTGATTTGCATTTACCTAGTGATAAATGACATTGAGCATCTTTTTATGTGCGTGTTGACCATTTGTATATCTTTTCTAAAGAAATATCTATTCAAGTCTTTTGCCCATTTTTTAAGTGGGTTGTTTGGTTTTTTGTCATTGAATTGTAGGAGTTCTTAGATATTCTGAATAATTGGTTCATGCCTGTAATCCCAACACTCTGGGAGGCTGAGGCAGGAGGATCACTTGAGCCCAAGAGATCGAGGCTACAGTGAGACATGATCACACCACTGCACTCCAGCCTGAGTGACAGACTGAGACCCTGTCTCTGTCTCTCTCTCTCAAAGAGAGATATTCTGGATATTAATCTCTTACCAGATACAAATTTACAAATATTTTCTCCCACTCCATGGGTTGCCTGCCTTTTCACTCGGTTGATAGTGTCCTTTGATGCACAAAAGTAGGGAGGCTAAGGCAGGAGAATTGCTTGAACCCGGGAGGCAGAGTTTGCAGTGAGCCAAGATCGTGCCACTGTACTCCAGCGTGGGTGACAGGGCGAGAGTCTGTCTTTAAAAAAAAAAAAAAGAAGTTTTTAATTTTTATGAAGTCCAACTTATCTATTTTTTTCTTTTTTGCCTGTTCTTTTGATATCATATTCAAAAACTCATTGCCAAACTCAATGCCATGAAGCTTTTCCCCTATGGTTGTAAACTCTAGGGGAAAACTTAGTTCTAAGAGTTTTACAGTTTTAGTTCTTATGTTTAGGTTTTTGCTCCATTTTGAATTAACTTTTGTAAATGGTGTACGGTAAGAGTCCAATTTCATTTTTTTTTTTTTTTTGCATGTAAAGTATGTACTTTTGTCATCCTTATTTGACAGATAAAGAAACTGAGGCACAGGTGAATCAAATAATTTCCCTAAGGTCACACAGCTAGTGAGTCATCAAGACAGGATTACAAATCCAGGCAGATTGAGCTCTCGTAGGACCTGAAGCCTAATTTTTGCTGCTAGCAATCCTAGTTGTACCTTTACATTTATGACATATGGCTGGTCAAATCTTTGATGCTGAATGGTTTGGTCAGGGATCAAGCCTTGTTACAACACTGCATTAATGAGAACATTCAGACCACTTCACGACTTTCTTCTTTATGGCCTTGTATCCAGGAACATATGCTCACCAAAGATAGATAGGAGAGAGAGTTATCATTTGCACAGAATCCCAAAAATTAAACCTGCAGAGAAAGGGCTGGCTGAGAGCAGCAGTGTTTGCATGAGGCTGATCAAAGTCACGCTGGGGATGGAGGATGCTTTCCAGGCACAGCTGCAAGTGGCTTCTCTCCTCTCCCTCCCACCCTGCCCCGACCTCTACTCCAGTTGCACTCACCTGGCAGCCCCAAGGCTGGCTCCAGTCACACATGCACAGGTGCAACGACAATGATCAGTCACCGTGTTCTAAGATTTGGCCTTTGCCAGAGAACACTGACTCCGGCAAGACAGACTGAGGGCTAGGAGATGCCAGCTGTGCCCCTCCTGAGAGAAGGACTTCTGGCTGGAGCAGGCAGCTCACAGCACAGGTGGTCAGCAGTAAAATGCAGACATTATTGGGTTTTTCCATTCAATCGAGCCAACGTCTGAGTAGTTAGGAAATGCCCTGGGCCTAAAACAGTGCCTGACACATAGCAGATGCTCAACAAATTGTTTAATGACATATTGGTTACAAGGATATGGCCAGGGGGGCGGGGGGGCTGTAACCTCTACCCAACAGGAGTGCACAATCTGGTGAAAGAGGCGGATTTGTGCCCCAGTGACATTTTGATACAAGGCTGTCCATAAGAGAGTGAGATTATGATTTCCTAATAAAGAAGGCAGAGAGTGTGACTGCTTCTTACTGGGAAAAATCTAGAGTGGCTTCTTGGAGAAGGTAGAATTTGAGCTGAGTCTTGTAAAGATAAGTAGGGTGAGACCTTCCAGGCTTAGGTGAGCAGAGGCCTCTAGGGGAGAAGGTGCAGGGGAGGGGAAGTCAGGGTCACTAGCCAGGCTCCCTGCTGGAAATATACCTGGGGAAGTGGGTGGGGCCAAATTGTGGAGGGCTGTGCCTGCCAGTTCTGGGATTTGGGGGTTTCTCTCTTCACGCTTCTGCTGAGTCCTGCACACAAACGCTGGGCCACCGTCTGCGGTATGATGGCAGCTGGCTACCTAGGGATTTGTTGCCTTCCTGGGGACTCTGGCTCCCTGCCACCCCATATCTGCTGGGCAGGAGCACAAGCCCTACCGTCTCCTTCTATCCTCTGAAAACCTTCAGTGGCCAGCACTAGAGCAGGTGGACAAGACAGCCAGTGCGGGGGAAGGGACAGTTACACAGGAGTCCCCTTCATGCCTCTGCATTCAGAGACCTCATATGCATCAGGAAGGCAACTGGCCAGAGCAAGTCCCTCGTTAAAGGAAGCACTCATGGTGGAATGTGGATAATAGGCCACCCCGTGCACACTAATTACTCATTGCAGAAGAAACCCGAAGCTGGGATTGATTGGCAAAGCCGAGGCAGGCCTGAACAGTCTGAAACCATCCATAGCCAGCCTCCTGCTGTCATGTTTATTTTCCTGTTCCAGAAACTCCCTCCCTGGCTCCCTTCTGTCTCCTTTTATATTTTAGAGTGACTTTTGAGTGGGTGGTTAGGTCTAGGATAACTTTAGGGAAGAACTAAGGAAATATGCATGAGAAGAGGGTGGGTGCCAGAAAATTAGTTAATTTTTAACATGTTTTCTATTTAGAAATATAATCTATATCACTGAAAACTTGATTTTATTTTTTTAAAAAAAAGAGAGAGAAGAAAGAACTATTTGTAATCTTATGCCCAGCACCCTAATACTCCCATTATTAGCTTTTTCATCTATTTTCTTCCAGTCTTTCCATCATGACTATACACAGGATATGCTTGTATGAGGTTGTAATTATACTATACATGCTTTCTTATATTTTGTTGTTTTCCACTGAAAATATTCTTCAACAGGTTGGAAGTGAGTAAGTAGATTTCACCCTGACTGGTATCCTCGGTTAGCCCTAAGCAGGCCTTGGGCATCCCTCAGTGCTTCAGTTTATCCAGTGAGATGGGACATTATTAACCAACTTCATGGGCATAATTTGAGAAGTTATTAAAAGAAACCAGGAAACTAGAAAAAAACTTAAAGAGAATGTGGTAGACAGGATGTCCTGCCAAAGATATCTATGTCCTAATCCCTGGGACCTGAGAGGTTACAGGGCAAAGGGAAATCAAGGTTGCCGATGGAATTAAGGTTATCATCAATAGATGGCCTCGAAATGGGGATATTATCTTGGATGATCCAGGTGGACCCAAGGTAAGCACAAGAGTCCTTAAAAGCAGAAGAAGGAATCAGAAGGAAGATCAGAGAGAGGGCAGCCTGAGAAGGACTCAGCTTAAGGTTGCTGGCTTTGAAGATGGAGGAAAGGGCCACAAGCCAAGGAATGAAGGTGGGGGTGACCTCTAGAAGCTGGAAAAGGCAGGGAAACAGATTCTTCCCTAGAGCCTATAGAAGGAACTCAGGCCTGTCAGCACCTTGATTTTAGCCAGTGAGACCCATTTTGAACTTCTAACCTCCAGAACAGTATGAGAATAATACATTTATGTTGTTTAAACCACTAAATGTATGGTAATTTGTTAACAGCAGCAATAGGAAATGAATACACCAAGATCAGCTTCCAAATCCTAAGCAAAAATATATGTAAATACTCTAAATTCCAGGTCTAGGATTCCCTAACTCTTCTTGGCAACTCCCTGCACCATGGTGCAAGCTTCTCAGTAAAGCTTCAGAACCAAGCTGGTGCTTCAGAAATGCCCACTAATGGCCAGGCGCAGTGGCTCACGCCTGTAATCCCAGCACTTTGGGAGGCCGAGGCAGGCGGATCACGAGGTCAGGAGTTCGAGACCAGCCTGGCCAACATGGTGAAACCCCATCTCTACTAAAAATACAAAAATTAGCCAGATGTAGTGTTGGGTATCTGTAATCCCAGCTACTTGGGAGGCTGAGGCAGGAGAATCACTTGAAACCAGAAGGCAGAGGTTGCAGTGAGCCAAGATCACACCACTGCACTCCAGCCTGGGTGAAAGACCGAAACTCTGTCTCAAAAAAAAAAAAAAAAAAAGAAAGAAAGAAAAGAAAAAGAAATGCCCACTAATGAGAACCTGCAAGGGTTCCTGTCCAGACTCAAACAGCACATCTTGCCATCCGCACAGGGGCCACAGCATCTTGGAAGAGGCTGGTCCTTACTGCATTCAGAGGAAAGTCAGTCAAAGCAAAGATTCACAGAAAAGAAATGAGGTTGCAATTCACCCAGAAAAGGCCTCTCGTCTAAAGGCTCCATATTTCAGGGCCCAACACAGTGCCTGGAATATAAAAAGTACCCAACAAATATTTATCATATGACTGAGTGAAAAAATGCAGTGAGTGAAAGTGTCATTTAGCTTCCACCATCCTCTCTATAATTCTTTCTTTCACGTCCTCTGGGAAAAGCCTCAAGACCACATGAGACTGAATTTCTAGGCTGTTTTTGCACTTGAAGTACCTGCCACATAAACTTTCCAGACATCAAGGAGCAGGTGATGCTGTATGTTTGAATTCTAAGCATTCGTTTAATTCATAAGTCCCCAAGGAGTAAAGCCAATTGAATAGTAAGCCATGTTTTCTTTTATCTTGAACCTTGAACCCATGCACTCTGGCCCTAAATCTAGAGCGCTTTCCCAGGCTTTCTCACAAGCTGTCTCCTTCCCACTCTGCTGCTTGTGCATTTTGGGCTCACTTGATGTGATTTTATTAGTTATCAATCCATCTTGATCATCCCCTTTTTTCCAGTGCTTGTTTCCCATCCCTCCAATCCGTAGCAGCTTTAAATCTGTTGCTCCCATATTATATCCACATATCAGAAATACTTTTGGCTGCAAGCAACATAGTTCATGATTACCAATGGTTGAAGTTGGGGAATCAGCAAACACTGCTCACTGGTCAAATCCTGCCCACTACTTGTTTGTGTAAATAGAGTTTTATTGGAACACAACCATGACCATTTGTTTACATATTGCCTATGGATGCTTTTGCACTACAAGGACAGGTTGAGTGGTGGCAACAGAGACCATATGGCCTGCAAAGCCTAAAATATTTACTGTCTGACCCTTTATAAAAAACCTTCCAGGCTGGGCATGGTGACTCACGCCTGGAGTCCCATGCACTTTGGGAAGCTGATACAGGTGGATAACTTAAAGTCAGGAGTTCAAGACCAGCCTGGCCAACATGGTGAAACCCTGTCTCTACAAAAAATACAAAAATTAGCCAGGCATTGTGGCACATGCCTGTAATCCCAACTACTCCGGAGGCTGAGGCAGGAGAATCGTTTGAACCCAGGAGGCAGAGATTGTAGTGAACCAAGTTAGTGCCACTGCACTCCAGCCTGGTTGACAAAGCGAAACCATCTCAAAAAAAAAAAAAAAAAAAAAAAAAGGCTGCTAACCCCTGATTTAGGCAATAAAGAGATTTAATTATCTCAAGTAACACAAAGTGGAGGGGCAGGAGTTTCATGCTTGCCCAGCTGCTTGCCAATGCCATTAAGGACTCAAGCGCTATCTTTTCCTTCCACCATCCTTTGAATGTTGGTTTTTCTTATTAGGCTTGTTAGTGCATGTTCACAAGATGGTCCCATACTTTCAGAGGTCACATCTGGGTTCAAAGCAGAAGAAAGGGGCCAGCAAGCAATCCTTGCACAGCTGTTCCTTCTCTAAAGAAACAAAGACCTTCCAGAGGCTCCCAGTAGTTTCACCTTAGTTTCATTGACCAGAGCTAGGTCCCTTGGCCATTCTGAGATGCAACGGAGTCTGGGAAAGCAAGGCCCTCCATGTCTTCACTTTCCTGGATTCAACCAACCAGGGATGGAGAATATTCAGGAAAAAAAATAACAATCCAAACCAAAAAAAAAAAAAAGTATAACAACTATTTATACCGCATTTACATTGTATTCAGTATTATAAGTTGCTAGAAACAATGTAAAGTATAGGGAGGATGCATATGGGCTATACTGTACAAATATTACTACCACCATTTTATAATATATAAGGGACTTGAGCATACACAGATTTTAATATCCACAGAGGTCCTGGAACCAATTCCCCACAGATAACGAGGGATGACTATTTGGGAAAGGGGATCTGCTGACAAAAAATTGGGACTCTTTTAGCAGAAAGAAGTGAGGGGGAATAAGTGTTGGGCAGTTAGCATAGTCTCCCACCACCTGGACAAGAAAAAGGAGAAAAGACCTAATATTTGTTCACCACCTACTATGTGCATTAAGTATTTTACATACCTCAGCTCATATAATCCTTAAACTGAGGACACTGAGTAAAATTATTCAGAGAAGAAATTAACATGCCCAAGGATGGGGCAAGATCTCAAGATCAATTCCATCTTCAAGCAAAGCCTCTGCTCAGTCTCCACTGTGTTCTCCTCAGCTCCCTTTAGGAGTACTGAGAGATTAGAAAGTGCTTTCACAAGTGCAGGGTGGGCAGGGAGTGAGAGCGTGCACCCTCTCACCTTACCATAAGCTGGCTCAGTGGAACACCCTTTCACTTACATTATTTCATTTACACCAAAAACGAGGTATTATGTCAGTATTGTGGGCTAAATTATATAATGATTAGACGATTGAGAAGTGGTGGGGCTGAGATTGGAACTATTTGTTCATTTATTCATTTCCCCACAATATCGAGCCCCTAGTATGTGCCAGGCACTGTGAAACCTGACTCTCGGGTTGATTCCAGAACCCATGCACTCTCCATTCCCTCTACCACTATATTAGCTCCATTTTAGAGACAGGTTCAGAAGGTTCCAGAGCTCACGCAAGATCACAAAGTTCCCATGAGGCAGAGCAGGCCTTGAGCCCAGGGGCTCTGGCTGTAAATCCAAGGCTCTTTCCCAAGCTTTCTCACAGGCTGTCTCCTTCCCACTCTTTGGCTTGTGCTTTTTGGACCCACTTGATGTTTCCCTATGTCCATTGTTCAGCCTCTGCAGGCCCATAAGACTGAAGTGAAAGACTGTTCTGAAGGGTAGAAAGAGATTTGGTGCCTACAAAATGAGTTTCAGGATACCAGAGCTATTGAGCCACTGAATTAACCAACCCTGGTATTCTCTAGCCTTTGGTCTTTTTGTTACATGAGATAACAAACTTTCTTTCTCATTGTTCAAGCCTGTTGAGTCAGGATTTACTGCATCCTAACCTGTATGAAAATTTTGGTCGCTCTAGAATATAGTTCTTACAGTCTGGGAAACTCACTGAGGCACCTGCTTCGAAACATCTTTATTTATTGTTTTGACATCAAGCTGGTTCATGGTGCTAACTCCTGATCTGGTCCTTTGATGAGATGGTCAGTTACTGAAGAACAAGAAGCTTTGCACTGATGTGAATTTTGAAGCCCTAGATTCAAGCCCAGCTCCACTTCTAACTGGCTCCACACAGTTGCTCTCTATCCTTCCAGGCTATATTGTTGCCTTGGGAGACTTCCTTAGCCAAAGGGGACTAAGTGGGTTTCATTTCTCATGCCAGTTCTCACTGGAACACTGTGTGGATCACTTTCATGGAGCATCCAAGAATATATGCTGTATGTTTCCATTCATATGAAGTTCAAGAATAGAACAAAACAGTCCACGGTGTTAGAAATCAGAATAGCAATTACCTGGTGGGTAGGAGGATACTGACTAAAAAGCGGCATGAGGGACTTCCTGGGTGGATGAAAATGTTCTGGATTTTGTTTTCTGTGGTGGTTACAAAGGTATATACAATTGTCAATATTTATCAAATGAACATCTAAATATTCTGTGCATGTTATATAATTTATGCCTCAGTTTCAAAAATGTTCTTAAGGAGAAAATGGATTCTGAGATCACCTTCAGTTCAGCAGTCAAGAATCCTGTGATTGATTAGGGATGTCTGCCATGGACACTGGGAAGGGTGAGAGATGTCAACACAAATATCACACATTTGCTATTCTTTTGCCTAAGCAATCATCCTCTGAGAGTTTCTACATCACTTAAGTGGTTGTAGTAACTCAGTCCACCTTATAGGATTACAGATGAGGTGAAAGTTCTTTGTATAATGTAAATTCCTAGTCAATTGTAAGATGTTATTATTCATATTTATTCCCTATGATGTCTTGCACAGTGGCACTGACTTTGGCAGATAGGTTCCCAGAAAATTCTCCCCAGCTTAAATGAAATGCATCAGAGCCAGATATTTTCAAAATGCCAGGCTCCCCATGAACATGGACATGATTTGTCTGTCCCATTATTCACATTACAAACATTGAATGCCAATGCAGATTTGTGAGCTGGCTTTCCCATTACAGTACAGAGCCATTTTTGAAGATACTAAAATGATTTTCACAGGCTGAACTAGGTAATGTGTTTTCTTCTGAAGTTTTTACCCTTTCCTAATACTCTATCTCAAGATGGGATCTGGTATATGTCATTTCTCCTTCTGCTTCCAACTGCAAACCTGCAGGGGCCTTTCAGAGCTTTGCTCTGAGGGCTCTTGGTTCATGTCTATTAGCCGAGGCATCTGTTTTTGGTGCCTTCTGGCACCTTCTGGGAGTTTCCTGGGTTACTGATGAAGATTGTGCTAACCAGCCTGTATCACTGGGTGGCTCAGGGGTCAGCAGCTGTGCTGTTTCCTGACTGGTGTCCCCACAGGGAGAGCAGGACAGAGCCTGGCAACCATACCTCCACTTCCGAAGCCAGCTGGAGAGCCAGGCCCAACGGCAGATCCAGCCAGGGCATTCAGCCAAGAGATACCTCCGAGGCCTCCTGCGGACTTGGCCCCCAGACGCCATGTATAGGCTCTGGTGCGCAGGTCAGTGGGGAAATGGGAGGGGGGCACACCCCAAACTGCCCCACCTCCCATTCTGGTGTGACAGTGTGTTTTCCATCAAGACCTGAAACACCAGGATTTCAAGCCCAATTCTGTGTTAAAGCAAAGTCCCCACGCTTGGTAGCCCACAAGCCCCTTTCACGGCTCCCGTCCTTTGTCCTCTGACGCATTTGCAGAGGGAAGAACGGCCTGAAGTCCTGCCTTCACTCCCATCCCTTGCCCTCAGCAGCCTCACATGCCACATCCAGGCCAGAACTTTCTTCCCAATCTTCTCCACTCAGAGACCCTCCAGTTCAACACCCATCTTTTACAAGATAAGGAAGAAGAAGCCCAGAGAGGCAAAGTAATTTGTCCAAGATCATTCAGTCAAAAGCAGAGCTGGGACCAGAAGTCAGATCCACCCTGCACCTCCACAGTTCCACATTCTTCCCAACATTCCTTAGTACCCCATCTGAGGTGATCCCAGGTCCTCCCGGAAGTGAAATGTTACGACTCTTCCTCTTAAAAATGGCGGCTCTCCAGCGCAATCCATTAGGAGTGCGATGGACACCCTTCTGATGAACAGACCCTAAATGCACTCTGTAGATGCTTGAAAACAAAAATGGGAAGTGGTTGGGGATTAGAGTTGCCAGATTTAGCACATGCATACCCACCCCCGCAACACGCATAAACAGTTACGCTTGCAATCTTCAATCTTCGGGATGTACTTCTACTAAAAAAAATTCATTGTTTATCCAAAATTCAAACTTAACTGGACATCCTGTATTTTATTTGGCAAGCCTATTTGGGATGAGAAGAGTGAGCAGAGAATGTGCCAGTACCCACTCGGCTGTTTGCCATTTCTTCAGCAACAACAAACAGCCAGGACTAGAGAAAGACTGACTTTCTTCCTGCTTTATAGGTTTACCCTGAGGAAGAAGAGAAAGCAATTCACTCCCCCAATAAGTGGTGACTTGAAGCAAAATGAAAGTTGTGGGCTCCTCCAGTCATTGGTTTTACTCTCAGGGCAGTTCCACAGTTATAGGCAGTTCCATTTATTTGAAACTTTTGAGAAAGAGCCCCTTAACCAAAGAAGTGTTTCTCATTGAGTGGGGCAGAGGGCAGAGCAGGCCATTCTCCTATAGCCTAGGTCCAACATTCCCCAGAATGAAGGCCCCTCTTGACCTCAAAAAAGGTCGAGTCCTCCATTGGAGTCTATGGCTAAAATGTGTGGTTTAAGGAAAGATACACACACACATGCATTCTTGAGCTCCTTGCCATAATTCCTTGCCAAAGCCCCTCTTGAAGTTGAGGACCTCAAGCTGGAGGCACAATGGCAAGAATCTGGTGTAAGCCCATCAGTCCAATGGCCCCTACCACCCTCTTCCTGCACATCTCAGAGCTCCCCACTTTATGATACTAATGTACATATTCTCTTGGATTTCTTTACACCCCTATGATTAATCCTCCCCACCCTTCAAGCTCACACCTTCTACAAAGTCTTTGCTGAAAGCTCCAGTCAATATTGAGCTCCTTGTTTTCTGAACTTATATTACACTGACACTCAGAGCCATACAGAACACAAGAGAGCTTTGTCTCTCCAATAGACTACTGAGTGCCTTTTAAAAGGGCCCAAGTCTGGTTCCACTGTATCTACTTCACTGGCTAGCCGAGGGGTGGGCCCATTGGGAAGTCCTCAATAAATACTTATAGAATGACTGGATTGAGGAGGCTGCTGATCATGGGGCCTACAGAAGCAAATAGGATACATCCACTACCACTGGATCTCCTCCTGAGGCAGGAGGAGCTTTTTGCTCCAAAGCAGCAGCCATGCTCCTTCCACCAGGGAGACCCAGTTCTTGGGAATGATGGGGTGGAGGAAGTACACATGTAGCACAGAACCAGAAGCACCCAAGACACTAGATAGACAAGGCCTCTGTGGGTTCTATCTGACTTTTTAATCTCCCTCATCTTCTAATTGTCTTCCCTAATGGGCAATGTCCAAAGCCAAGACTAGTGTAAGTGAGGAACCTTGTAGTTACCACCAAGAACTTGAAGTTGGCTACCACTATTTCTATCAATATCTCCTGATCTACTCTTCAGGATACATCAAGGATTCTGTGCTACTCCAGGACAGTCAACTTAATGTACCAAAGAAGCTCAGGCCACAACAAGATCTTTCAGGTGTACCCCCAAAATACCATCTCCTGCCTGTCTTCCCTTCATTTTGGATTCAACAAGGAAAATCTTTTGAACAACGTACGTGTTGATTTACATGTTGATTTTATGACCAGTTCTCAGATATTTGAATTGTTAACACCTTAAAATGGCATTTCCCAAAACAAGGTCTTGAGATTCTGGGTTGCATAGTCCTCAATCTGTAAAATGAGGGGTTAGTGCAGACCAGCACTGTCCAATAGTGCTTTTCACAGTGATGGAATGTCCCATATGGGCTGTCCAATAAAGTGGCCATTAGCCACATGTGGCTATTGAGCATTTGAAATGTAGCAGTACAACAGTGAAACTGAGCTTTTTATTTTATATTAATTAATTTATATCTAAATAACCACATGCAGCTGGTGGCTACTGTGTTTGGCAGTGTAGGTCTAGACTTTAGATTTTAGATGATTTCTTAGATCTGTTCCACTCTTATATTCCTGAATCCTGTGATTTTTGTGGCAATATGATGTGAAATATATATATAGGATTTAGAGCCAGAAATGTGTATCGAAATGGCTGTTCTCTCATTTACTAGTGTAAGATCTTAAGTAAGTCATTTAACCTCTTTGAGCTTCTGTTTGCTCATCTCTGTAATGGGCACAGTAAGATCTACATAGTAGCTATACAGAAAATTATTGCAAGCCGTCTGTAAACTGTTTAGTATTATGGGGATTGACACTGTCAATCCCAATATTATTCTATGGAACTTGAAGCATTAAAAGAGCCAGAAGTCACCTTTGGTAAGGGAGATGGGAAAAGACAACTGGGTAGCAGTAATAGGCAAAGACGAGAGCCTTGGCTGGTAGCAGGGTTCTTGAGAAAATAAAAGAGCAAGAGCCCAACATAAGATTTTTGGCCAGGCTCAGTGGCTCATTCTGTAATCTCAACATTTTGGGAGGCCAAGGAGGGAGGATTACTTGAGGCTAGGAGCTTGAGACCAGCCTGGGCAACATAGTGAGACCCTGTCTCTACAAAAAATTTAAAATTTTAGCTGGGCGTGGTGGCACATGCCTGTAGTCCCAGCTACTTGGGAGGCAGAGGCAGAAGGATCACTTGAGCCCAGGAGTTCAAGGCTGTAATGAGCTATGATGGCACCACTGCACTGCAGCCTGGATGACAAAGTGAGACCCTGTCTCTAAAATATGTATAATGAAATTTTCCAGAAACAGTGGCAGTGCCTGACCAACCCCCATCTTTGGGGAAATGATCCGGTCAGGATAAGTAGAGAATCTGGTTTATCAAATGAATGGAGAAGTGAACATGGCAGGTTCTCAGAGCCTGGGGCCATTAAACATTTCAACCAACCACACATCTCACTTGAGTCTTTTTTTTCTTTTTCTTTCTTTTCTTTTTATTTTCTTTTATTTTATTTTTTATTTTTTTTAGAGACAAGGTCTTGCTCTGGCTCTGTCACCCAAGCTGAAGTGCAGCCATGTGATTATGGCTCACTGAAGCCTTGAATTCCTGGGCTCAAGCAATCCTCCCACTTAGCCTCCTAAGTAGCTGGAACTGTAGGAGCACACCACCACTCCCAGCTAATTTTTGTATTTTTTGTAGAGATGGGGTTTCATCATGTTGCCCAGGCTGGTTTCAAACTCCTGTTCTCAAGTGATCCTCCCACCTTGGCCTCCCAAAGTGCTGTGATTACAGGCATGAGTCACCGCTCTCGGCCTCAGGGCTTTCATTTTATGGCTGGATTAACAGTGCACACCTGAGGGATAAAGTGACTTTCCTAATTGATGCCATATACCAAGGAGCTGTCACAATCAGGCAGAAAACAAAGAGGCTGTATCAAATAGTGATTAAACATGTGGCCATTAGCACCGATTCCAAGCCATATAGCCACTCTGGGCCTTGGTTTTCTCATTTATAAAATGGAGATGACCATACCCATCTTTATCTCACAGTGTTGCATGTGGGAATTAAATAATATACTAATAGAAGCTGGCACATACTATGTGCTCAATAAATGTTCATTATACCTCCTTAGCTTGTGTTTTAAGCATAATTACTAACTGGAATGCCCAATTGCCCATGATCATAGGGGCCAAAAAAAAATCTATTTTAAAAGAAGCAAAAATAGTTCAGTGGCTGTAACTTGAACCCTGACTGATGTTTTCATTTGTTTGAACCTCATCTTCCACTGGTTTCCCTCTCTTTGCCCAACACTTTATCTGAAGAAGTAGCAAAAGTCCCAGCTGCAAATCCCAGGTCTCCAATAATGTGATGCTGGCTAAGTCACTTATGCTCCCTGCATCTTCAGTTTGTGCATATGTAAAATGCAAATACTGGGGTCTGCATTCCTTCCTCCCTGGGTTGTTTGTGAAGAATAACAGGAGAGGACAGAGCTACTCCAATGCACATTATCTGGATTATCTGAATCCATGCCTGAGATATAGAGAGACTAAGTTTTGTGGTCTCCTTTCAACAACTAAAGCTTCCAATACTTTGCTTGCAAACCTGTTTCTATTAAGCACAAATAAATGAATCAGATGATGATGTTTACTAAGAAAAAAAATTCTGTTTCCCCTCGCATTGATTGAGTCACATATTCAAACTCACCTGGGATATTACCAAAGGGAAAATTGTCTCTGTATCCCCCTACTCACAATGCCGCCCACCCCAACTTAGATACCCAATGTGTAAGACTGTTCAGACTGGGCACAATGGCTCATGACTGTAATCCCAACACTTTGGTAGGTTGAGGCGGGTGGATCACTTGAGGTCAGGAGTTAGAGACCAGTCTGGCCAACATGGTGAAACCCCGTCTCTACTAAAGATACAAAAATTAGCTGGGCATGGTGGTGCATGCCTATAATCCCAGCTACTCGGGAGGCTGAGGCAGGAGAATCGCTTGAACCTGGGAGGTGGAGGTTGCAGTGAGCCAAGATCATGCCACTGCACTCCAGCCTGGGCAACAGAGTGAGACTACGTCCCCCGCACCCCCCACCCAAAAAAAAAGAGACTATTTAGTAAGTTTCACTTCCTCCACCCTCAGAAATGCATTTGGTTCCAGGTGAATCTGACCAGAAAAGATGGACCTAGTTTAGTGTCTGGTTTGACCCCAAGGAATCATTCTACAAGGGATCATTCCAGAATATCCCCAAAGGTCTTTAGTGCTGCACTCTGTATGGAGTTGAGGTCCTCTTAGGAGCAGGCCTAATGTAGCCCTGGGTCACCTCATATTAATGAGTCCCCAGCCCATCAGATTTCCCTGGGCCACTAAAACCAGAGCAGACCCTCTGAACCTGAACCTGAGCCTGAGCCTGTATTTCTTCCACCAACACTCAGCCTCAGTTCACATCTAGCATGGCCTTCAGGAGCCAGTGGGCAAAGGAAGGAGAGCTGGAGGGAGGGAGTAGCCCCACCTGTGGGCAATTGACTCTTGGCCCAGTGACACCAAGGATGGAAATAATGAACGGGAGCAGAGAGGGAAAGTGAGGCTGGCTGGAGGCAGGAGGAGAAGCAGCTCGCAGAAGTCTTGTGATCCATCACACACAGGCCCGAAGCCTTCCAGAGCCCCTAGTTGAAAGACAACCCCAAATTGTTCCATGGAGCTGCATGCTGGGAATAAAGGTATTGCTAAAGCTTGGCTCCAAACAAGGAAGCTTTGCCAGACTGCTTCAGCAATAAATCTACCTTGAGAAAGTGATGAAAACAGCTGCAGGACCCCTTAAACCATTGATGAAAGACTTGTTAACTATGTTGGAGTCATCTGTTGACTCAGATCCTTCCTGAGGGTTGCAGACAGGATAAGTTCAGAGAGCTAAACAGCAGTCTTACCTCAGTGCATTCGGCAGAGGCTTTTCCACAAGTAAAGAGCCAGGAGATAGCCCGGGAATCCCAAGAGCTTGCTTCAGGCTGAGCACCTCCATGACAACAGAGCAGGCTGCAGGTCACGCCACCATAATCACAGCACTGTCATCCACTAATCCCTCACAGTTTACAAGGGGCTGTCACATTCATTATCTTATTTGAGCTCCAAATAACTCTACAAGGAAGTGAGGGCAAGAAATCTGTATCCCCATTTTACAGATTGGGAAACTGTGTCCAAGAAGTGAAGACTCAACCCTGAGCCTCCTGACTGCCAGTGCAGCTCTGTTTCCACAGACCTGGCTGCCACTTCCGAGGAGGCACTATCAGAAATACAAAATAAGGGAGGAGGGGGAGCAAGGGAGGGCCTTGAGCACTTTTACTCAGAGAAGCAAGAAGGGAGGCAGTTTGGAGGCAGCAAGAACACCACGTCCATTTCCAGGGTGACAAGCTGACCCATTGTTCACCATTGCAGGTCAACAGGGCCTGGATGAAGGGGAAGCTGGAGCTGCTGGACACGTGGACCAGGGCCCTCTAGCCAAGAACCATGGCAGTCAGGGGACTCGCTTGCCACCACGCAGGAAGCAGCCCTGGCAGGAAGATGAAACGCAGGCAGAGGTACCATTTCTTTTTTTTTTTTTTTTCCCCGAGACGGAGTCTCACTCTGTCACCCAGGCTAGAGTGCAATGGCAGAATTTTGGCTCACTGCAACCTCCGCCTCCTGGGTTCAAGCATTTCTCCTGCCTCAGCCTCCTGAATAGCTGGGACTACAGGTAAGCACCTCCAGGCCTGGCTAATTTTTTGTATTTTAGTGGAGATGGGGTTTCACAATGTTACCCAGGCTGGTCTCAAACCCCTGAGCTCGGGCAATCTGCTGGCTTCAGCCTCCCAAAGTGCTAGGATTACAGGCATGAGCCACCGAGCCTAGCCAGAGGTACCACTTCTAATGGGCTCTCTTCTGTCATTGTTCTTGACTACAGAGAGGATTCTCTCTCCCTTTGCCATTTCTTGAGACTTCCAGAGAAGGGAAGAGTACTTTGACCTTTTTGACCACCATTTCCCCAAAGTGTCACCTATAGAACTGTAGCATTGCAAGATGCTCCATTTAACAAAGTTTTGGCTGGGTGTGGTGGCTCACGCCTGTAATCCCAACACTTTGGGAGACCAAGGCAGGTGGATCACCTGAGGCCAGGAGTTCGAGACCAGCCTGGCCAACATGGTGAAACCCCGTCTCTACTAAAAATACAAAAATTAGCTGGGCATGATGGTGGGCACCTGTAATCCCAGCTACTCAGAAGGCTGAGGCAGGAGAATCGCTTGAACCTGGGAGGAGGAGGTTGTAGTAAGCCAAGATCGCACCACTGCACTCCAGCCTGGGCAACAGAGTGAAACCCTGCCTCTAAAAAATAAATAAATAAGGGTTTCATAGGCAAATACACTGGGGAAGTGCTGCACGCCTTCTCCTCCTGGAAAGTCACATGTGTAGTTAGATACAGAGAGCTTGGAGAAGTTCTATAACATAGTCACCAGCTTAACTTTGTTAAACTCTGGGTTTTCCAAACTTATGTAACCACAGATTCTCCCCTGACTCTTTGCTCATCTTGGCAGCTGTTAATCTTGTTTGAAAAATAGCTATTGCCTTAGACTCAGAAAAGCCTTGTTTTGGGTCCTGCTTTTTGATAGTTGTGATGAGCCTGTCCAAGAATCGTAACTAACTTTGAGCCTGAATTCACCTCTTCTGTAAAATGGAGCTATTATCATATGTCTAACAAGGTTACTGTGAGAATTAAATGAGTTACAATGTAGAAACACTTTCTAAACTCTAAGGCCGTGTGTGTGTGTGTGTGTGTGTGTGTGTGTGCACGCGCGCGCGCGCGCAGGATAACAATTGTTCAGAGCAACATAGACAACATCTGCTCCCATCCTGAATAAACTCATTTGACTAACAAGAAGGTCATCTGCCAAGGAGAAGAGGAAAGGGGGAGAAGAGCCACAGAGTGGAAGGGCAGAGGGGAGAAACATTTCTTTTTGGGGGGTGGTGGGGGAGGGACACGATCTTGCTCTCTTGCCCAGGCTGGAGTGCAGAGGTGCTACCACAGTTCACTGCAGGCTTGACCTCCTGGGCTCAAGCAATCCTCCTGCCTCAGCCCCCTGAGTAGCTGGGACTACAGGTGTGTGCCACCATGCCTGGCTAATTTTTAAAATTTTTTTGTAGAGATTGGGTCTCACTATGTTGCCCAGGCTGGTCTCAAACTCCTGAGCTCAAGCAATCCTCCTGCCTCGGCCTCCCAAAGTGCTAGGATTACAGGTGTGAGCCACTGCGTTCAGCCTGAGAAACATTTCGTAATGGATAAAAACACCAATACTAGCACTTCATTTTGATTTTTAATCAAAATCTTGTGATTTTTTTTCACAAGATCGCACTATATGTCAGGCATGGCTAAGTATCATTCTTTCCATCATCAACAATAAAATGTTTTATTGTAATAAACAGCATTAAAGAGCTTGCTGTTATAACCTTATTTTTCTTCCCAACCTGCAAAAGAAATTTCATCCTTGAAACCATAAGCCTAGCCACAAGGGCTGTTAAAGAAACCTGCTCTGCCCCTTTATGACAGCCTGTTTACAGGAATGTGTATCTGTCGTTCCCTAGGACACGTCAATAGAGAATCACCTTTGTTTATATGCTTCAAAGGAGAGCTACAATGAAAAGACACAGCAAACCTCCAGGAAGGCCTTTGGGCATGGCCGCATCGATCACTCTTGGCTCCCAAGTGACAAATCCCACATTACATTCTGTGGAGGCGCCTTCCCTAATAGGAAGGCAGATCTCAGCGGTAAGAACTCAAATGTCTTGCTCATTGATCTGGGTAAAGCCAGTCATGCAGAGTTCATTTAAGGACACTGAGGCATGCCAAACATCACTTCCTTGCGCCACTCACCTTACAAAATAAAAGCCAGAATCTAGCTGGACGTGGGAATGAGACTCTGGCAGGCTCCTCTTTGCCTAGTGCTTAGCTGCATGCATTCGGAAATCATACTGTCTGGGCTCAAGTTACCCCCACTTACAGTTGTGATCTTGGACATATTAACCAATATTGCTGATGCTCAGTTTTCTCATCTGTAGAATGGGGATAATAATTACCCCATAAGGCTATTGTGTAAAAACCCAGATCAGGAGACTGGGGCTCTCTGAACCTGCCTCCCCCAAAGCTAGGGCTGTCCCAGTGCCCCAGCACACTGCCTGCCTTTCTCCCCATTAACTACGACGTGATAAAAGTCAAAACTCAACTGTTCATCCCCCTACCTGCAATTAATATATTCTCATTCTCATCCTGTTTTTAAAGATAAACAAAGGAACGTGAAACTCCACAAGGCCAGAAGCAGCCACTTGTTACAGGTGCTTCCTGCTGAAAGAAGCCTCTTCCCTCCTGTAGCATCTGCCACTGGCTCCAGAATAATCACCCCTGGGGAAGTGAAGAAGAAAAAGGTTGTGTGTATATGTATGTTTGTGCATACAGGAGAGAGAGAGAGGAGGGAAGAGAGAAAGTTTAATCCTAATCTAGAAATAAGGTGACTCGAAAGGATGTCTCAAAAGAGAACTGGCCTCTCTAGCGTCTGAGCTGACCAGGTGGAGCTGAATAGAGCTGTAGTAATTTACTAAAGGTTGAAAATCACGAAGTGCAAGGAATTTCAGCTGCCACCAATTCTACCTTAAAGCATGTGTTATTACCACACTCCCTGATAGCAACAGAATTCTTTGATTTCTTAAGGGGCAAGGGATTATCTGTAAACGTTTTAAAGGACAGAATTTGAGTTTGTAAGCAGTTAACTTACTTCAGATTCAAAATGCTGGAGATCTTGAATCCAGCAACAGTTTGGCTCCACTGAGGGTCTATCACCTTTGAAAATGCAGGGGAAATTTTGCAAGTCTATCAACCTCCTTTGGGAGTCAAATACACCTTTTTTAGAGATGTCCTTGGCTGTCTCTGGCCTGGTCCTGCCTTGCAGTTCTATGTGGGTCTTTCTTTGGTGTTTGGAGGCACCAGTGATGAATGGGGACAAGCAAGGGCCCCCGGATGTTCTGCCCGGAGTAGCTATGGGAACATGAGCAGGTCACTCACACACTCTGAGCACAGTGACTTTATCTGTGTATCCAGATAATAATGTCAACCTTACAGGGCTGGTAGAAGAGATGAAGCACTTTTAGGAAAGTATGTTGTATCTGACTGTGATCTACAGTGATGTTGATTAATTGCAGGGATTCATGTCATCTGAAGTGTTCCTGAAGCAGCCATGGGCACTCCAGGTGGTCCTGCTGCCAGTGAGGGAGGTTGTTTACAGTCTGTTCAAGATTTTCTCAGATTTCCTGTGTCTGAGTTGATCTAAACCTTTCCATCCACACCAGAAGGGCCTCTGTCTTCCCAGGTTCCTTTGGTGCAGGAGTGAACAGCAGGCTTGACCTGCCAAGCTCACCACAGGCCCAAGGAAAGCCCTCGACTTTGCTCCTGGGTCAGGCCAGAACTGAGCCAGGCCCAGAGGAAAGGAGTCCCTTCCCTCAACCCATGTATATGGTTTCACAGAGGAAAGCAATATTTTCCACCATATTAAAACTCTGTGTAAGTTTTTAATTAGGATAAAGAAATTAAGTCTTGGCTCGTCAGCCATACCTCACACAAATCATTTGAGTTTCCACATTGATTTCTCAATGCAAACGTTGTCAAACAAAATGCACAAGGTCAGTATTCAAAAAAGGGCAGTTGGTGTGGGCAGCCGGCACCTGGACAGTGAGGGTCTCCAGGATCATAAAGATCCTATGTGCGTGTGTTTGGTTTATCATTTTCTTAATGTCTCAAAATTATAAATATTACCCTGCATAGATTTGGTTGAATTTCCTTCTTCAATCAACTCTAAATACATAGGTTGCTTATGTATGCTTCTGATCTTTTTTTTTCTTTTTGAGTACTAAAAAGGAGACACTAGAAGGGTGTCTGACTTCCCAGATTTCTTTGGCCCAGGAGCAAACAGCAGGCCTAATGCTTTTATTTTTCCTCCTATGAAACTGAACTCCTGAAACCAGAACATGTACACATTTCACAGAGCCAAGTTCATATGTTAAAAGTTGCAAACTAAAAGGAGAAATTTTCAGCAACCTCTGAATAATTAGAAACAGGAGGCTGTTACTACTACCCCCAGTGAATCTCTCATACACACACACATACACATACACGCACACACACACACACTTTTTGGGGGACAGAAAAAAAACTGGACAAAGTTGCTGATTCTGACACACAATGATTCTTTTTCAGCTATGTTCATATTACATAAGTATGAAAAACTTCAATTTTTCTGCTAGTGGCTAGATAAATGCTAACGAGAGGAGAGTCTACTCTCAAAGAAATATGGAAATAATCCTAGTTTCAAACACTATTATAATTGCATATATTAGCTCATTTAATCCTTACAACAACCTTATAAGGTAAGTAGTATGATTACTCCTGTTTTACAGAGGAAGAAATTGTAGCTTGGCTTAGATAAGGTCAGCAATCACAAATGCTATTTCCTGCACCTTCTTAGTGGAAAGCTTGCTCAAACAATGTTCTGTACTTTGCTTTTTCCCTTAACAGCATATGCTGAGATTTCTCCCAATCAGTTCAAAGAGATCTCAGCTATGTCATTTTAGTCCGGCTCAGTCTTTCCAGCTGCAAGAAAAAGAAAGACTTTATATCCTCTCAAAGGCTCTTAAACTGAGCATGTTTATAATTCTCAGAGGATTCACAGGCAGGATTAACAGGGGCATATGCTGGATCCCAGGAGACCAAGTGGCACCACTGAAGTCAGATACCGGCTCCCAGCTGGATTAGCTTACCTCTCTCAGCAGCTCCTGGTGCAAGAGATACAATAAGAGACAGTATCGTTTGCCCCTGCAGGCAGCAGGGTTTGGATACCTGCCATGATCGTTTTGTTTTTAAATTTTCTCCAGGCACCAAAGGCTTTGAAATTACCTCCTATCTCAGAAGAACCACCCAGAGTCTTGGAGCCCCTGAAGAGCCAATTTAAAGCCAATGAGCCCCCAACAGAGCTCTTCATCTTACCGGTGGAGATTCATTACCACACCAAACAACCCCCAAAAGAGAAAGCCCACAGAAGAGGTAGGTCCCGGGTGCATGGGCACTCCTGAGGGAGAGCCTGGGATGGGGGGTCCTGCCACTTCTACATGCTCCTACATCATGGCTGACGTTCCCTATGGTCATCCCCTTCAGAGAATATTTTTTAAAGAAGGAAAAAGGATAAAATCTAGAAGAAGATCTCTTCTGATCATATTCAATTGGATTTTTAAAATATTTATTATACCCTTCATTAAGCAATGCATTTTGTTAAGCTGTGGAAGAGAAAGGAAGACAGGTATTTACATAAGTAAGTCCAATGCACCATAGGTGTTATAAAAGGGCAAGAATTTTTCAGGCAGCTTACAAAAAAATAATTGTATAAAACAAGACAACTAAAATTGAAATTGGAAAAAAAAAAACCTGGGTAAAAGGAGTAGAGAAATAGATGTTATCAGACATCTGAGATGAATTCATGGTTTGAAGTAAGTACTGGATTTAGCTGAGTTTCCTGGCAGCCAAGGTAAAAAGGACACTGGAATCTTTACACCTCCATTTTATAAAAGAAAGATAAAAGTTTATCCAAAAAGTCATTTTCCTGATTTTGAATTAGGTTATTTTGTAAGGGATGACCTCTATAATCTTTGCCACAGCAGAGATTATGTGCTTCTAAGCAAAGTTCTAAGAGAATATGAGCAAAGGAGTTCAATTCCAACTGGCGACGTGGGCTTTTTAGGGGAGGCTTCTGAGTGACCTCTCATCCTGTGTCACAAGGAAAAACTCTTTCTGACTTTCCTTTCATTCCATAGTACTCTTGTTTAAGACACATTCTTGCTCCAGGGACTTCTCTGGGCCCTCTGGGGCAAAAAGTGTCCTAGTTTTGACAGGGGTCCTAGTTCTGAGTTTTCTAGAAATTTCAGCAGAGACTGCCACTGGCTTCTTGGAGAGTTTGACTCCTGGGAATCACACAGGCAGCCATTTTGTTCTAAGCCTGTTTGGACTTCTTACTGGAAAGAATGCCTAACGGTGGAGCTTAAAAGACCAATGGAAGGGGACATGAAGGAACTTTCTGGGGTGATGAAAAATGTTCTCACTCTGGGTTGCTTGTATGGATTATAGATTTGTCAAAACTCATTGAACTGTGCACTTAAGATCTGTGCGATTCACTCTATGTAGATTTTACCTTGCCAAAAAAAATTACTCAGCTCCCTAAAAAAAATAATAATAATAAATAAAATCAACAACACAGTGTTTTAAAATGCAGGTCATCTTATTCAGGTGTGGTGAGGCCAACAGATCAGGAGACAGTTGGCACTGAAAAGATAGTTTGTTACTCACAGTTCCAAGAGGAGGAGGCACACCACACCATGCAGGGCCACACGGGGGCGCACCAGCCTCCAGGAGGCAGAAGGCAGGGAGCACAGGCAAGAGGCTGTATTGTGGTTTTCACAGAAGGAATATGGGCAAGGCAGAGCAAGCAGCCTAAGCAGATTTAGAATTGTCTAGTTTGAATAATTCAGCCAGCTCTGCAGCATAGGGGCTATCCCTTGCTGTCTGGTACTGGCCCTCTGATAATTACAGCAGGCAGATAGTAGCCTGGGAATGTTAAGAGTTTGATAAAGGAGGTTGTTGAGGGTCAGGAACTCTGGGTTGGTTGGGGTGCATATGACAGGTATGTTCCCAGGTGAGTCATTTACTGTGTCTAGGAATTGGCCAGCCCTGGGAGGGACAGTCAGGTCCCAGACATCAAAACATCAGAATGAAAAGATACACTTAATAAAAAGACAGACAATACTATTCACAAGATTGGGTTCGATCTGATTATTTTCCATGATGACCCTGATAGGAAGGTGAGGAAAACCACCAGGCCATCATGAACCAGATTCTTAAAGCCAGATGCACTGAGCTTACCAACACACTGACAATGAAACACAGGAATCGGGTACAAAGACAGTGAATTCATGGAGTTCTTCCCCATTTACATGTCATAAGGACCCTCCTTTAAAAGCATCATGAGCCTAACTCAAAATGTGTTAAGCAAAAATAAAGAAAAGGAAAGGGGAAAAAGGAAGGAAAGATGGAAGGAAGGGAGACACAGAAGGAAAAGGAAAGAAGGAAGGAAGGGAAGAAATGAAGGAAGGAAGGGAAGGAAGGGAAGAAAGGAAGAAAGGAAGGGAGGGAGGGAGAGAGGAAAGGAAGGAGGGAAGGAAGGGAAGGAAGGAAGGAAGGAATTTGTTCATGCAAGAATCAGGTAACTGCAGGACTGGCTGAATCCAGGCCTCAGAAAATATGTGTGCAGTACTTTTCTCTCAACTCTGTTAGCCTTTCCTCTGAAGCAGGCTCCTACCATGAGGTGATAAAGATGTCTTCCTGCAATTCCATGCTAATCTCCTTCCTGTTAACCTCTATAGGAAGGATATGCCTCTTAAAAGCTCTTGCAAAGCGCAGAAATCACCCCGATTGACCAGACTTGGGCCATGTGCCCACCCCGGAACCAATCTCTGTGGCTAAGGCAATGAGGTACTCTCATGCCAGGCTTCAGTTCCATAGCCCTCTCTGGAATCAGCAAATGGACACTGCTCCAACCAAACCACATGGTGTGAGCAGGGAAGGGATAGGTCCCCAAAAGAAGAGACATTAGGCAAAAACAACAGACCTCTGCTACAATTCAGCCTCCTCTTTGTCTCCTAGGTGCTCCACACCCTGAGTCAGAACCAGAAAGCAGCGAAGAATCCACACCTGTGTGGAGACCTCCCCTGAAGCATGCGTCCTTAGAAACACCATGGGAGTTAACAGTGCATCTCCCAGTGGACGCGAGCAGGGACACACTCTCACCTCAAGGTAGCTCCTCCCTCCCTCCAGCATCCCTCGGGAACCTCACTCTGAAGGGAAGCAAGGCAAGACACACAAGGGTCCACAGCCAAGGAAAAGGAGTCTGGAAGGGAGGTTAGTTCACCAGCAGCCACTGGAAGATGGCCTTTGTGCAGGCAGCAGCTGCCTTCACCAAAGTGCTGCACTAAAACTAACAGTGTCCAGCTCACCAGTTACTTACTCCCTAACTCATCCCACTGCTAATATTTTAACAGTGTCCAGCTCACCAGTTACTTACCCCCTAACTCATCCCACTACTAATATTTTAACAGTGTCCAGCTCACCAATTACTTACTCCCTAACTCATCCCACCACTATTTTCTGGTTGCAGATGTAGAAAAGCGTCAAACTTACCAAAAGTTTCCTGCATGCCTTATAGTTTATCCTGTATTTTTAAACAATGAAATTTCATTTCTAATCTGTTTATAAATATGTATTTATTCATTAAAAAGTCCATAATATCGGCGGGGTGCGGTGGCTCATGCCTATAATCCCAGCACTTTGGGAGGCTGAGGTGGGCGGGGATCACTTGAGGTCAGGAGTTTGCCAGCCTGGCCAACATGGTGAAACCCCGTCTCTACTAAAAATACAAAAAAATTAGCCAGGCATGGTGGTGCACACCTGTAATCCCCGCTACTCGGGTGGCTGAGGCACAAGAATCACTTGAACCCAGGAGGCGGAGGTTGCAGGGAGCTGAGATTGTGCCACTGCACTCCAGCCTGGGTGACAGAGCAAGACCCTGTCTAAAAATAAAAAAAAAAAATTTTTTTTAAAAAGTCCATAATATTGATAAAAGTCTTCACTCCAATTTCCATGACGTGGACATTTGAAATTATACACATGGGTGCATCTAAGTGTTTGTGTTTATGTGTTGGATAGGTTGGAAGTAACAAGCCATATTTAGAAAGCTCCCCATTTTCAGAAAACTGAGCCTCCTTTCCAAAGGGCACGTGCAAGATGACAGTATCACAGATGTCAAGTGACCTCTGACTACTGGTATCAGAAATAGGAAGATGCACATTAATGTGTTTGGAGTTCTTCCTCTGTGCCAGGCACTGTTCTTAGTTTTCAACGTATTCTCTCAGGTACTCCTCACAGCAATCCTCTCCTCCTTTTACAGATCAGAGAACGGAAGCCCTGAGAGATAGGTAGTATGTTTGAGGTCACATAACTATAAGTGGCCTCACTAGGATTGGAGCTCAGGGCTTCCAGTGCCAGAATCCATGTTCTTACTCATTAGACTACATTCCCTTTCAGTATAAGCCCAACATTGTGACTTTTCTAACTAATACCAAAAAAAAAATAAAAAAAGAATAAAAGAATAAACCAAACAATGAACCTAGGTCAGGACGTTCTCGAAACATTCAGGTTTCGAGAATGTCCTTTGATTATTGAGGCAGAGGCTTATTTGGTCTATCTCTTAAGTGGGAGTTAATTATCCTAAAGACTTTAATGTTTCCTTTTTCAAAAAATCCAAATATCGGCAGAGATCACTCTGCAAATAGAGAAAAAAGCACCTTTCTACTTATGGGCCACAATGCGAGATGCACAGCTGGAGCCACGAGATAAAGGACACTAGTGAATTTCATCTTCCATAGTGTTCATTTTGCACTGCCCTACATTTGTTTTGAGCTGCCATGACCACCAGGAACTGAGTACCAGAACTTGTCCCTCCTCTGCCACTCTGCCAGGAGGAAACTGGTTTAAGAAGCCCCTTGGTATAAATTATGCATGCGACTGAACCTGGGAGTAAATGCAGAAAGAAAGGGACCTAAAGAGGCAGTTCCAGCTGGGCGCAGTGGCTCACACTTGTAATCCCAGCACTTCGGGAGGCCAAGGCGGCAGATCACCTGAGGTCAGGAGTTCGAGACCAGCCTGACCAACGTGGTGAAACCCCATCTCAACTAAAAATACAAAAATTAGCCGGGTGTGGTGGCACACACCTGTAATCCCAGCTACTCTGGAGGCTGAGGCACAAGACTTGCTTGAATCCAGGAGACGGAGGTTGCAGCGAGCCAAGATCACGCCACTGTACTCCAGCCTGGGCGACAGAGAGAGGCTCTGTCTAAACAACAACAGCAACAACAACAACAACAAAGAGGCAGTTTTTCATGGCAGTCTTCACATAGAGGTCCCTGCTGCACGGGCATATTGATGCTGAGTGGGACTGCTCCATTGCCACGGAGGCGACACATATTTATTTACTTGCCTAGGCCTGGATTACTTCACCTCTAATACCACAGAAATGAAGCCAGCTTTTATGTATGCATCCACACATATATATTTTTATTTTATTGCTTAACCATCTGAGAGTAAGTTGCAGACATTGTACCATTAATCCCTTATCAGCACGTATCTCCTAAGTCCAGGAATATTCTCCCTCCTAGCCACATACAATTACCACACTCAAGAAAGCAAACACTGGTGTAATAGTACTTTCTAATTTCTAATTCATAGTCACATTTCTCTATTTATACCGATAATGTTCCTTTATAGCTTTTGTTCAACCTAGAATTCAACTCAGGATCATGCATTACATTTAGTGGTCCCACTCTTTAGAATCTTTTCATCTAGAAGAGTCCCCCAGTCTTGTTTTTCATGACATCGACATTTTTGAAGAAGATGGGCCAGTTGCTTTGCAGAATTACCTTCGATTTGGATTTTTCTATTTCCTCATAATGAGATTCAGATCAAACCTTTTTGGCAGGAATATCACAGAGGTGATGTTGTGTCCCTCTCAGCCCATCATATCAAGGGATGAAAAATGTCAGTTTCTTCCACTGTAAGTGATGTTAAATTTTATTATTTGGTTAAAGGTGATATCTGCCCCATTTTTCCATTGTAAAGACACTTTGCCTCTTTTTAATGAATAAGTAGTCTGTGATAATTTGAGACCACATGAAGCCAATTTTTAAACCCAAATATTAATAGCAACTATTGTTTTACATGTGAAATAAAGACCACTCCCTCTGAAAGAGGTGAAGCCGAGGCCTCAGTCACTTGGGTTCCTGGGTTTCCTGCTTCCTAGAGCAGGCCCTGTTGCTGTTGAGAAGAGAAAACAGAAGCAGAGTGTAGGGTATGCTCTATGGAATGCTACCATCAATCCTGATACCCTCTGACTTCCATCTGGAAGGTAGCACTTTTTATTTAACCCTGAGGAAGGAATGCAATCATTGACTCTGCCTAGCACAACTACTTTTTGTTCAGAAATCTGTATCCAATAATCTCATCAGCTCTAAAGCTGGGATCTCCCTAGTCAGAGCCTTAGGACTAGGGTTGGAAGGAGTTTGCACCCTCTCCAGTCCTCCTTCCATCTCAGGATTTCATCCGTAAGATGAGAATAAAAACCACCACCACTCAATTCCTCCCAGTTCTTGGCAATTTTCCAAATGAACAGCCACGATTCTAGCCAAGAGTCATGTCATTTTGGCCACCGGAGATATCAGGTCCCTGGTGCTTAGCAGGACTGGAAAAGAGGGACAAACCTGAGAATGAGTGGAATAAACCATCCTAACACCAGGACAATTTCTCCCTTCTAGCCACAATACAATTACCAGTTCTTCATAGCAGTCTTCACACAGAGGTCCTTCAACCAAGTTAGAAGAGAGCTTCCTTCTCCTTCCTGCTGATTCTGTTTTCTCACACAGGCTTTTTCCCCTTTTGTTTTTAAAGATGATGATGCCCCACCTCACGATGTGGCCCCACCATTGGATCTTCTACCCCCGATTAAAGGAAAAAAAAGTCCTGAGAGCCAGAAGGGCGTGGACAGCCCTAGGACATCAGACCACAACAGCCCCCCAAGTCTCCCGAACATGAGAGTGCCCAGGAGGGCACTGCCAGCAGCTCAAGGTAATCATTCCCAGAGTGCATAGACGCCCCCCACTGGCTTGAATGTGGCTCATTGCCAGGGCCGCATGGCTGCTATGATGTAAGTTTTCTGAAAGGCATTCCATTGAAAAGGGGTAATTGACACTGTTTCTGATGATGTCAGTGGGATTAATGTTCCCCATGCATATTTCTAAAGGGTCAGTACATGTTTTAAGGGTTTGCTGCAGCAACATGCACTGCTACGCTGTTTTGGGCTTTCCTCACTCCTGGCAGCAGCATTTGATGACACAGCTCCCTGTGCTCCTGGGGGAGACACACTACTGGATTTACCAGGCACACTCCAAACTGAGCCATAACCCTTGCCCCCTGAGGCAAGAGAGCCCGATGAGCCTGCCAACAGAAGAGTCCCCAGACAGAAGTCAACTCCAGCCCAGGGCAGAGCCTGTTCACAGAGACGGAAAGACCCTAATTTCTAGGGAAGGGTGAGGCAGGGCAAGGCCATTCCCTCTAGGATTTAGCCTCACTTCAAGTACTTATCCTTAAGGAGTCAAGGAGGGGACTAAGATGCTTATACAGAGCAATAATGCAAGGACAGTGCAAGAGCAGCTCCCCCGGGGCTTCCATCTAAAGGTAGCTCATAGAGCAAAAATGGCTTAAAGCCCAAGTTACCCCTGAAAAATCCCTGGGAAGGTGCCACGCTGGAGACTGACAGACCATTTTCAGGAATATGTGGTCCAGGCAGCTGTTTCTGCTTCGTTGAAGGCTTGGCCTGCTTTCTCAGTTTGAGCACCAGATGAAGGAGATGACATGTGTTTGGGGGACAGATTGTATAAAGAAAGAGGTATCTCTGTTAACAGCAGAATCACACTCAGGGCTGTGAGAAGCTCACACTTTGAGAGGCATGTGGGAACAGAGAGCCATCACAGAGGCAACAGATTTCACATCTTTCATTTCATGCTCACTCAGGGACAGAATGCCTCAGTATTTAAATCAGTCTCACTTGCTCTCTGTCTCCCCCACTGCCCAGCACACCCCCTTCTCATTCTCTCCCCAGAGCATATATAGTTGAATTCTTTAAGCATAAATTAAATCCACAGATTAATAGTTCCATTCTGTGTTTGCAGCTTCTGTTTCAGGCTGAGATGGTCAAAATTAAATCCCTTCCTTCCCCGCAACATTCTCTCTATCCCTAGAGACGTTGTTTTCACCTAGAAACCGTTCCAGGGTTGGAACTTCTCTTTCACAACCCCCTCCCCTTTATACTTGTGTGACAGCAATGCTCTTTTCATTTTGATACAATTGAACCAAACTTGGTGTACTGTTATGTCCCCACCTGGGGCCTTCCTAGGAAGTTGCATGGCCTGGGACAAATCACAGCAAATGGATACTCAGGCCTACTTTAGACATCCTTATAAAGGGAGAATCTGATTAGAATAGAATGCCAGTGGCTGGGCGTGGTGGCTCATGCCTATAATACCAGCACTTTGGGAGGCTGAGGTGGGCGGATCACAAGGTCAGGAGTTCAAGACCAGCTTGTGCAACAAGGTGAAACCCCATCTCTACTAAAAATACAAAAAAAAAAAAAAAAAAAATTAGCCAGGCATGGTGGTGTACATCTGTGATTCCAGCTACTCAGGAGGCTGAGGCAGGAAAATCACTTGAACCTGGGAGGCAGAGGTTGCAGTGAGCCGAGATAGCACCATTGCACTCCAGCCTGAGCAACAGAGCAAGACTCTGTCTCAAAAAAAAAAAAAAAAAAAAAAAAAAAGGATAGAATGCCAGGACCAGGACTGGGAAAAGAGAGCAGCCTGAAGCCTCAAGTATGTGTGTTGGGTGTGTGCATGTGTGTAAGTGAATGTGGGATGTGTGCTTATATGCCCATGAGTACCTGTATGTGCTTGTGTGCATGCATGTCATTGTGCACATCTATATAGGCATGGCTGCATATGCACGTGCATGTCTACATATTCAGTCCTGTGAATGTATGTGTCATATGCTCATGTATGTCACTGTTCATGTGTATGGGGGTGTGTGTGCATGCCTGCCCTGTGAGAGTGTGCATATATGTGTGTGTGCCCCTGTGTGAATATGTCAGTGTGTTTGTAAGTGTGCATGTGTATGTGTGTACTCCTTAGCATCCACTCTAGCTGGTGGCCTGCTAGTCCAGGTAGCTGGACTCCTGGACTCTTTGTCTTGGAGATGGGGAAGGTAAGTATGGTATAATATGAATAAATTTGATCTTTGTCCCTGGTTTCTATTACTAAGCTAAAACTCTTGGAATTTTCTGAATGATAGTAGTATCTTTTGTTATTAATAATGAGCCCCTTTGAAAACACCTGAGTTTATGCTAATGAGGTGATGTAGGGTAAGGCCCCTAGGTAGCCTCATGATGGGTGACCAGAAGGACCAAGCGATAAGAGGATTAGAGGGTTGGAGCTTCCAGCCACAACCTCCAGGAAAGGGGAGGGGACACTGGAGATCAAGCTCTTTATTAGCTGTTGACCACGAATTGATAAGCTTCAGCATTGCTGAGCGTGTCTAGGTGGGAGGGCAGCAGGCCCAGAGAGGGCACGGAAGCTCGGCACATGCTTGCCCATCTCTTCATATGGCTGTTCACGATATCCTTTCTAATGTCCTTTATAAATAAGCCAGAAAATATAAGTAAGCGTTTCCCTGAGTTCTGCGAGCTGTCCTACCAAATTGTTGAACCCAAGGAGAGGGAGGATTGTGGAGGCCCAATTTAGAGCTGGTCGGTCAGAAGTACAGGTCACAATCTGGGACTTGCAATTGGCATCTGAAGTGGGGGGCAGTCTTGTGGACTGAGCCCTACCCTGTGGGATCTGACACCATCTCCAGGTAAAGAGTGTCAGAACTGAATTAAATTATAGGACAACCAGTTGGTATCTGCTGGAGAATTGCTTGGCATGGGGGAAACCCCGCAATCTAGTCCCAGGAGTGTTCTGGGTTGAGCGTTGAGATTCAAGTGGGGAATAAATGACTTGTTTTTTACTTTTACAGTCAGGTTATAAAAAATACCTTCAATCTTTCTAAGTAACTAGGGAGACACAGCATCCTTCATCTTGACCTGAGCCCCTGGCATCACCAAGCCATCCCAGTATTTCATCTAGAGGTTCTGGCCGTGCATGCTGAGTACTGCACAGGACATCTGATGGAGGCGGACAGCAGAGGCAGGAAGCAGGAAGCCCTGTTCTCAGGGGCTGGGCTGCATACAGCTGAAGGAAGGGACTCCCTTTCCTTCACACAGAGTGCCCCCGCTCACTTAGCCCTGCCCCTGAGGTAGCCAGGCTCTCCTGAAGGCATGATGTAGGCAAGTGGTAGCCCCTCCCTGTTCATCCCACCTTGACCCCCGGAAGGCAGGGCCTGAACAATAGCCCTGCTCTGCTGAGTCCCAGGAGTAGGGCTCACCCTATACTCTGGTGGGCACCCAAGCACATAGGCATCTACGGGTGTGTGCCCGCGGGGGACCAGGGGAACATGGCCCAGGTTTGGTCTGTCTCCCTCACCAACACGGTACTGACACTGCCTATGCTTGTGCTTATTTTCAAGAAGATTCCAGCGACCCTACACTGGGACACTTCTTGCTGGGTCCAGATGGAGAAAAAGTCTGCCTGTCCCTCCCAGGGCATACCCAAACCGAGGCGCTTCCATCGGGTAAAGGTAAGCTAACACATTCCAGGGCAGCCTTGTTTTTTTTTTTTCAAAGGGGAAGATGTTACCTGCAGCTTCCAAATTTTCCCAGCAGCAGCGACATCATTAAAAACAGACGCAAGTCAGCCAGTTTCTCCCCTTTCACCGACACAGAGGTGCTTCTGTAGCTCAGAGACAATGATCCAATGTTTGCATAACAAGTTTACTCTTGCTGGAGCATTTGGAGAGAGAAGTTCCAGTGGAATGGCTTGGAAGAGGTCTAATGTGCCACGCTGATGCCTTGATGAGAATGATAAAGTCCTTTTGGTATTTGCCCAAACTAAACACTGCCTTTTCTCTTCTTTCCAACCACCCTGCAGAGGTGGAGACGGCTAATTGGTAATCCAATCAGGTATCCTTGTTATGTACATTGGTTCATCCCTGTGAATCATCTGGCTCCTACAGATAGCAAGGCAGTTTCCAAAAACCCTTCTGGCATGTTCACTTTTTAGAAAAGAGATGCTGCCTCTGGGCAATAGCCATTTTGCAAAGGAAAAAATAAATGAAGTCAGAGGGTGATGAGCATCAACCACCCAGAAACCACCGTGATGTGTATGCATGAGTCTGCAGCCAGCAGGCTCCTTGATGTGGGAGATTAAAAGCTGCACTCATCTGGGGGGTTACGTCATGACCCGCTCAATAAAAAGAACATGGATTCAGAGCTAGGAGATTTGAGGAGCTCTGGCCTCGTCTCTAAGTTGCCAGATGACTTTGAGTCAGTCCCTCATCCTCCCTGTATCCAAGGTTCCTCCACCAAAATGAGAGGATTGATTCCTCCCCTGAGAAATTCCTTGACCATTGCTGCATTTTACATCTTGTGTCCGCTGCTATTGAAGCAGCCACCCAGTATATGGATTTCCAGAAAGTAGAATGTATTTGATTCCAAATTCAGCATCAAAGAACTTCCATCAGCAGTTGGTTTATACCAGGATATGAGTATAAAAATATCTTGGTTCTGAATTGGTGGAAGCAGGAGTTAGACAGGTGGAGGCCACTGTCAGCATGACACAGCTGGTGCAACAGCTGGAAAGCAAATATGATTCTGTTCACCTGCTGCACATTTGTCCACTCTGTTCCAGGAGAAATAGTTCCCCCTTTTGGCACAGCAAAAGCTAGAAGCAGAAAAGGAAATATTTAGGCTGTAAGTTTATTGTCACCATTGTCAATATGATGCTTCAGTCATTTTAGTATCCCTGGCACCTAGCATAGTCCCTGACATATACATAGAAGGGTCACAATAAATGTTCATTTAAATTTTTTGAAAAATATTTCAATAATTTCCATGACATGGAGAAAGAGAAAGATGAAACTTATGCTGATAAATGAAGACATGCCTGCCATCTTGTCCCAGTCCCACAGATGGTATATTTAATCCTACTTGCCTCTCAAACCTAAAGGCATTCACTGCATGCTTATTGAATGAATGAATGAATGAATGAGTTAGCCACTGACCTTTCTCAAGCCTTTCCTCCATGGGCAGTTGGTTGACCTTCAGTCTTGATGGTGACAGGATGTTGCTCAAGAAGGTGGTGAAAGATCTTAAACCCACATCTTCCTATAAAGGTCTGGCTTTCTAAGAGTCTCTATTAATAAGCAAAGATTTTTTTGGTTTGGGCTTTTTTGTTTGTTTGTTTGTTTTGGTTTGGTTTGGTTTGGGAGACAGTATACTGAAAAAAATTTTTCCTCTCGCAAAATATTAGGTTGGAGCAAAAGTAATTGCGGTTTTGCCATTACTTTTAATTGCAAAAACCACAATTACTTTTGCACCAACCTATAATTGCTCCAACCACACCGAACTCTTTGCAGATCAGTTTGTTCAAAACCATCTTAATCACCGTCTCCACCCTCCCCTTCCAGCCTCATCTCCTACTATATTCCAGCCCACCCCTTGTTCATCTCTTTGATGACCTAAAAATTCAGTCTTCATTCTTTTCTCTCCAAACTTTTGCTCAAGTTTCCCCCAAATATTTAGAATAGCTTTAAGTTCATCTTTTCTGGAACATTTTCCTTAATAAATCCACCTCATTGCACACAGCTGCCTAGATGTAGCCTCAGCCCCATTCCTCTCTCTCTTTCTCAATCCCACTTTTGTGATTATTGTATGTATCTGCATCTGTTTTCTGTTTAGCTTCCAATATGAGTCCTAGAGAACATCTCATCTCCATCATATGTCCAGGAAAAGCTTGTTGATTGACTGAATACTCCAGGTGCCACAAAGGAAAGTTCTTTAGGGATCATAGTTGTTGCTGGGTTTTTTGTTTTTTGTTTTAATTAAAAAAAAAAAAAAACTCTTGAGTAAAGGAAGGAATACGATCCATCTGATCTTTCTGAGACTTCCAGGCTCTGTCAACAACTATTTGGAAATAAATTCTTAGGCAATTAGATCATGGTATCTTCTTTCAGACAGCATAGGGAAATGAATATAAACCTTCAGAAGGAAAAAAAAAAAGATGTGAAGACTAGAGCTGGAATTTGACCCTTTTGGTCATGTTGGGATATTGAACATTTAGAAAATTGAAAGTCTTGAGAAAGGAAAAGTTAACTTAGAAGGATACATGTCAAACCACTGGATATGCCCTCTGAATTGCTTATCCTTGATTCAAATCCTTCATCTACTCCCCTAGTCACAGTGCCAGCAATAGAAGTTTTCTCTCAGAAGTTCTTTTATTCAGAAGTTTGTTTTACAAAGAAGTTCAAGGATGTTTATGCCAATGATTCAGGTTGGGCATCAAGTCCCATGTAAATTTAAATTCCTGGTCTCTTTCAGAGTTTCTGTTTAGTATTTGTTCTTGTTCTAAATGGATTTTTACCCTCAAAATGTTTCTTGGGTGTTTTTTGTTTTTTTAGACAGGGTCTTGCTCTGTCGCACAGGCTAGAGTACAGTGGTGCAATCATGGCTCACTGAAGCCTCAAACTCCTGGGTTCAAGCTATCCTCCCACCTCAGCCTCCAAATAGCTGGGGCTACAGGCACGAGCCACCATGCCCGGCTTTTTTTTTTTTTTTTTTTTTTTTGAGATGGGGTCTCCCTGTGTTGCCCAGGCTGGTCTCAAACTCCTGGCCTCAAGCAATCCTCCCACCTAGGTCTCTCAAAACACTGGGATACAGGCATGAGCCACTGCACCCAGCCTTTCTTGTTTGTTTGTTGTTGTTATTTGTCATTTAATTAGCATCCTTCCCCCTTGCAACTCTTTCTTGGTGTGGTGGTTTTAAAATACATCCACAAATTCTTTGACACTTCCCCCTTCAAAAGGGAGAAACTAACTCTTCTCCCCTTGAGTGTGAGTGGGATATGATGGCTCACTTCTAAATAAAGATAGACTATGGCAGAATTGATGGTATGTGACTTCTGAGACTGGGGTCATAAAAGGCACCAAGGCTTCCTCCTTGCTCTCTCTCTCGGATTACTCACTCTGGGGAAAGCCAACCACCATGTCTGTGATGAGGCCACTCAAGCAGCCTATGGCAAGCAGTCCACATGGCAAGGAACAGAAGCCCCTTGCCAACAGCCAGAATGAACTTCCTAGGCTTGTGTGGGAGTTGCCTTGAGAGGAGGTTCTCCAGCCCCAGTCAAGTCTTCAGATGACTGCATCCCTGGCTGACACTCTGTCTGTGACCTCACAAAAGGCTGCACCAGAACCACACACCTAAGCCACTCCAAGATTCCCACAGAAACTGAGGCATAACAAAGGTTTATTGTTTTAGGTTTCAGGATCATTTATTTTGCAGTAATAGATAACTAGTATTCTAGATAACTAGTATTCTTGGTGTCATTTTGTGATGGTCTGTGATTTGGTTGACAGAAAGATGAGTCTAAGAATATCCCAGCTGGTCTGAAAACACTGATCATTTAGGGGTAAACATAGGCTAAGTGACTGTTCTCCCATTTTTCCTTTGTGATAAGTTGGTTGTGGGACCCCACGGGTAAAAGAATCCTTCCATGTTGGTGGGGTACTGTTTAAAGTATGATTTTCCTTAAGTAGCCCATCTCTTAGTAGCTGTTACCTTACTGATGATGCCGAGAGATGTAAGGGAGGACAATTAATTTTGATAAGGCCATGTGAGGAAGAAGAAAAAACTCTGGTTTTATTCCCACCTGTACTGCCCAGGATTTCTGTGATCACAGGCAAATAACTTCATTGCCTTGGACCTCAGCTTCCTCATATGGAAAAAGAGGAGTTGGTATTAGATCCAGTCCTCACAGCACATGTCCCGTCGAACTCCAATTCCTCAGAAGGTTAACAGGCATTGTGTAAAAAAGGAAAGGTTCTAGGGCCAGATACATTTGGAAACCAGTGGACCAAAGTTAAGCAGATCCCTTACCGCAGGACTTCCTAGAGCCTCCGATATGCTGATGTGCACCGTGGTTCTTCAGGATGGGGATATGCACTGTTTCCCAAACTTATTTGATCACTGAATCCCTTTGTTTTTGGTAAAGCATCATGTGGATCTAAAAAGTTTTTGGCAAACTTTGGAAAATGCTAAACTGATGATTTCTAAGGTTCTCCTAACATGGCATGTTTCTAAATATGCCCCTTTCCCCAAGGAGATTCTCTCGGTGGAGCAGTTCTTGTGTCTAAATCCTGAAACAGGATTTCAGCCATTAATCATTTGTGACTATTATTATTTTTATTCTCTAAACATCAGTTCTGAATCATAGAGTCCACAATCCATCCATCTCTGGATAGGAAGAAATACAGGAAGATAGGAGCCCCACGTGGTTATAGTGTACACTGCCCCTTGTGCCTTTTCAGTGTTTTTCATAACCCTCATGAGAAATAATGTTGGCAGGTGTTACCAGTACTAGTGATCTCTGGTCAAATGTTTGAGTAAAGGAAAATGTGGCTGGATATGGTCTCTGGGCACCCAGCATTTCCTTCCAGTGGGTGTTCCTGTACTACAGAGGCTAGAAGGCTAAAAACTACATTTCCCAGATAATCTTTGCAGCTAGGGAGCTGGATGCAAATTATTTTCTGCCAATTAGATGTGCTTGCATGAGATTTGGAGAGCAGAAGTGAGGCAGAAGCATCAAAGCTCTGGGCACTGAGCTCATGAAGACTGAGCATGATAAGAGGCAGTTACTGTATAGTAACTCTGTTTCTTCTTAAAAATATTTGGGCAGTTTCTGTTCTGGGCTGAACCCTGACTAAAAAGCTCTCCTTACAAAAATTACAGGAGATTCCCATCAGGCTTGGCATGGCGCTAAGTTAGGTCTATCACACGTACCACAGTGTTGAGAGATTGTAGAAGGGCAGGCTGTGATAGCTGCATTTGTCCCAGCCTTCAGAAGGAAGCAGTGTTCTTTCCCTCACTGTAGTGAGACCAGTAAGGCCTCACAGCCCACTCTGGAAGGTGTCCTGATAGCCACCAGTAGGGAGCTACTAAAACACAGTAGGGACTCTCCTTCATTTCCTTTGACAGAAACCTCTTGTGATTCCTAGAAACATAAAGACTTCCCTACCTCATATGTAGCTGAAAAGGTGGCATCATCACCACTTTATGGCTTCCGAAGAAGAAACATGTCAAGAATAATAGCTTGCGGCCAGGCGCGATGGCTCATGACTGTAATCCACTTTGGGAGGCTGAGGAGGATGGATCACCTGAGGTCAGGAGTTGTTGAAACCCTGACTCTACTAAAAATACAAAAATTAGCCAGGCATGATGGCGGGTGCCTGTAATCCCAGCTACTCGGGAGGCTGAGGCAGGAGAATTACTTGAACCTGGGAGGCAGAGATTGCAGTGAGCCAAGATAGTGCCATTGCACTCCAGCCTGGGCAACAGAGCGAGACTCCGTCTCAGGAAAAAAAAAAAAGAATAATAGCTTGCTTTGAATCCACTAGCTATTCATTTTTTGAAGAAAAAATCAATACAAAGTACTGAAGAATGTATTATTTCTTTTTTTTAAGATGATGGTACTTATGTCATTTTTTACAGAACCTGTGAAGTTATGAATTCTACCTCCCTTGCATTTGTTCTGTTTCAGAGAACCCTAGAGTCAAGAGGGAACTTAGGCATCACCGTCATCAGTATTTAAGCAAAAGAAGCATTTAATCAGACTTTCTGAGGATACCAGTAAATAAAACAGATAAAAGCAGAACTATCTGGTTGAAGTGGAGATGGTCTAATTATGTCCCTCCCAACTTCTCTGAACCCAACTAACTCTTCCCCTCCTAAGATGGTTCTAGGAGTGGGGGTGGGGGACTATGCAGGGCCACTAGAGCTATGTGACAATTAGAAAACCTGCTGGGCCAGGCACGGTGGCTCATGCCTATAATCCCAGCACTTTGGGAGGCTGAGGCAGGAGGATCATTTGAGCCCAGGAGTTCGAGACCAACCTGAGTGATATCTTTTGGCTGTGTCCCCACCCAAATTTCATCTTGAATTGTAACTCCCACAATTCCCACATGTCATGGGAGGAACCCGGTGGGAGGTGATTGAATTATGGGGGCAGCTCTTTCCTGTGCTGTTCTCCTGATAGTGAATGAGTCTCAAGAGATCTCATGGTTTTAAAAAGGGGAGTTTCCCTGCACAAGCTCTCTTTGCCTGCTGCTATCCATGTAAGATGTGACTTACTCCTCCTTGCCTTTTGCCATGATTGTGAGGCCTCCTCAGCCACATGAAACTGTGAGTCCAATTAAACCTCTTTCTTTTGTAAATTGCCTAGTTCCAGTTATGTCTTTATCAGCAGCATGAAAACAGACTAATACACTGTGCAACATAGTGCGATCCCGTCTCTGCAAAAACTTTTAAAAATTAGCTGGGCCTGGTGTGCACACCTGTGGTCCCACCTACTCCAGGGGCTGAGGTGGGAGTATTGCTTGAGCCTGGGAAGTCAAGGCTGCAGTGAGCCATGATTGCACCACTGCACACCAGCCTAGGTAATAGAGTGAGACCTTGTCTCAAAAAGAGAAAAGAAAACCTCTGATTTTATGGATAAGGAAACTGATGCCCAAAGAGGTATGATTTGCTCAAAGCCACACAGCTTTTATATGGCAAATCCAAGGCTCAAACCCAGATCTTCCTTCATCCAGTGAGGCCAGAGCTTTTCCCACTGCATCACACAGCTTCTAGTCCCTCTTATCCAGGTTTCCAAGCTTCAAGGACCTCAAAGTTCCCTCTCTACTGTGATGCTTTACCTGACCACCTCTGCCACAACGATTGCTATTTCCTTACGTTCCACTCATTCTTACCACCTGGGTCTCTTACCAAGCACTCCCTCACATCTTTTATCCTTTGTACTATTTTTCTTCTTTCCCCTCCTAGATTTAAAATTCCTGTGAGTAGATCCCCCTCATCTACCTCTGAATATCACAGAGAACACATTTGGTACTCCCAGAGTATTTCTCATAATATTTACTGAATATTATGAATATTGACTGAATAATATTTATAAAAGGAATAATGGAAGAATGTGTTCAGCTAAATTCTAATAATAGAATCCCCCACCCTGGATTTTAGCTGAACACATGGCTGCCTACCCAGAGATTATGCTTCCCAGACTCACTTGCAGCTAGGTATGGCCATGTGACCAAGATTTGACCAATGGGATGTGAGTGGAAGTAACACATGCAACTTCCAGGTCATTTCCTTAAAAGGAAACTGTTTGCCCTTCCCCTCCTCGTTCTCCTTGGACTTGGTCGTGGTAATAGCTTCAACCATGTGGAAGAGAACAATTCCATATGGGATGATGGAGTACTAAGATATTAGGAACCAGGGTGCTCAGGTAACTTTACGGAGCAGAGCCACCCTGATCGGCCTGCCTGCCTACCTCTGGACTTGTATGTGCAAGAGAAATAAATGTTTATCTTTTTGCGTCTCTTGTTTTACATCAGCTTACCTTGTGCCTTAACAGAATGCAACTATAATATCTGCCAACATACTTCACATTACTTTGTGAAAATCAAATCAGATCACACTTGCACTCCATCTTGTAAAGTATTAAGTAAAATTCCAATATGAAATATGGTTGAACCTCAAAGAAGGCCCATTACATGTGTGTTTGACTCCTTCGATACAATATACTGAATACCTCCCATATGCAAGGGACATGGAAGGATGTTAATATTGAGAGCAAACACTCTCAGGCACCTTGCTATGCATGTCATCTTGTTCCCTTATCCCAACGATCCTAGGAAGTGAGTATTTTCAATCACATATCATAGGTAAGGAGACTGAAACACAGGGAGCTCACTTACGTGGTAAGGGCAGAGCTGGGCTTCATTCCCAGGCCTGTCTGTCCTCACTCCACATACCAAAGCTCCACCCCAGGCACTGCAGTCACTGCCCTCAAGGACCTCAGAGTCGACGTGGAGAACAGATTCACAAGCCAGTAACTGTACCACAAGGCAGAATGAAATGAGTGCCATCACAGAGGCCTAAGAGCACAATCCAGGGGTATTCCAGGAAGGAGCCATTAATTCTAGCCTAGGAGGTTGGGAAGGGCTTTTTACAGAGGAAGTTCCATTTACACTGACCTTTGAGAAACGAGAAGTAGATAGACAGAGAAGGGGAGGGCCAGCCAGCCGAGACACCAGAATGAACAAAAAGAGGAACGTAGAGAACACGTGGATAATGAGGAGCAGCGTGGTGTGAGTGGACTGTGGAGGGGCTTCATGCTGGGGGTGAGGAGGAGCTGGGCCTGAAAGGCAGACCAGGGCCAGACCAGGGAAAGCCTTGTATGCCAGGAGAGAGCCAAAATGCTGCTGTTTAGGCAACAAGGAATCACAGATGTTTGAGGAGGGATGTCATGCAACCCAACACGTGAGCTAGCATGAAGGAACAGACAAGAGAAAAGGCAGAGGGCTCAGGCTACTGCAAAATCAGCCAGACAACACTGGGTGAGGGCCCTGGTGCAAGGCAGTGAGCAGCCATGCCTAAAAGGCATGCTCCCTAGGGCCACTGACTGGACGTGAGCATCTCAACCAGCACTCTGAGATCTGGGTCGCCCATGACAAGACTGTTTGCAGATCCTCTTTATAAAATTGGCTACAATGCTCATCTCCAATCTTCTACTCAAATCCGCTCTTTTTTTTTTTTTTTTTTGGAGACTGAGTTTCATTCTTGTTGCCCAGGCTGGAGTGCAGTGGCACGATCTCGGCTCACTGCAGCTTCCGCTTCTCGGGTTCAAGAGATTCTCCTGTCTCAGCCTCCCAAGTAGCTGGGACTACAGGTGGTGCACCACCACGCCTGGCTAAATTTGTTGTATTTTTAGTAGAGATGGGGTTTCACTGTGTTGGTCAGGCTGGTCTCAAACTCCTGACCTCAGGTGATCCACCTGCCTCGGCCTCCCAAAGTGCTGGGATTACAGGCGTGAGCCACAGCGCCCAGCCCAAATTATCTTTATTCTGTTTTTACTTTCAGTTAAGAAGGTTGTTTCGGAAAGGGGGGCATGTGTGTCTCCTGTATTGTAATTAAGCGAAAACAACAACTAAGGCCTGGAGCCCACATTGTCCCCACAGCAGCACCCACAGGGCCACCGCTCTGGCAGCCTCCCTCAAGCCAAGTCAAAAGTCCCACCAGCACACAGAAAAAAATAGATCCCCATGCCATGTGCCTCTCAGCTTGTCAGCAGTGCAGTGTGGCTGTTTTCTGGCTCCTGGGCTGTAGGGGAAATGGTTGAGCTTCCTAGCAGGCAGCTGTGGTAAATAATGAGTTCTAAGGAAAACCCTGAGAGCAAACTTCTTGGGAGCTACGAGGCAAAGGGCAGGGCGGTGGCGGTGACAGACGGTGTTCGTGTAGCCCTCCTCCGCCCTCTCGCCTGACACACAGAGCTTTCTCTTTCGTGACTGTTTTTTAGCCTCCTTTTCCCTTTCAACCACCCACCACTCAATTCTTTGAGGGAAAATTAACATTCATTATGCAATTTATCTCTCTCCGTTTAATCCAGAGTGTCTGTCTCCAAGGTCCCTACTCAATAATTAATGTTTGTTCTCATTTCCCATTCTCCAGAGCATCTATTCTTGAACCGTAGGGTCAACAATTAACACTAATTACGGCTTTTCCTCTCTCCAGTGTTGATGCTCAGAATCCCAGGCCGCCTGCTCAGCCTCAGCTATCGGTGCGCACGTGACCGTGTGTGTGCCCTGAGATGCAGGAGCACCGAGAGGCAGGCTTTGTCAAGCCCCACCGCAGTTTAGCAAATCAGTAAAACCCAAACATTCTTTCTTGGCATCCTCTCTAGTCTATTTGTTATTGGTAATGAGACGATGAAGCAAAAAATAAATAAATAAAATTATTTGGAGATGAGTTTGGTGGCTAGGCAGACTAGAAGATTTCTAAGTCTTTTCCGGTTTGAATTTTCTAGGATTCCTTTTTTTCTTCTCTGTTGCTCTCTCCCCGATATCTCACACCTCCCTCTCCCTTCTCTCTCTCTCCGCTTCTCTCTCTCTCTCATACAAACACACCAAATTTCCCTTTAAAAAACCTTTCTTCCTGCTGGGCATGGTGGCTCACACCTGTTATCCCAGCACTTTGGGAGGCAGAAGCAGGTGGATCAGCTGAGGTCAGGAGGTCGAGACCAGCCTGGCCAACATGGTGAAACCCTGTTTCTACTAAAAATACAAAAAAAATTAGCCGGGTGTTGGTGGCAGGCACCTGTAGTCCCAGCTACTTGGGAGGCTGAGGTAGGAGAATTGCTTGAACCCAGGTGGTGGAGGTTGCAGCCAGCCAAGATTGTGCCATTGCACTCCAGCCTGGTGACAGAGCGAAACTCTATCTCAAAAAATAAAAATAAAAAACCCTTCATATAGGACCCACTCAATTGACCTCTTTGCTATTACCTCTCCCTTAACTTTCACAAGTCTCATTCTAATTCTCATCAGTCATTAAGACAGCATTGTTTTAACTAATTTTCATTTTGACTGACAAGGGTAGCTAGGAAAATAATTCTCACCCCAGGTGACTAGCAGATCACAAAAAAAAAATTCATCAGGGGCTGTGAAAAAGCCTGTCTGTCTTTTTGGCTAGAATCAGATGGACTAGAATCCCTCCTGGCTCCCCTGGTCCAACACTCTGTTTGTGCTACAACTGGAGAGGGGGGCTTTTTGTGCGTGTCTGTCATCCCCCATGGCTGCACACACTGAGACACAGCTGCTGTTCAAATCTGGGCATCTTGCAGCATGTGTCAAACGTTAACTGTTTCATGATCTTATTTTGTCAAAAGTTCTTCTTACAGAATTTTATCATCATGGACCCTACAGAATTTTACCTTTAAACATCTTAGATAAAAACATTATTTTCCTCAATGCTTTTTTAATCCTAGATCAACCTTCTCTCCAGAATATCATCTGTGGATTTTCAAAAACATCCAATTCAAGGCCGGTGCGGTGGCTCACGCCTGTAATCCCAGCACTTTGGGAGGCTGAGGTGGGCAGATCACTTGAGGTCGGGAGTCGAGACCAGCTTGGCCAACATGACGAAACCCCATCTCTACTAAAAATCCAAAAAATTAGCCAGGCGTGGTGGCACATGCCCGTAATGCCAGCTAGCCAGGTGGTTGAGGCAGAAGAATTGCTTGAACCCTGTAGGCAGAGGTTGCAGTGAGCCGAGATCGTGCCACTGCACTATAGCGTGGGCAGCAGAAAGAGACTCCATCTCAAAAATTTAAAAAAAAGAAACAGTTCATTGCAAAGCTTAAACACTGAGGCAATCACTTCATGTTTTCCCCTGTCTTCGGATAAGGGAATAAATTTTTACAAGACTTTTTCCCGCTCTCAGGTAAAATATCTTACTGTTTTTCAGCCTATGAATCTGTCAATTCAAATATCAGCCATGAAGAGGAAGGGCCTAGTAGTCAGCATTTCCTAAAAGGTAAGCTTTTCCACTAAAAAGTCACCTCGACTTCTCTATGTAATTTGACTCATGATCATATTATTTCATATATAGACCTCCAGAAACCCACAATTTCTCCCCAAATATACCAATAAGTAGCAGAGAGGATTTGCTTCTTGGAAAGCCTGAGAAATGTGTTGTTCTGTTGAGTTACTCATGGACAGCCCCGTGGTCTGAGTGTAAATATTAGTGAGGAAGAGACGTCGGGTGGAACCAAGTGCTTGGGCTTAGCTGGCCTGGGGAAGGATAATTTGCAGGGATGTCCTGTGGGTCCTGCAGGTAATCCACTGCACAATTCCCTAAATAATGAGGTAGACATTGTCCCCTGGAGTCGTGCATCCCTCAGCCTGCACACACCACAAGCTAGGAGCCGATCTGGGAAAGACTCAGGCTTGTATTTTCAATGGAAGACTGAGGCCAGGTCTGCCTCTCCTCAGATTCCTTTTCTATTTCATTTCCCCCATGGAGAGATCTGCAAAAACTGGGAGTATAGGTTGACTTTGTAGCTCATCCTCCACCCACAGACATGGCTGCTGCTGCTTCAGACCAAGGGAAGGATGATGACCTGGAGACTTTCTCTCCTAAAAATAGTCTTTGATTAACAGAGAAATGTGAGTGGTGTTCCTGGCTGCTTTTTTTTTTTTTTTTTTTTTTTTTTTTTTTTTTTTGAGATGGAGTTTCGCTCTTGTCGCCCAGGCTGGAGTGCAATGGCAAGGTCTTGACTCACTGCAACCTCTGACTCCCGGGTTCAAGCAATTCTCCTGCCTCAGCCTCCTGAGTAGGCGGGATTACAGGCGCCTGCCACCAAGCCTGGCCAATTTTTGTATTTTTAGTAGAGACGGGGCTTCACCATATTGGCCAGGCTGGTCTCGAACTCCTGACCTCGTAATCTGCCCACCTCAGCCTCCCAAAGTACTGGGATTACAGGCATGAGCCACCACTCCTGGCCTCCTGGCTGCTTCTTTTGGGGCTGGGCAGCAATGAATCCTGCATGAAGAAGCTGCTGTAGGAACAGGCGGGAGGCAGTGCCACAGATCAAGGGCTATAGGCAAATCAGGGTGGAAGGATTGTTTTTGCCAGAGATTGCAAAACTAAGAGAAAAGTCACAACTGTATCCTTGCCAATCTCAAAATCTGTAAGCAGAGAAATATCTGGGAGTCTGGCCCTCTGCATTCCCCCTTGCCATCTTCCTTGGGCAGACATCCTGACGAAGGTAGAAAGAGTTTCCATGCCATTTTTGTTCATTCTCATGCATTGGTTAGAACTGGGCCAGAGCAGCTCTTAAATAGGAGCCCTCAGTAAAAATGATGATGATGGTGGTGGTGGTGGTGGTGGTGGTGGTGGTGGTGGTGGTGACAGCTACTGTTGTTATATATTCCTGATATGCCAAACATCATGCTGAGTGCTTTGCATTCATTATTTCATTTCATCCCTACAGTAGTGATAGGAGATAAATCCTATTATTATCTTCATTTTTCATCTAGGACAATGTGGCTCAAGAGAGGTTAAGTGACTTGCCCAAGGTCACACAAAGTAGTAAAGTTAGGATTTGAACCCAAGGAACCTGTATTTTTATGACTAAGCATGGTTCATAGTAGCATTGGTCTAAAGAGGGGCAATTCCATCTGACAATATATGAGAGTTTAGGAAGTCCTTGACTTAGTAATGACATATGCAAACAAATGGCTTCTGTCCAACCTCCGTTTCCCCCTCCAATTCCCCCTACTCAGCATCAGACACCCTTTTGTGGGTAACACTAAAAAGGATTTGCAACTTCTAGAGATATCATAGGGAGAAGAGGAGAAGCTGGAAAAAAAAAAGTAACAGTTTGGGAGAATCAAAGTCCTGAAACAAATTTTCAAGCAAGATAAGCCTGTTTACCGGCTAGCTCTGCAAACCAAAATATTCTTTCTAATAGCACCTAAAATGTTACCATTTCCCTTCATTCTACTATTAAAATCTCACCAATAAAAAACTAACCTTGGATTAAGAAGTATCCTCTTAAGATTCTGAAACTTCAGAGAGGTGAATAGTCTGTCACACTTTAGTAAAAGTGTATTTAATCAGATAGTTGCTCTCTTGCAACCTAGCTAGAAACAGCTGCTCTGAGGGACTAAAAATTCTGATGGGGTGGAAACAAAGGTGAGTAATTTGGAAGTATATAGAGCTTAAGGGTTGAAATATGCCTGGCCCATGGAGTGCCCCAGGGGGCTCAGATGAACAGCAGAACATCAGCTGCATGGAGAAGGGGACACTAGAAGGAGAAAAGTACAGAAGGGGCCATGACAGTGCCCCAAAGGCTAACTTAGCCTATTACAGGAGGCCTCGCAGAAAGCTGTAGATCCAGGAAATGGAGAGAACGTTTTGATCCTTCTCGCCTCTATTCCTAGTAACTAAAAGACCTTGGACTAATGCAAATCTCTTTCCTATTTCCAGGCTTTAGAATGTACTGTTCCCTCTGCCTGGAGCACAGTTCCTCATCTCCTATCCAACATTTTTTAATTGCGGTAAAATACAGATAACATAAAATTTGTCATCTGAACCATTTTTAGTGTGCAGTCCAGTGGCGTTAAGTACATTCACATTATTGTGCAAACAGTCTCCAGAACTCTTTTCATCTTGCAAAACTGAAACTTTATACCCATTAAACAACTCCCCCTCCTCCCTCCCCTAGCCCCTGGCAACCACCATTCTACTTTCTGTTATCCCCTGACTTTTACCCCTTGTCCTAGTTAACTCCTGCTAATCCTTCACTTCCCAATTTAGGCCTCAAACTGACCTCCCCACAAAGGTTTTTCCACTTTCCCCTCACCCTCCTTCCCTTCCCCCTCCCTGCCGATGGGGTGACACTCACCACCAACATGTGCACAATGAACCATGCTTACCCAGTTACAGCCACAGCAGCTCACTCACTGCATTGTCCACTGACTAGACTTTTCTCTCCATGAAACTGCAAGCTTTTTTTCTTTTCTTTTCTTTTGAGACAGGGTCTCCCTCTGTTGCCCAGACTGGAGTGCAGTGGCTGGATCTCAGCTCACTGCAGCCTTGACTTCCTGGGCTCAAGCGATCCTCCCATCTCAACCTCCTGAGTAGCTGGGACTACAGGTGCTTGCCATCATGCCTGTCTTTTTGGGGGTTTTTTTTTTTTGGTAGAGATGGGGTTTCACCATGTTGCCCAGACTGGTCTCCAACTTCTGGGCTCAAGCCATCTTCTCACCTTGGCATCTCAAAGTGCTGGGATTACAGGCGTGAGGCACCACACTCAGTCACTAGACTGCAATCTTTTTAAGGGCAGGGGCCCACCAGCAACCCTATTACCTGGTAATATGCTGCTAACACATACCTACTGTCAGTGCAGCATAAGCATTTGATGATTGAAAAGGTTTAGCTACAACATGGGTGAAACAGGCCTTTTTTTTTTTTTTTTCAGGTTGACTTGGAAACTTAATCACTATGCAGAACAGCCTCCACAGGAAAATGCATTCCACATATAAGCATAGGGTGCCTCTTTCACAACTTAGAACCTTATTTGTTCCCTTGATTTGCCCAATGACCTTAACAAAAACATTTTTACATCACTTTGTGCTTAATATTCCCCATTTGTTGCTAAGGGAATAGATATAACACTACTTTGAAAGTATCTGGGCCAGGCGCAATGGCTCACACCTGTCTGTAATCCCAGCTATTCAGGAGGCTGAGGCAGGAGAATTGCTTCTCCTGCCAGCGGCAGGGTCGCGGTGGCAGAGGTTGCGGTAAGCCAAGATCGCACCATTGCACTCTAGCCTGGGCAGCAAGAGCAAAACTCCATCTCAAAAAAATAAATAAATAAAAAAATAAAATACCTGATACCCCCTGGAACTGAGTTCAAAGACCAATTTAAAACATCTATTCGTTGGAACACCTATAGAAGTTTCACAATTTTTTTTTTTTTTTTGAGACAGAGTCTCACTCTATTGCCCAGGCTGGAGTGCAGTGGCACAATCTTGGCTCACTGCAACCTTCATCTCCCAGGTTCAAGTGATTCTCATGCCTCAGGCTCTCTACTAGGTGGGATTACGGGCACCCGCCACCGCACCCGGCTAATTTTTGTAATTTTAGTAGAGATAGGGTCTCACCATGTTGGCCAGGCTGGTCTCGAACTCCTGACCTCAGGTGATCCACCCGCCTCGGCCTCCTAAAGTGCTGGGATTACAGGCATGAGCCACCACGCCTGGCCTAGAGCTTTCACAATTTTTTGTGTTCTTTTTGGTCATTTGGTTTTAATTACTATTTTCAGATAAAAGTGATAGGATTCTGAAAGGATTGTGTAGATGGTAGTCTTTGGGTATTTGTGGACATGAAGGTTGATTTCAGCTATTTGAAATGACCTCAGAAGTCAGGGGAGTGGCACGGTGTGGTGGCTCATGGCTGTAATCTCAGCACTTTGGGAGGCCAAGGTTGGAGAATTACTTGAGGCTAGGATTCAAGACCACCCCGGCCAACATAGCAAGACCCTGTCTCTAAAAATATTTAAAAAATAAATAAATAAAACATCAGGGACACACACAATTTGTCATTTTACAGAGGCATGAAGTCAAATCATTGATATTGCAAGGCTGGGAGACAGAGACTATTACTGAGCTAGTGAGTGAGCCTAGCCAGCCTCGCAGCACTCACACGTCTCATATTGTGGTCTATAATTCATTATAACATCTGCAATAGCTCTTGTGCAGTTACTTTTCAAACAGAAGAACATTGATTTCTTTACATATACATAGATACATACACATGCATTTTTAATGGCCCTAAAAAAAAGCTGACTGCTGGGACTCGTGATGGAAGTAAGAGAAAGTGAAGTGGTCTAACAATGTGATGGTTCTCTGCCAAAAAAATAGTTTAATAAATCACTCTAAGCCTTTATTTATAGTCTCATTAAGAGTCCAAAGAACTCTCTCTCTTTTTCCAATTCTTTTTTAGTTTTATCACCAATAGATACACACTAGGAGTATTCACAAATCTAAGGATTCTTAAAATTCTCAGGATGTGTCCTTCCCAAGTAGCCAGGATCTGCTGTTCATTTAGTGCATGATATGCATTAAGGGATCAGGACCTTGCCCAAGTAGTGAAGTAATACTTAGCACAATGCATTTTAAAGCAGGTGTAGATCTTAGGATTTTGTGTGTGAGTTATATTTCTCAACCTATATTAAAGTTTAGAATATTAAATTTTCTTCTGTCAGAGTGATCAAAAATTATAACTTTCATTAACTAGTAATTCTTAAATAGTATTTTCTATTTAATCACCCTTCAGACATTTATGTTGTCTTCTCATCACAACTATAAAGAAGCTTAAGGCCAGTCGCAGTGACTCACACCTGTAATCCCAACACTTTGGGAGGCCAAGGCAGGAGGATCACTTGAGGTCAGGAGTTCGAGACCAGGTTGGCTAACATGGTGAAACCCCATCTCTACCAAAAATACAAAAATTAGCCAGGCACAGTGGCAGGCACCTGTAGTCCCAGCTACTCTGGGGGCTCAGGCAGGAGAATCACTTGAACCCAGGAGGCAGAGGTTGCAGTGAGCCAAGATTGTGCCACTGCACTCCAGCCTGGCAACAGAGCGAGACTCCATCTCAAAAATAAATAAATAAATAAATAAAATAAAAAACAAAGAAAGAAGTATGAGTCTTTTCTTAAGGATGTTTCCCGCCTAGTTTCTCTCCCTTGCTCCTTTCATACATCTCTCTGTGGCCTGAGGATTTTGCTATTGTCTTGGTTTCCCCATAATCCCTCCTTTGAAAATTAATGTAGACATCAGAATCAGACTGTGTTCAACAGAAAGAATCTGTGAGTATGTTTTTTTGTTTGTTTGTTTTGAGATGGAGTCTGGCTCTTGTTGTCCAGGCTGAAGTGCAATGGCACAATCTCCGCTCACTGCAACCTCTGTCTCCCGGGTTCAAGCCATTCTCCTGCCTCAGCCTCCCAAGTAGCTGGGATTACAGGCGCACGCCACCACACCTGGCTAATTTTTTGTATTTTTAGTACAGATGAGGTTTCACCATGTTGGCCAGGCTGGTCTCAAACTCCTGAGCTCAGGTGATCCACCTGCCTCAGCCTCCCAAAGTGCTGGGATTACAGGCGTGAGCCACTGGGCCCAGTCTGTGAGTATGTTTTACAAAGCAGAAAGATATTGCTCATTCATTTATTCAACAAACACTAATTGTCCATCTACTAGTGACAAATACTATGGTAGGCACAAAAATACAGTTGAGAGACCACGTCCATGCCTTAAAGTAGTCCACAGGGGTGGAATGTGTTGAGAGCTATGAACGAGTTCAGACTGACTCAGCCTGGAGGTTGAGAAGGCTTTTGGAAGGAGAGGACACTTAAGCAGAGTTTCTAAGAATGTATGTAGGAACTAGCCGAGTGGTAAAGAAAGGATGCTCTAGGAGAAAGGACAATATAAAGGTGAGAGAGCATGGCAGCATGGAGAAACTGAAGCAACTTGTAATGACTGCACCCCAGGGTACATGCAGGGGAAGGAGTGATGAAAAATGCACCTTGCAAAGGAGGCAGGAGCCAGATCATAAAGGGCCATAGAAAGCAGCTAAGAGGCCTGGTGCGGTGGCTCATGCCTGTAATCCTGGCACTTTGGGAGGCCGAGGCAGGCAGATCACCTGAGGTCGGGAGTTCAAGACCAGCCTGACCAGAGATGGAGAAACCCCATCTCTGCTAAAAATACAAAATTAGCAAGGCGTGATGGTGCATGCCTGTAATCTCAGCTACTCGGGAGGCTGAGGCAGGAGAATCGCTTGAACCCAGGAGGCAGAGTTTGTGGTGAGCCGAGATCATGCCATTGCACTCCAGCCTGGGCAACAAGGGCAAAACTCCATCTCAAAAAATTTTTAAAAATGAAAGCAGCTAAGGAATTTACGCCAATGATGGTGGGACTCTGCTTACACAGGAATTGACATCACCAGATTTTTATTTTATAGAAATGACTCCCAGCTATGTAGAGACTGGATTGGAAGAGATAAGACTAGGGACTGGGACCCCAGATATCTTTATTTGTTTGAGAAGAAGTGACCAAAAATAATATTTTCTGGCCAGTTGTGGTAGCTCACACCTGTAATCCCAGCACTTTGGGAGGCCGAGGCAGGCAGATCACCTGAGGTCAGGAGTTTAAGACCAGCCTGGCCAACATGGCAAAACCCCGTCTCTACTGAAAATACAAAAATTAGCCAGGCATGGTGGCACACACCTGTAATCCCAGCTACGCGGGAGGGGTACATTGAAGCAGGGAAAATTGCTTGAACCCAGGAGGTAGAGGTCGTAGTGAGCCAAGGTTGTGCCACTGCACTCCAGGCTGGGCGGCAGAGCAAGACTCCTCACAAAATACATATATATATATGTATGTATATATATATGTATATATGTATATATATATAGTATATATGTATATATATAGTATATATGTATATATATACATATATACATATATATATGCGTATATATATATATATTTTTTTTTTCAGGCCAGGCACAGTGGCTCAAGCCTGTAATCCCAGCACTTTGGGAGGCAGAGGTGGGTGGATCACGAGGTCAGGAGATCGAGACCATCCTGGCTAAGACGGTGAAACCCCGTCTCTACTAAAAATACAAAAAAAAAAAAAAATTAGCCAGGTGAGGTGGCAGGTGCCTGTAGTCCCAGCTACTCAGGAGGCTGAGGTGGAAGAATGGCGTGAACCTAGGAGGTGGAGCTTGCAGTGAGCCAAGATCGTGCCACTGCACTCCAGCCTGGGCGACAGTGTGAGACTGTCTAAAAAAAAATATATATATATATATATATATTTTTTTTTTTTCTGGAGAATGGAGACCACCACGTGAATGACATTTGCTGGCTGTTTTGTATGCAGTTCCACCTTCAGCCTTTTTTCTGAATTACTTTCCTCCACACAGTCTTCCACCATAGATATCCTTATTAATCCTGTGATGTTTCTTGATTGGAGGGTTTCTCGCGTGGTTGACATTTTGCTGTTATGCATCTCGAATTTAAATTCAGTCCTCTAGCTAGGCTTTCATTCTGGGCTTGGTAAACTGCCATGTGCCTTTAGACCTTTCCATAAAAAATAATTTATGAACTTTTGAGAGAGATTGGTATTCCCAAAGCTAAAGCTAGACCCTTGAGACTTAGCTAGGCTTAATCTAAAAAGATATAAGTAAAAGGACTGTTATCCCAAATTGGAAGAAAAATATTGCCCTTGCATTTACTGGGTACTTCCATATTTAAATTCAGACTGACTCATATTTTCTAGATCTGTCTACTTGACTCCCTAGTTAGAGCTCCCAGGGGGATGTCTTTTGCCTGGAGACTTATTCAGGCCTCCAGCAACTATTCCCTACGCCCATCTCACCCTCCTCCTCATTCAGGAAGATTTAAAGTGAAAATGTGTAGCATAAACAGGATCTTAAATCTCGTCCCAAGAATTTGATAATGACAATACCAAAAGGCCATCTTGGGTCTTAGTCTCCTGCATTAAACAAGCAGACTCAAAATTTATTATAATACTACAAACACTCTGTAGGTCATAGGTGTCTTGAGTCACATCATATAAAATAAAGTATTTTTAGATATTCTTAAGGAAAGGTCAGAAGGACCAAAATTATCCTTCCTTTTATGGTTAAGTTTATACTGGGGAGAATTTTTTTTTTTTAATAATCTGGAATTTGCATTTGCATTTTCCATTTATGACCAAAAAAACACAAAACCATGAAGTGACTGAGGCTGACTTTCAGGCCTTCTCCCATTGGTTCCTGCTGGGGCCAGCAAGTCCCTGTGCAAAGCTATGAGAAGGCAAAGATGCTTTCTGAGACCTGTTTGGCAATGGATATATCCCCTCCATGGTGATGAAACATTGCAAGTTATGGGGTATGTTCCATGACAGCATGTTAGCCATCAAAGGGTGTGCATGCCTCAGAAATGATATACATAGACAAAGGCCCTGAACGGATTTAAAGAAGCTCCTGCCAGCACCTCCAACAGCTACTGCCCTTGTAACCACTGGATATTTGGCCACTTTGGACCCTACGGGTGTGATATTCTTTCCCAAACCCTGACATGTATCTAGGAAGGAGCCAGGTGGCCCGCCTGGCCTAATAAGGTGACTCTTTGGAGCTGATCTCTATTTTGACACCAGATGGGGCCCAAAAGAGGGTCCCATACCAAGGCAAATATGCATCCTGAAACAATGGGAATAAATATGACTATGTTTCTTTCTTTCTTTCTTTTTTGAGACAGAGTTTCGCTCTTGTTGCCCAGGCTGGAGTGCAATGGCACGATCTTAGCTCACTGCAACCTCCGCCTCCTGGGTTCAAGTGATTCTCTTGCCTCGGCCTCCCAAGTAGCTGGGATTACAGGCGCCCGCTACCACATCTGGCTAATTTTTGTATTTTTAGTAGAGACAGGGTTTCACCATGTTGGCCAGGCTAGTCTCAAACTCCTGACCTCAAGTGATCCGCCCGCCTTGGCCTCCCAAAGTGCTGGGATTACAGGCGTGAGCCACCACGCCCTGCCGACTATGTTTCATTTTTATTGAAAACAACAAACAATGACCTGGGAATTAAACATAGCCAATGCAGATTTAAATAGAAGGAAATGTTAAGGAGCCATATTCCCTGCTAGAATCAGATGCCCTTTCCTGCTTTTCAAGTTTTGAGTGTTTGGTGAAGGAGTCCATGATTTGAAGAAGGCAGAAGAGGCTTGGGATGAGAACCCCATCTAGTAAGGGTCATCTCTAAAACTGCCTGATTATCTGGTGGGAATGCTATCTCCTCACTAAAAGCCTGTGGTTAGATTAATGCTAGCATTTGAAAATCTGCTAAGGCCTGATGGTGGGCAGCCAAGGAAGGAATGTGTTTTCTGTTTATCTCTTTAGTGGCAGAAATGTTCATCACAGAAAGACTGTGAACTCCCAGTTTCAGGCATGCCTGGAAGTTGTGCAGCCTATAGTCTGTATAACCTGTATACACTGTAAAAACTGGAATGTGCACACCAGTTTCTGAATGACAAAAAAGAACCAGGCCTTTGTTTGCAGCCAGTTACCTGGGTTGGTCGATGGGTTAATCAGTTTCTTTGACTTGATAACAGTTTCTTTGACTTGATCTTGCCGCATCGTTCTGAAAGGAGGTTTTACCACCCCCACTGTTCTGTCTACCAGGAATGCAGTTTGAGTTGTGTCTCCTCCTTGACAGCTTGGACCTCAGTAAATTACCAAGGTCTTGACCCAAGAGATGGAGAAGTCCTAAGTGATTTTTCAGTCTCCTATCTAAAAATGTGTTTACATTTCTTGAACTCTGGCTGACTGATTCATTCTCCTGGTGTTGCAAGAACTTTCCTTATGCATTAGAATTCATAAGTTTCATTTCTAAGAGGCCCATGGTTCCTTCCAAGCCACAGTGTAGTGAACCTCATCACAACACAATTCTGCTGGGCTGGATTTGTCCCAAGTGTGGATCATGGCCAAAGCAGCTGTGATGTGGCAAGCTCATTGAAGCTAACGGGAGGCAGTGTGATGTGGAGGGGAAAGTGCAAGACACTAAGTCAGGACATCTGGGTTCTGGGTCCTGGTCTTGTGTTATTTCAAGGTGTGCCCTTGAGCCAATTGAATGAAAATGCTTTCAGGGCCTCAGTTTCCCCCAAGCTGATTCAAATTTAAAAAAAAAAAAAATTTTTTTTGAAACAGAGTCTCACTCTGTTGTGTCCGGAAATGGTGGGTTCTTGGTCTCGCTGACTTCAAGAATGAAGCCGCAGACCTTCGTGGTGAGTGTTACAGTTCTTAAAGGTGGTGTGTCCAGAGTTTATTCCTTCTGGTGGGTTCGTGGTCTCGCTGACTTCAGGAGTGAAGCTGCAGACCTTCATGGTGAGTGTTACAGGTCTTAAAGGCAGCACGTCTGGAGTTGTTCGTTCTTTCCGGTGGGTTCGTGGTCTTACTGGCCTCAAGAGTGAAGCTGCAGACCTTCGCGGTGAGTGTTACAGTTTGTAAAGGTGGCGCATCCGGAGTTGTTCATTCCTCCTGTCTGGCGTTGTTCGTCCTTACAGAGAGCTGATTGGTCCGTTTTGACAGACTGCTGATTGGTGCGTTTACAATCCTTTAGCTAGACACAGATTGCTGATGGGCGCATTTACAATCCTTTAGCTAGACAGAAAAGTTCTCCAAGGCCCCACCCCACCCAGAAGCCCAGTAGGCTTCACCTCTCAATAGCACTCGCTGCGGGACTTTGCGGCACCTAGCCCAGGCACTCCGGCAGCCCAGAGGGAGCTCATCCCCCGATCAAGCCCAGCAGGCGTCGGCCGCGACAGGCCCAGTCCGCGCCCACCCGGAACCCGCGCCGGCCGACGAGCGAGCTGCTGCACGCAGCCCCGGCTCCTGCCTGCGCCTCTCCCTCCACACCTCCCGGCGAGCAGAGGCTCAGGCCTCGACCAGCCCCAGAGAAGGGCCCCACAGCGCAGCGGCGGGCTGAAGGGCTCCTCCAGCACGCCAGAGCGGACGCGGAGGCCAACGAGGCGCCGAGAGTAAGCAAGGGCTGCTAGCACGTTGTCACCTCTCACTGTCACCTAGGCTGGAGTGCAGTGGTAAATCTCGGCTCACTGCAACCTCCACCTCCCGGGTTCAGGTGATTCTTGTGCCTCAGCCTCCTGAGTAGCTGGGATTACAGGCACGCGCCACCACTCTGCTAAGAAATGTTTTAAATCTGTGCAAAAGCCATTTTCAAAGAGAAGAAGATAGCTGAGAAACAACAGAAAAGGGAAGGTCAGCCCACAAAGAATGAGTAGAGGCTTAAGTTCAAAAAGACAAAGATACAGAGTCATATATGGCCATTGGCTCCTAAAAGAGCTACTTATGAGTATCAAGTATGGAAAGAACTTTTTGTTGGACATTCGTCCCACAGAAGAAACTAAACCCTTCGTCAGTAGAGCCATGTGCTTAGCTAAATCTATTCCTCAAATAAACATTCCTTTAGAACATTAAAGTTACTTTTTTTTTTTTTTTTTTTGAGATGGAGTCTCACTCTGTCACCCAGGCTGGAGTGCAGTGGCGTGATCTCAGCTCACTGCAACCTCTGCCTCCCAGGTTCAAGTGATTCTCCTGCCTCAGCCTCCGGAGTAGCTGCGACTACAGGCGCGCACCACCACGCCCGGCTAATTTTTGTATTTTTAGTAGAGATGGGGTTTCACCTTGTTGGCCAGACTGGTCTCGAACTCCTGGCCTCAAGCACTCCACCCACCTCGGCCTCCCAAAGTGCTGGGATTACAAGCATGAGCCACCGCACCTGACCAAATTTACTTTCTTAAGGGAAAAAAAAGAAAAGCAAAATAAAACCTATCCTTTTGCGCCATGGAGTTTTAGGGTCGGGCAGTCTTGGAGGGAAATCCTTACTCAAAACCTCACTAGTGGTACAACTTTGAGTGGGTTACTATACCTTTTGCACCTCAGCTGCCACACCTATAGAGAACATTGACAATGACAACATGGAGGGGAGTCATGGCCATCACACGACAGCCCCATGCTGGTGTCCGGGTGGTGCCTTCTTCCCGGCTGGCTCCGCGGTTTCCATGGTTTCTGTTAGTCCCCTCCCTCCATCCCCACTTTGGCGTTTGCCTTTGTTTGATTCATGTTTCCACCCTTCCTCTTGCCCCTCCACATTATGAGGAAAAAGGGAAGCCTCTGATCTCTCTATTTGGAAGTTTGCAGAAGCCTTTTCCTACTTCAGTGAAGTGCAGTCATACAAAATTTATACTCAACAGCATCAGCAGATTTTTTTCCATCAATATTTCCTTTTTAATTTCAGCTTTATCTGAATTTTAATAGCATAAAGAATTTACTTTTGTTCTTTTAAAGAGCAACCAAAACAAGAATAATATATGTTTGAATATAAGGTCTTAACACTATGTTTAACATGGTGTTTAGGCTATGCCTATAGAGGTTACAGGTGTTTTTTGGTGAGTAAATTATGAATGCCATGGGTGTATATGTGCTTATAATCTTACATACATATGAACTAGGTGTGTGTGTGTGTATGGTATATATAAAAAGTCATGAGATCCAGATCTGACCACCTTGATCTTTTTTCCTCTTTGATTTTCACTACAGCAAACACTGAACCTAGAGCCAATCTTCACATGAACCTTTATGAAACCTCACCGTTGACCCAAACAACAGAGAAGCAGGTATAGTATTGACTCTGAATGAGGATGACACTAGGAGTCACAACTCTTGGGTTCTTGTTTCAGCTTGCTGTGTGCCCCTCAGTGAGACTCTTTACCTCTCTGGGCCTCATTTGCCTAATCAGTAAAATGAGACAAGTAGACTATGAAATCACAGAGGTTCCTTTACTCTTAGACTTGGAATGTCTTAACTTGGACTGTATTATTTGGCTCTTTACTTGTGTGAATAAGCTCAAGGTCTTTCCCTGACTTCTGCAAAGTCAGAAAGGGAATAAGGGAACACAGAAAGGTGGCATCCAGTGAGGCAGTAGGCACTAGTTTTCATTCGTAAAATTAGTAATTCGTAATTAGAGATAAACATTAGCAATTAAGAAAAACAAAGTGCAAAGGTAATCATGAAGAAAGGAGGATGGTGCTTCATCTAGATACATTAAGAATTTCTATTAGCGGGCCAGTCACAGTGGCTCATGCCTGCAATCCCAGCACTTTGCGAGGCTGAGGCAGGCAGATCACCTGAGGTCAGGAGTTCGAGACCAGCCTGGCCAACGTGGTGAAACCAACCCCGTGTCTACTAAAAATACAAAAATTAGCCGGGTGTGGTGGCATGCACCTGTGGTCCCAGCTACTTGGGAGGCTGAGGCAGGAAAATCGCTTGAACCTGGGAGTTGGAGGTTGCAGTGAGCTGAGATCATGCTGCAGCCAGAATCCAGAGTGAGACCCTGTCTCAGGAAAAAAAAAAAAAAAAAAGAATATCTATTAGTGGTTCAAGGACATATGTTCACAAATATTTATAAGTTTGTTCCTTCCTTGGAAGCTTTGAAGCTGGAACTGTCTCCAAATTCTCTCTAGAGAGACAACTCAGGGGAATTCCTAGAACTGAATCCAGGGCCTCGGAGAACCTGAGGCAGAGGCAGCACATGCAGCTCCAGGGGACTCCCAGGTCTCATCCTACTGTGTGACACCTCCAGGCCATGATCTTGACTTCTCCATTCTGTCCACCTTCCTTCCTGCCACAGCCTAGCTATCTCTTCTTCCCCAGCACTCATTATACATAATGATAAAGAAACGGGTTTGCTTTCATCTGCGTGCCTGAGCTGGGCTCTGAGGTAGGACCTGAACTCTCTGTGACAACCCTAGGCCTGGGTCAGGCCTCCACTGAGGTGAAACGCAGCTGAGCGGCTCCTCCCTGCTGCCAAGGAGCTGCAGAACCAACATTTGCATATTTTAAATGCCCACTTTGCAGACATCCCATTTACGGGATCTAGAGACAGAGTTTTTGAAAGAGTGTGTGACTAAGGAAAACATAATATGGTGTATTTTGATAATTCTGCAACCCAAAGGCCATGCAAAGGCCTCACATACCCTAAACACACCCCAAATTCACACAGCCCCACGGTTCTATTCCAAAAGAGCTACTATCACCTGCAATGAAAGAGAGGCTCAGCCAGGTGCAGTGGCTCACGCCTGTAATCCCAGCACTTTGGGAGGCCAAGGTGGGCGGATCACGAGGTCAGGAGTTCAAGACCAGCCTGGCCAACATGGTGAAACCCCGTCTCTACTAAAAATACAAAAATTAGCTGGGCATGGTGGCGCACATCTGTAATCCCAGCTACTCGGGAGGCTGAGGCAGGAGAATCGCTTGAATGCAGAAGATGGAGGTTGCAATGAGCCAAGATCACTCCATTGCACTCCAGCCTGGGCAACAGAGCAAGACTCCGTCTCAAAAAAAAAGAAAGAGGGGCTCAACCATGTCACATTAAATCCTAGGTTGAATTGTTAACTTTGTAGTCAGAAGAAGGAACACCAGAGCGAGGGGTCTTAAACTCTCATGCTGGTTCCCCCCGTGAGGCTGTGGAAAGTCAGCTCCCTGAGAAGCCCATGCACCTGCCTCCTTTGTGAAATGATGGGGTGGCTCCCACCAGAACCCATTGGTTTGTCCAAGTCGCAGTAGTCCCAATTCCTTTAGAAGCAGCCCTGGAAAGAAAGGGCATCTGAGGAGAAGTCTAGGGAGCCCCACCAGCCCCAAACACAGAGAAAACAGGGTGGGAGGGAGGTGGGGGTGACTTCCTGGCCTCCTGCACCCCCGCTTACTTCTCGAGGCTAATGGCCTCTTATTAGATTAATCACTGACTTCAGTTTTAACTACTTCCTCAGCCTACTCCATGGCAATGACTAATTTCATGTTTATTATAAAGCATCTGGAACACATTTAGAACAAATTTCTGTCCAGCTGATTTCAGTTCCCTACCTTGATGGGCCACTGGCAATCCAGGGGATTCCTTCCCTGCGGCCTTTCCCACCCTGAAGCAGAGGACATCACAATACTGATCTTAGCAGCACCGTTCCTTTCCATCAGTTCCCCCACTGGCTGCCCCCTCCCTCCCTTCCTTGGGATCTGACCCTATTAGGGGTTCAGTCACATGAAAGATTTGTACTTTTATCACCCTGCTAGCTGAGCGAGGGGAAGACATGTCAAAGGTGGATATTCTGGTATTACCACCCTCTAATGAGAAGTCGCAGACCTAGATTTTGAAAACAATCTCTGGCGTGTGGGTTGGAGAGAAAGCCACAGGGTGCTCTGCAGAGGCTGGGGTGACGGCGTTCCCTGGGCTGGAGGCTTCTGCAGAGGCCCTACCGCTGTGATGGGAGAGCCTTCACCTTGTCTCCTCAGAGGCTGTCCAAGCTGCAGTGGGAGCAGAAACGGTTAGGCTCCTTCCTCCAGCACACGATGATGGCAAATGGTGGGAATGGTTCCCAAGGCACCCCTTCCACACCTGACCCAAGGAGCGGGGCCTAGGCAGCGAATCCATCAAAAGAAACGAGAGTAGCAACTGATATCAGCAACTTCCTAGGAGTTGGAAGAGGGGGTGAGGTGGTGGGGGCAGGGGTAAGAAAACTACAAGGGGAAATGTGGAGATGAAAAGAGAGCAATGAAAAAAGAAAAAGGAGACAACCAGACATGTTTCAACTCCAAGCTCCCATTTCCTCTTTCAAATGAACTGCTTCCCCACTGTGAACAGAATCAAGTATTTATGAAGGCATTTTTTGCATATTAATAGCTGCATATGGAACATTGCCAGAGCTGCAGTCCTGAAGGTACAGTGCCCTTTTTTAATGCAGGTCTTTCAAACTCCTCACAGAATTTGGTATTCTTCAGATTTATTTTCATTTCTGCCTCGTGGCTCCTCCTAAGGCCCTTCATTTGATTAAGGGAAATTAGTTCCCGGGATACTTTCAGAGACAGAGTATTGCTCTTACCTCGGTGAGCTGCTGACATCAATCACTGGAGAAGCTTTTCCTCTCCCCCAAGGCCTCTCTGTGTAGAGGCCGCAGGTTGGGTAAGGTGACCAGCACCTAAAAAGAGTATTAAAATTATAAATGAAAATTTCAAGAGGAAATATTAATATAGCTAGACAGTGGTGGGAGGAAGTAAAACTAGAAAAAAAAGTAAAATAGTTTCATTAACTTTACCATCTATACTCAGTAAAGATTACCTCCAATTTTAAAAGAAAATCATTGAGAACCAGGAGAAAAATAAACAAAAGACAGAAACAATTCATATCCTAAAAGGAGTAACAGAAAATAAATATGAAAAAAATCATTCATCTTGATTAACAATTTATATGCATATTGAGGCAAACTGTAAGTACCATCTTATATCTGAGATTTGTGCCTTCTCTTACTCTTTTTAAATGGTAACACCCAGGGCTGCCAGAGTTTTGGTAAAACTGGTATACTTATACACTTCTGGTGGAACACAGTCTTGGTTCAATCCCTTTGTAAAGCAAAATGGCAATATAACTCATGAAACATGAAAAACATGAAATATCCATTGATTATGTATTTCTGACTTCCGGGAATTTATCCTAAGGAAATAATTCAACAGAAAAAAAGAAAAAAGTCAGTGAAGATGTCCATTGCAGCATTATCTATAACAGAGAAAATCTGGAAACAGCCTAAGAGTGTAACATCAGAGAAATGATTTTGGGGAGGTTTAGAATCTTGTGGCCTCCAGCCGCATGACTCCTAAACCATAATTTCTAATTTTGTGGCTAATTTGTTAGTCCTGCAAAGGCAGTCTGGTTCACAAGTAGGAAGGGGACTTGTTTTGGGAAAGGGCTGTTATCGTCTTTGTTTCAAAGCTAAACTGTAAACTAAGATCCTCCCAAAGTTAGTTCAGCCTACACCCAGGAATGAACAAGGACAGCCTGGAGGTTAGAATCAAGATGGAGTTGGTTAGGTCAGATCTGTTTCACTGTCTCAGTTATAATTTGGCAATGGCAGTTTCACCCTCAGTGAAGGGTTGACTTCAAGCATTAAAAAAGAATGATTGTTCATACTAGAAACTGAGATTTAATACTAATGTTTAACTAACAGGCAACATCACTGACATTTTGGACCAGATAGTCTTTGTTGTGGGGAACTTTCCTGTTGATTGCAGGATGTTAAGCAGTATACTAGATGCCAGTAGCACAACCCTCCCCAGTTGTGACAATCAAAAATGTTTCCAGACCCTGCCAAATGCCCACTGGGGAGCGAAATCACCTCCAATTGACAACCACTGGTTTAATTTTTTTTTTTTTTTTTTTTTCTTTTTGAGATAGAGTCTTGCTCTGTCACCCAGGCTGGAATGCAATGGCACAAACTCGGCTCACTGCAACCTCCGCCTCCAGGGTTCAAGCAATTCTCTTACCTCAGCCTCCCAAGTAACTGGAATTATAGGATCATGCCACCACTCCCAGCTAATTTTTTTGTATTTTAGTAGAGACAGGGTTTCACTGTGTTGCCCAGCCTGGTCTCGAACTCCTGAGCTCAGGCAATCTACCCGCCTTGGCCTCCCAAAGTGCTAGGATGACAGGCGTGAGCCACCGTGCCCAGCCTGATTTAACATTTTAAAAGTGGAAATCAAAATAAGTCAACTATGACTGCAACTATGTAAAAAAAAAAAATGTATCTATTCGGAAAAGACTTGCAAATAATGCATGAAAAAAGTGCTGTCATGCTAACTTGAAATCGAGGTGGATTATGTTATTTGTTTTCCTGGGCTTTTTTTTTTTTTTTCATTGTTTTGCCTTTTTCTAAATTCTACCTATAAGGAAAGACAGATCATGAGGAGAGCTGGTTTTATTCAAGTCTAGCATAAAATAATCTCGGACTCAGTGTATACAACAAGTATTCAGCAAGCTGAACGGGGTCAACACCATAGCACCATTATTTTTTAGCAAATTATCATTGGTTTAAAATATTTAACATTAATCAGGTTTTTATTAGTTTATTGAATAGAGTCATCAGCATTCTCTTTTTAAGGATCTCAATCCCTTTTTGGCATTTTATCCCTCTAACTCTAGACTTTGGGGGACAATGAATTCATCTTTCTGAAAAATTGGAACTCAGAGCATAAAACTCTCATCCATCCAGATCCATCTATGTAAGCTTGGGAAAAGAGGGGCGCTTGAGCCCACTTGTTTATAGAGCTGTCAGGGCAGAGGTTGTCAGTAAAGAGTATCAAAGTACAAGCTCAAACCTTAATTAGATTTCCCAAAAATGATTGCATCTCTTTGTTTAAAATAAGAAAGAAAGCATCTCACCAGTTTTCACATTGTCACTTTTCTCCCTTTGTTTAAACTATTTCCAGGCTAGGGAGAACAAACATCCTTTCTCACATGCCTTATCTTGGGTTTTGTTTTGTTGCTTTGTGGGGCTTAGAACTTTGATAGTATCCTAAAAATCCTGTTAAATTGGTGTTATATCCCTTTCTTCACTTCTGTTTCAACCTATACTATCTCTTGAGTTCAGGTTTCATAAGTTTACAACAGTATAAATTCATATTTAATCTTATGTATCCTAAGTGTATCTCTTTTGGATTTCAAAGAGTAGCCTGTAATTCTAGCTTACTAGGATTTGGTTTGAATAAACCTGTGTTTACCGCCATCTGTTTCCTTGGTGGTTTCACAGATGGTGTTCATATCCCCGTCAGCTCTCCTCTTTCAGGACCAAAAACAACATGCACACGAAAAAAAAACAAAAGATAAAACACCTGTAGACACACTATGTTTTGTACAAGGGTACAATCGTAACCTTTTATTTCAGTGTCCTTTTAAGCCGTACCCTACCCTGCCTTCTATAAGGCTGTTATCTGCCTTTGTATCCTTTGTGTCTGGCACAGTTCCTGGTACATGGGAGCCACTCAAAAATAAATCAACAGGCCGGGCACAGTGGCTCACACCTGTAATCCCAGCACTTTGGGAGGCCAAGGTGGGCGGATCACTTGAAACCAGAAGTTCGAAACTAGCCAGGGCAACAAAGTGAAACTAAACCTGTCATTAACATTAAGATCCATGTTCTGAATAGAAAAACCCTATCTCCTCTAAGTAGAATTCAGAGATTGCACTTGTTTTATTTTCAGTGATAATGAGATGGAAGTTCAACTGATATTTTCCCCACAACTCACACAATCTCTGGGCATTTCCTGCCATTGGTCATTATGATTTGGTTTTTCCTTCTCTGGAAAAGCTTTGGGTCATGTGCAGACTCGGGGATGTCACTAGGCATCCTTCTTGGAGATCTCTCTGAGGCTGACAAGTAAGATTGGTCTCCACACCAATGCCTAAGAGAATTCGCTTCTGCATTTCCCCATCAAGAGAAGTGCTCTTGACTCCCTACCCTGCCTTTGTTTCTTGTTTCTAAAGTCAGCTGTCTTTTCCAAGACACTGCCAACGTTCACCTATTTCCATGCCTGTGCTCACTCTCCCTTCTCTCTCTCCCCACCCCTCTGGTTTTGTAAATAGCTTTGGTTGTGGAACTTTATTCAAAGGCTTTTTGAAGATCTAAGCAAACTTCATCTTCTGGTTCAACCTTACCCACAGGATTACTTTGTCTGCCCCAAAACGCCCTAGACAATTTAAGGCTAATTTCCTGAGAGGGGTTTGTTTTTAATTACAAAAGGAAGGCTTTTATTTGCTGAGTTTTCACTGCAACTATCATTTATTCCAATAAGTCTGTATTAATCGATGTCTTGGCTGCTAGTGACACATAATATCTGCGTAGTTAATTTTTTTCCTTTTTTCTTTGTATTATGAAAAATTTCAAAGATATGTAAAAGGATAGTATGATGAACCTCCACATACCTATCACAAGCTTTAACAATTATCTCCCCATTCTCTTGAGAGGGTCTTTTTTTTTTTTTTTTTTTTTTTTGAGATGGAGTCTCACTCTGTTGCCCAGGCTGGAGTGCAGTGGTACAGTCTCGGCCCACTGCAACCTCTGCCTCCAGGATTCAAGCGATTCTCCTGCCTCAGCCTCCCAAGTAGCTGGGATTACAGGCGCCCGTCACCACACCCGGCTAATTTTTGTAGTTTTAGTAGAGTCGGGGTTTCGCCATGTTGACCAGGCTGGTCTTGAACTCCTGACCTCAGGTGATCCACCCACCTTGGCCTCCCAAAGTGCTGGGATTACAGGCTTGAGCCACCCGCCTGGCCAAGAGGGTCTTTTTAAATGGTAAAAACAGCCAATGTTTTTGAGTTTTACTATGCACAGGGTTTAGGATTATCTCATCCTTACAACATCCCCATGTAGTTGGTACAGTTATTATCCCTGTTTACAGATAAGGAAATAGATGTCAGGACTAATAGGGCCCCTTTCACACATGAACCGCACTTTAAAGAGGCCTAGTCATTTGGAAATCCAATAAAGCTGCATTTAAATCCCAACTTCTAGGCCAGGAGTGGTGGCTCACATCCATAATCCCAGCACTTTGGGAGACCAAGGCTGGAGGATTACTTGAGCTCAGGAGTTTGAGACCAGCCTGGGCAACAAAGTGAGACCCCATCTCTATAAAAAAGTAGCAGCCGGGTGCAGTGGCTCACGCCTGTAATCCCAGAACTTTGGGAGGCTGAGGTGGGTGGATTACGAGGTCAGGAGATGGAGACCATCCTGGCTAACAAAGTGAAACCCTGTCTCTACTAAAAATACAAAAAATTAGCCAGGTGTGGTAGTACTCACCTGTAGTCCCAGATACTCGGGAGCCTGAGGCAGAAGAATCTCTTGAACCCGGGAGGTGGAGGTTGCAGTAAGCTGAGATTGCGCCACTGCACTCCAGCCTGGGTGACAGAGCAAGACTCCATCTCAAAAAAAAAAAAAAAAAAAAAGCCAGGTGTGTTGGTGCATATCTGTAGTCCCAGCTACTCAGGAGGCTGAGGCAGGAGGATTGCTTGAGCCTGGGAGGTCAAGGCTGCAGTGAGCCATGGTCATACGACCGCACTCCAGTCTGAGTGACAGAGCAAGACTCTGTCTCAAAAATGAATAAAATAAAATAAATCCCAACTTCTTCCTTATAGGCTATGTGGCTTTAGGCAGGCTATTTAACCTCTCTGAGGCACAGTTTCCTCATAGGGTAATAATATTTCCCTCATGGGGTCATGATGAGGATGAGATGAAACATATTGAAAGGGATTCACACAATGCTTGGCAGTAGGCAGCCCCCAATACGTTATAATCATTACTGTTGTACTCCCCTGTCCCTTTCCTTGAAAGCCATTATAAAACAGAACTTGGAGCTTGTATACAATCTAAAGGTTTAGACATGGAAAAGGAGAAGCTTGAAAAGCAGGAATAATTTAAAGGAGGACAATGAGTCAATCTACCAATTGTTCCTCCCTTTCCCATCCCCAACCCCCAATTCAAGCATCCCTCTCTCTGCCTCCCAAATATCCTCCATGCCTTCTGGAGTGTTCACTGTGTTTCACTGTTTAAAATTCTAACCATTAGAGATTATTTTGGGTTCCTCATACCTCTTTGTGAAAGTTTCTTAATTGCTTTCGCCATATACCTAAGGGCGCACAGCTGAAGGTCTAGGGGCAGAGGGGAGGCAGGGAATTTGGGGGCCAGGAGCACTGTGTCAGCAGGGCACCACGGCCCACAGCACAGGGCTGCAGAGGAAAATGTAGAGGTCGGAGGACAGAAGAGCCCAGTGGAGGGGAAGGGGTCAGGAAAGTGTGGAGGGCCAGGAAAGTAAAAGAAAGGACATTTTTCTTTCTCTTCTTCCAGCCTTCTGCTGTCACGCATGACCAGGACTACTTCAACTCCATAGTCCGGCTGAATTTGGGTTAAACTTTTATGGGCGAGTCTGGGAATCAAAACACCATTTTTTTTTCCTAGTAAAAATCGACTGATTTAAAAATGACCTTTTCACAGTGGAATCAGTTTGCAAGTTGAGATTCCCTGTCTGTCGGTTGTCAGATTGCAAAAGTCCCACCAGACCCAACAAAACAAGGAAGTCACACAGTTTTGAGTTCAAGTTGTGAGTTAGAAGGAGCTGGGGAGTTGTTCAGATTTCCCACCTTTCACCCCTCGACGTCCCATCTCCCAGTCTAAAATAGAATGTGTCATCTCTCAAACACAGGCACAGTTCCGGCCTGAATACAGCTAGCCACCCCCTCACAGAAAAAGCTGGCTTCTACCTCCCTTGGGGCAGAAGAGATCACTGTTTTGGCTTGAAATTTTTCTCCTCCAGCTCCTGCTGAGCCAGATAAACAGTGATTCTGTTGTATCAACAAAGCACGTAATAATGTTGAAGACAATAGCAATTAGAACTCACAGCTAAGATTTACTTATAGTAGAAGCTCTGGAATGAAAGTGTCCAGAGTTTCATTCAGAATTTCCTGGAAGAGAACAATGAGCTTAGCCCCATTTTCTAGGTAGGGAAGCTGAGGCACAGAATGACTTAGCCAAAGTCACGAAATGAGCCCCTCACAGGAGCAAAGATTGGAGGTTGCCATGTTTCTCTTCCGAGGCTCATGTTTGCTAGCTGTTCGGCTAATTTGCTAAACACTCAGGAGGATGTCAAATCTCCTTCTATAAAGTTGAGGACATTAAAAAATAGATGAAGACCAAAATTCCTGACAGGCGGAGAACAAGAAAGCTCTTGTTTGGCTACCAAACTAACTGTCTCCACCGTGCCTACTTGTGGAGCCCTCGCAAAACGGCCCACTCAGCCCATTTCACCAGCACCAAATTCCCTGCAGAATGTAAAAAGTGGGCCCAGACCTCACGTGGCCAAGAAGAGCAGGATGACCCCAGGTGACAGGTGCTAGACTGCTGGGCACATTTGTGTGGGTGGAAGCCCGCTGTGGCTCGGGGGTTCTGCTGCTCCTCAGAAAGAGGCTATGCGGCCAGGCTGGGTTGCTGAGCTGAGATCCCAGGCGTCCATCTGACCTCCTGCACACTGGAGGCCTCCTCCCTTCCAGCCAGGGAAACCTAGACAGAGACAGAACCTCAAAGTGAGGACTTTGGGGGTGGCCAGGGTGGTCGGCCTTGCCACAGACAGAGTGCCCTCCAAGTCAGCCTGAGGTTGACAATGTATACAACGCCCGGCCCATTCGGATCCCCTTCCTAGGCAGTCCCATCTCAGGGAGCCCACGGAGTCCCAGGTACGCTCAGCCCCACGTCTGGCCCCATTCCCACTGCCCGCTTTTAGGTCCGCAGGCTGCCATGGGCAAGGAACAACAGGGCCCGGGAAGGCCAAACACGGGGAAAGTTGCCAGGCCCTTTGCTCCTGCAGGAAGGGCCCCTTCCAGGATTTAGTTCCCCTACCCTAGCAGGGGGCGGGAGGACAGGGAAGCTCAGAATCCCAGCCCTCCTTCTCCCCTACCCCCAGTGACTAAATCTCTCAGATCTCTGTGTGCCCCTGGGACTCAGAGCCAACCAAGGGGAGTCAAAGGACAGACTATCAGCCAACGAGGGGAGCCTGGGGGTCAGAGGAGGGACTGACTCTTCCTTTTGTTTACTCACAGGAGGCGACAAATGCCCTTTGTGCACAGAGGTTTGATGTGGCAACTTGAGAGACCACCTAAGGGTTTCAGCAAAGGCTCCCCCGACCCGCTCTTCAAACGTTAAGATAATGGCGGGGTGTGTGCCCCAGCACATTTCAGATCTTGGTTACAAAGGCCCTCCTCCTTTCTGTTTTCTTCCTCCAGCTCAGCTTGCCCGCAGGTTCCCGGAGCCTCTTGGCAGCCTGTTCTCCGGCAGAATGAAGTTGTGAGCTGCGTGGGAGGGAGTTAGACAGTGAGAGTGTTGCAGCCTCCTTAATGAGAGACAATCGCTCTTCTTGGAGCCATTAAACCGCAGCTACAAAGATGGGGAACCCCAATTAGAAAGGAGTGGGAGAAGTAATGAGGAGGGCCGGAGGGACACCTACAGGACAGATCCTTATCTCTGGTGGCTCTGTGGGACCCAGGGTGGAGACACAGCCACTTGGGTTTAGAATTTCATCTCCTTCTTAAGGTTAGACTTCCCAAAGTCTGTTTGGAGAGCCAACCCATGGTAGTGACCATTTAAAATATAACAGTTGAAAGGAGGAGGAAAAATTACTGGGGAGAAGGATTTCTCCCTGGGTCTGTAGCTCAGATATTATAATCCAAGAGTAAGAAAGGAAACAGTAAGATGCGTCTGTAATTTTAATGGATGTTCTCTTTAAGTTTTGCTATATTATATATGTGTGTAAGTCTAGATATTTGTACGGAACCAATAGCTCTCCCTTTTTTCTGTGTGATAGCTCAACTGAATCACATTGTGTTTACAGCAAGATAATAATCCTGGATTTTCCATGGCTCACTCTGTCAGAGTATAAGATTAGCTCTTGAATTCATTAACAGTCATCTCCTTTTAAATGTCAGATAACTTTTTAAATGCCAAGTATTTACGCAATGCCTTCTGTGCAATTCAAATCAGCTTTACCAAATTAACTCGTTAATCTTTATTGTTTCATTTACTAAAGAGAAAGGCTTCCAGGTGTTTTTAGCAGAACATAAAAATATTAAAGTATTTGCAGTACAATATAGGTGAAGGGATGGGTTCTGTTTTTCTGCTAAACATTTCACCATTCCATCAGTTTTTTTGGTTTGTTTGTTTGGTGTGGGGTTTTTTTGTTTGTTTTTTTGTTTTTTGTTTTTTGTGTTTTTTTTTGAGACAGAGTCTCGCTCTGTCGCCGAGGCTGGAGTGCAGTGGCGCGATCTCCGCTCACTATAACGCTCACCTCCTGGGTTCAGGCAATTCTCATGCCTCAGCCTCCCAAGTAGCTGGGACCACAGGCTTGCACCACCATGCCTGGTTGATTTTTGTATTTTTAGTAGAAATGGGTTTTGCTGTGTTGGCCAGGCTGGTCTTGAACTGCTGGCCTCAAGTGATCCAGCCACCTCAGCCTCCCGCAGTCCTGGGATTACAGGCATAAGCCACCGCACCTGTCCATTCCATTAGTTTTTAAATCATCTCCACCAAAGTATTCACATAAAAGAAACAAAAAACCTTCAGGCATCTCTGCTTTCTTCAGTTCCCCCATTTTCCTTCCCTTCCATTTAACCTTGTGTTTTCTTCTCTCTCCTGTACCTTTAGAGACCTTGACTCCTGATCACTATTTATTCTTCTGTCTTTGCTCTCAACATACCCAAGAGCTGCAAGTGTCAGTTTTGATTGCTCTGCCACTCAGAAAACAGAGGGGTGCCTCATGGGGTCAAGGATGGAGCCCAGAAGACTGGGGCAGACAGGCCTAGAAATCAGGAATTCCAATTTCCTTTTAAAAGATCCCCTGCTTACCTCTAAATAATCAGACCACAGGGCCAGGCACGGTGGCTCACTCCTGTAATCTCAGCACTTTGAGAGGCCAAGGCGGGTGGACCACCTGAGGTCAGGAGTTCGAGACCAGCCTGGCCAACATAGCAAAACCCCATCTCTACTAAAAATACAAAAATTAGCCGGGCATGGTGGCACACACCTGTAGTCCCAACTACTCGGTAGACTAAAGGAGGAGAATTGCTTGAATCAGGGAGGCAGAGGTTGCAGTGAGCCAAGATTGCGCCACTGCACTCCAGCCTGGGCAACAGAGCAAGACTCTGTCTCAAAAAATAATAATAATAATAAAATAATTCAATAAATAAATAATCAGACCACAGAGATACCAGCTACCCTGATTGCTAAAGATAGATTCATCCAGGGCTGGCTCCAGCTTGTCATCCAGCTCTCTCCTCAGAGCAGCCTCCTCTGACCATTTAAGCCAAGCGGCCACCCCCTTCCCATTACCCTCCCTCCTAGCACCATTGTGTTGTCTTCACAGACTAGTCACCACCTAAAAGCATCATCTTGCTTATGTGTGTGTTTGTTTGTCTGACACATAGTAGGCACTTAATAAATATCAGTTTAATGGATAAATGAAAAACCAACCAAGCACGTGACTTTCATTTTTATTTTTGTATTTGTTATTACTTTTATATTTATTTATTTTAGAGACAGGGCCTTACTCTGTTGCCCAGGCTGGAGTGCAGTGGCATGATCATAGCTCACTGCAGCCTCAAACTCTTGGGCTCAAGGATCTTACCACCTCAGCTTTCTGAGTAGCTGGGACTACAGGCACACACCACCACACCCAGCTAATTTTCTTTAAATTTTTTTGTAAAGACAGGATCTCACTGTGTTGCCCAGGTTGGCCTCAAACTCCTGAACTCAGGCAATCCTCCTGCCTCAGCCTTCCAAAGTGATGAGATTACGGATATGAGCCACTGCACCGGACCTAGCATGCGACTTTCTTTCCTGCTTTCAATTTTCTGACTTTTTCTTCTCCCATCACTACCTCTTCTTTATATGTTTAATCTTTTTTTTCCTCCCATATCCCAAATCCCCTTTCACTATCATTCATTCATTAGAACACTTGAACGTAATGAGCAAAAACAGTACTTCACATTCCAGTGGGTATAGAGCCTTCACTCAAAACATTCCATCAAGTTAGAATTGATGGCCTCTGAACATTAGGGAGATGAGCCATATGGTCAGGAGAATTGTTTTATCGAAAGATTTATAGGTCAAGTGCTTTGGGGAGACTTTTCTCAAAGCCTCTCAACTCCCCCACTCTTCAATCTGAGCCCCAAATAAGGAGTTAAAGTAATTTCAGGCGTTGGAACTCGTCTTGACTATGCCTTTTGTTCTCCCATCTAACACAAAATCTTCTCTTGGGGATAATGGAGAAATTTCCCTCAAATCATTATCATCTGATTTCTATTATTCTATCCAGTGATTCATGCATGATTGTGGAGGCTAGAAAGCTTGAAATGCCTTGTCTGAGTCTAGCTTGGACCAAATGCTTTCATTTTATCGAGAAATGGAGAGGGACTGTCTCACCCTGAAAAGCTAATCAGATATGTGGCTGAGATGATAAAAAAATTGGATGTGTGTTTATCCAGAAAAATCTTTATCTCTAGCCACATTTCAAAGCAAAAGAAAAGGGTGTGGGTGTTCATTGGAATGATGACTGTTTGTGGGGACTCACCAATTGTTAATTCATCATTAATGTTTAAAAGTAATATAAATGTTATGGGAGGGAGAGTTTATGACTGCCCAGGGAGATGGCCTTCTGAGAGTCTCCTAGAAAATATGGAAATTATCAAATCCACACTCAGGGTGATCTCATGACATATTAATGTATGTGACCCCAGCAAATTTGTCCCAAAAATAATAAATTTTATCTTTGGAAATGAGGAACCAGTGCTACCTAGAGGACTGTCTTCTGGAAGTCAACACATACTTCCTGTAAAGGTATCTTCACTGCTCCCTCCTCCTTTGAATTGAGGTGGGCCATAACCTGTTAGTTACTCTTTTGTTCAGCCAATATGTATCAAGTGTGTGTTCATTTCCAGACCCTGTGCCAGAAACTGCTGGGACAATGGGAACGGAACAGCCATGGTTCCTGCCTTCAGGGGGCTTCCAGTCTAGAGGAGGAGGAGAGATGGCTGCACAAGCCTCAGCAATCATTGTGGTCAATGGTGGGGAGGTGCTCATGCTCTGGGTGGTCACAGGGGCACAGGGAAGCCATACTTGAAAGATGAAGAAGAGTCAGAAGAAGGGGAGAGGGAAGGACACTTACAAAGGTCTTGCTCCAGGAGCTCAAGGGCTGGTGCCCATGTGGCCCTCTGCACCTGCTATTCCCATAGCCAAGTAAACACTTCATGCAGATAGACCTTAGAACCTTCCCTCACCATCTTCAGAGCTTTGCTCAGTCATTGCTTTTTCATGGGACCTTCCTTGACTCTCTGCTTAAAATTGCAGCCTCCACTTCCATCCCCAGCTATTCCCTCAGCCCACTTTGTGTTTTATTTTTCTCCCTGTCACAAACCACCTTCAGATGTACTTATGTTCCACTTCCTTATTGATTCTGTCTTCCCTTTCAGTGGAATGGATGTGCACTCTTCATGAGGGTGGAGACTTTCATCCCTTTGGGCACTGCCCTATCTGCTCTGCCTGGCATAGAAAAGACACCCAATAAATATTTGTTGTGTGACTAAATGAAGCAGGAGAGATCATCCAGGGCCAGGCAGGAAGGGCTTATAAACCTTGTAAGCCAGTTGGCCTTCCTCTTGAGGACAATGGCCTTTGAAGGTATCAAGCAGAGAAGTGATATGGTCCAGTATGCATCTTCGAAGGAGCAGCCAGGTTGCAATGTGGGGCATGGGCTGGAGGGCAACTTCAGATCCAATTCTGTGGTGTCCTGAAATGTGACACCCTTTGTACAGCCCAGAAGCTCGGAGAGCCCCCGGGGCCTCCCAGACTCCTCTGTTAGCTCATTCTTCTTTCTGTCTCTGCTACATTTGTTCAAATCAGTCTTCCTAACATATCAAATTCATTTTTGTCATCTTGGAAATAAACTGGAATCTTGCTATAACCATATTTGCTGCAAAGCAGATTTGATAACCATTCAGCCACTATATAAGTATCAAAAATATCTCATTAAAAAGGAGCCTTCAACAGATGGTAATTTTAGCTCTGCCATATAGCAGCTAATGGCTTTGGGCAAGTTGCTTAACCTCCCAGAGCCTCCTGGTTTCCTGTCTGTATAATGGGAGTAACAGTACCTGCCTTACAGGGTTGTTGTGAGGGTTAAATAATTAAAGCCCTGGGACCTAGGAAGGTCCCTTTTTCCACTTCCGTAGGCATTAATTAATAAACAGTCTTGGGCTATTTTCTCTCTATAGGGTCCTCTGTGTCTTCAACAGTAACAATAGTTGCTGCGTATTATTGTTTCAATGATTTTTAAAATTGCCTTCTGTAAATATTTGGGGATTTGGACTAGCTCTTGTTGCACTGTATATCATTCATATGAAAGTTCGGGCTTTCTGCTTCTCTTCACAGGGAGCCCAGCAGTCCTTGGAGGCAGCAGCTCAGAAGACAGGAGAGCCTCAAAGTTGTATAAATAAAGCGCTGATATGTTCAAACAGAAAAGAATTTTACACGCGCAAGCTGCACATCGACATGACGCCGTTCCTGAAGGTGATCTCACACTGAGAAGACGAGGGGTTTTATAGACACAAACACAGGAATTCCAGTTAATACACTTCTGCATGGTACAAAAACAGCTTCAGAAGTCCCTCAGAGCTCCTGCATTATCAGAAGGGACAGAAAATAGGCAGTTTGTAGCAGATGAAGAAAGAACAAATTAGGACAGTAATCACAGCCAGCCATCGGGGACAAATCAGTCGGGTGTCTGGTTTGGGTGGTGGGGGACAGGGAACAGAGAGGAGAAAGAGTAACTTTAAACCACCTCATAAAACAGTCAAATATAATTCATTTTATCTTGACAGTAGCTAAAATAATTGTTACTGTTTTACCACTGTCACTTGGTAGAGTTGATATTACTACTATAGAGAAGACTGATTCTTGAGTTAACTATTTAGACGTCAACTGCAAATTCCTTTCTGGATATCTGGCCTTGCTTTCTGTTCTCTAAGAGTTCATTGATCTCACAAGCTCAGCTTCATTTCAAGTTAAGGGTTCTGAGGGTTTCTATAGTGAGGGTGGCATTTGTCCATCTTTGCAATACTCCCTCCCACCCCAGCATCGAACACAGTGCCCGACACATGGAAGGTGCTCATTAAATGCTCCATGAATTGGCCCATCCTTTTCATCGCACACTCTCTGGTTTAGGGCCCCTTTCCTACCCATTCTTTGCCCTCCTCAGAGCTTACTGAACTGGAAATAAATAGCCATGGAGTGAAAGAAACTGACCAGGAACACAGCCAGGCCTGGCATGGAAGGATCTCAGATCCTTCATAGTACCCTTGAGGAAATATTCCAGGCCTTTGATAAGAAATGACTGAGAAAGACAGGAATGGGGCAGAAGAAACCAAATACTTGCGGAGTGCATGATGGTGGCTCTATCTAGTGCTATAGACTGGCAGGGCCTTTGGAGGTCATGAGGGTCACCCTCCGAATTCCCTGGGCTGCCCCAATCCCAATTCTACAAGGTGGGGCTTTGATTAAGAGTCATGCATTTGCCCAAAATCTGTCTCTGTCCATGACTGGGCTCTGCTTTTCGGGGCTTCCTCTTAGATAGGCTCTTCCCCAAGGGTGGCAAGTTGGCCACCAGCTTCTATTTCCCAGGTCATTCCGGTACTGAATATAAACCAAATGTGGGTCACTTATCCATACCCAAATGAAATGCCATTGGCCCACCCTGGAGCCACAGGGACTGAAAATGGGAAGAGAAAGGATGTCTGACAGAGGAAAATGGGGTACTGAAAACTATAAGAAGGAATTTCAGCTACTCAGGAGATTGAGGTGGGAGGATCGCTTGAGTCCAGCAGTTCAAGGATGTAGTGTGGTATGATTACACCTGTGAATAGCCACTGCAACCCAGCCTGGGCAACATAGTGAGACCCCATCTCTATAGAAAAAAAAAACTACAAGAAAGAAGAATGATTCTGGACGTCAAAAGAAAAGATATTTGTTACGAGTATTCAAAAAATACTGCCATACTCCATGACTTATCTGGTGAAACTATCCCTTTTATTCTTAGCAACAGTTTAGTTCTTCACTTAGGGCTGAGAGAATTATGAATCGTACTTTCTGGGAGGAAATATCATCACAGTCACCATTCATTAACCAATATTTGAGCACCTGCTATCTACTATGTGTTTGGCAGTTTCTGGGCATTTGGGATACATCAGTAAACAAAACAGACCAAGATCCCTACCCTGCTCCAGGATAGTACAGGTAACAGACAACAGACCTAATACACAAGCAGAGTGTGTAGCATGTTCAAAGGTGATAGCTGCTAAGGAAATGAGATAAGAAAGTGACTCACGCCTGTAATCCCAGCACTTTGGGAGGCCAAGGCGGGCAGATCACGAGGTCAGGAGATCGAGACCAGCCTGGCTAACACGGTGAAACCCCATCTCTACTAAAAATACAAAAAATTAGCCGGGTGTGGTGGTGGGCACCTGTAGTCCCAGCTACTCGGGAGGCTGAGGCAGGAGAATGGCATGAACCCGGGAGGTGGAGCTTGCAGTGAGCCCAGATCACGCCACTGCACTCCAGCCTGGGTGATAGAGTGAGACTCTGTCTCAAAAAGAAAATATGGAGCATCTAAGAACGCAGAATTCAAAGTGGGGAATTTTACAATAATTGCTTGTATATTTAGTATCCACAATGCTTTTGTATTACACTTTTTTTGTCCAGCAATTTTGGCACAGTATTATAGAAGGAAAAGTGTTGTCATCCCTAAGGCCCACTTTCCTGTCCACCTCCCTCAAGACTCACAGAAATGGCAACTCAGCCTGCTTCCAAAGGACTCACGAAGTACACGCTCGGTACACTTTCTGACTCCCAGACCAGTCTTTGCCCCAAAGACCTTCTCTTGGAAATGTTCAGTGTTCACTGCTCTCCCTAGATAGACCTTCTCCTTATGGATGTGGTAGCTCCCAGATTCCTGGGGATTGCCATGTAGTAAGACACAGTCTCAGGGTAGTACAGACAAAGATGATGAGTTCAAACAGAGAAGAGCACACAGGCTGTCCTCCACACCTGGAGCTGTGTGGAAACCAACTCATCCTATACATTCATTTGTGTATCTCCTGCCTGTCCGCAGGGCATGTCATTCATTTTTGCCTGGGGCATGTAGGAAGCATTGCACGTTGCAGGGGATGAGGGTAGGTGATAAGAAAGGTCAAGGCAGAACAAGGGAATGGAAAGAGATAAAAATAATCACAGTTGCTAACATTACTGAGGACTTATTCTGTGTCTGGCTTTGTTCTAAATTGTATATGCATGCATTTATTTAATTCATAAAATGAATCTAAGTATGTAGAATTACTCCATTTTACAGATGAGAAAACTAAGGCATTGAGAGGCTAAGTAACTTACCGAATGTCACACAGTTGGTAAATGGCAGAAGCAAGATTTGGTCAGGCAGCCCAGTTCCAGTGCCTATGCTCAACCATCTGTTATAAAGCCTCACTGCAGCCCCCAGCTGAGCCCTGTCCAATCAAAAACACTGCCTATCATGTTAGCTAAGCATCCAGCACTCCTTCTAGAAAATTCCATTCCTATGGACACATTCCATCTGCACCAGGAAGATTTTCTGACCCCACAGGATTTTGCCCTTCCCTCCAGTCCCACTCAAGTTCTGTGGAGACAATATAAAGCTTTCTCTCCCACTGATCATTCGGTTCCCCTCAGCCAACATATTTTTATTTTTAGACAGTCTCTCTCTGTCACTCAGGCTGGAGTGCAGTGGCACGATCTTGGCTCACTGCAAGCTCCCCCTCCTGGGTTCATGCCATTCTCCTGCCTCAGCCTCCCAAGTAGCTGGGACTACAGGCGCCCGCCACCATGCCAGGCTAATTTTTTGTATTTTTAGTAGAGACGGGGTTTCACCATGTCAGCCAGGATGGTCTCCATCTCCTGACCTCGCAATCCGCCTGTCTCAGCCTCCCAAAGTGCTGGGATTACAGGCGTGAGCCACCGTGCCCGGCCCCCTCAGCCAACATATATTAAATATGCTCTGAGTATCAGACACTGTGATAGGCACTGAGGATACAGAGATGAATCATCTCTATCCTTGACCTTCCAGGGAGCCTAGAATCTAACAGGAAGATAAACAATGAAACAGGTAATAGCACAATGTTGTGGCAGAGGCAGGCTCACGTTACTACAGGAGAGCATTCATTCATTTTCCATTTGTTGCATGTGAACTTCTCACATTTTAAGAACCTCTTTACAACACTGAAGGCAGGGTTTCACCATGTTGGCCAGGCTGGTCTCAAACTCCTGACCTCAGGTGATCCACCTGCCTCAGTCTCCCAAAGTGCTGGGATTACTAGCGTGAGCCACTGCACCCAGCTGAGACCAGCCTGTTTTCTAAATCAAAAAAGAAAAAAAAATTTTTTGAACCATGTTTTTAAAAACTCAATTTGTGTTTTTTCAAAAAGAAATGGTAATTGATGAATGAATAAGGATAGAGGTTTTTTTCAGGGACTTTTTAAATTATCAGGGTTAGGTCATGGTAGTAGGGAAGAAAATAGCAATAATGCCTATTAATGCTAGATATCAAATTGAATATCCTTATACTCCACATTGATATCAAAGGATGTGTATGTTATGCCCAGAACATCTGAAGAATGAGAAATAAGCTTCCACCTCGCAGTTCCCACACAGTTAGCATATAGTGCCCTCAAATGCAAGGTAGAGGAATTGGCCTGAACACGGACAACAGCCAGCCATGCCTGGAGTTAGAGCTGCCCCACCTGTTTTGAGACCAGTCCCAAGCATTACGTATGTGGGCAGGTGTACATGCATCCCACGAAGCAGAAGGGGGCTGCCCCGAAACCTGTGGATTTCACATACAACAGGAAAATAATGCTTGGCTTAGGACATCATCCAAAGATGGAGCAGGGTGCCTTAGGAGATAAGTTCTTGTCTCCACAATCATTTAAACGTGCCTTGATGACCACTTGGCAGGAAAGTTGTAGAGGGATCACGAGCTGGTCTCAAGATTTAATGGTGCCAGGACACTTGAATAATATTCCCAGGAAAAAATATGTATGAGTGTGTTCTATTTCCAAAAAAAAAAAAAACAGAATTAAGTATAATATTATCAATATTAAAGTGTCAGACTAGTAGTTGGGAAGCCCTGGGTGGGGCAAGGGGTACTTCTCTGACACTCTGATACTAAGTGACCTTGTGATGCTTCTGAGACTCCATTTTCTCTTTAATAAAACAGAAATAATAATACTGGGACCTGACAGGGCATGGTGGCTCCCACCTGTAATCCCAGCACTTTGGGAGGCCAAGGCAGGTGGATCACCACCTCAGGTAGTTCGAGACCAGCCTGGCCAACATGGTGAAACCCCGTCTCTACTAAAAATATAAAAAATTAGCCGGGCATGGTAGCATGTGCCTGTAGTCCCAGCTACTCAGGGGGCTGAGACAGGAGAATCTCTTGAACCCGGGAGGCGGAGGTTGCAGTGAGCTGAGATCGCACAACTGCACTCCAGCCTGGGCAACAAGAGCAAAAGTCTGTCTCAAAAAAATAATAATAATACTGGGAACTCCATACCTGCCTCTCAACAGTGAAGCAAGAATTACATGAACTAATAGTTTTGAAAGAATGTTCACATCTGTAAAGGACTCAATTCATAAGGGAGAAAGGAACATTCACTGATCCCTGCTAAGGGCCAGGCCCCTCACATATTGAGCCTTGTATAATCTTCCTGTCACCCTTCCCAGTAATTGTGCTGATCCCCACTGTGCAGATGAGGAAACCGAGGCTCAGAGATGACCAGTCACATGGCTGGCAGCAGAGGGAGCTAGGATTCAAAGCCAAAAATCCCCACAATATCAGAGATCTATGAGGTCTGTCTGTTCTGTTCCTGTGTACCTAGTTGTACTTCTTTGTTCTAGCTGCAGAACCCAAGAAGGGAGCAGAGATTTGATATTATATATTAATCTTTTTTATCTTAATAACACAAGATACTTTATGATTTTTCATAAGGTCTTTTTTTTTTTTTTTTTTGAGATGGAGTCTCGCTCTGTCACCCAGGCTAGAGTTCAGTGGCGTGATCTCGGCTCACTGCAAGCTCCACCTCCCGGGTTCACGCCATTCTCCTGCCTCAGCCTCCCAAGTAGCTGGGACTACAGGCGCCCGCCACCATGCCCAGCTGATTTTTTATATTTTTAGTACAGACGGGGTTTTACCATGTTAGCCAGCATGGTCTCGATCTCCTGACCTCGTGATCCGCCCACCTTGGCCTCCCAAAGTGCTGGGATTACAGGCGTGAGCCACCACGCCCGGCCAAAATCATAGTCTTTAACAAAGACAATGTAGGGGACTTTTCTGTTACACAGGAAAAGTTATACTACCTTGAAGTTGAAACTTTTGAATGAGATCCTGATTTTCTTCCATCATTTAGAAAGTATTGAAATTAGTCATTTATATTCATGTATCATATGGTATGTTACATGGAATTTCCAAATGTCTCTTCCTGGTTAAGCCTTTTGAGAACTCTACAATTATTTATTATTACTCCCATTTCACAGGTGTAGAAGCTGAGGTTCTATGATAGGTCATGCAGCTGGCTCAAGACAGGCTGGAGGCCGCACTTCAGACTCCTGCAGCACATGCTCCTCCATCCTCCCAGCAGCTCCCTAAGAAAGCCTGCTGTGGTCCTAAAAGTAACATGCCCAGCAGGGGGGCTGTGCATGAGAGTGGAGGGCAGGATGGCTGGAAGGTTTTCCAAGGAAAAGATAACCTAAGATCACTTGTCCAGCATCTGTCGGTTTCCAGTTGAAGAAACTGAGGCTCAGGGGTTAAGTAACTCCTATGGTCTGTAAGACATCAAGTGTAGTAGTTAGGACTTGAGTGCAGACAGCCTGACTGCAGGACCTGTACTTCAGCCACCGGAGAAAGCGCCTCTCACATGTTGGTTTCAATGCTGTAGTTTGTGTTCACAAAGTGTTTGTGACTCTTCCTCCTCCTCTCCCAGTCTTATAATACCACACTGCTGCCAGTGCTCTAAATACAGCTCAGTCTTATCAGTGGTTTGCTTGAAATTCTTTACTGTGTCCCCATTGGCCCTCTGGTTAAATTCCAAGCATCAAAGATGTATTTATTTTACAAATAGAAAAATATAACATGTGCAATTTTTCTTAAACTCCGAACTGTAACATGCAAGATCTGGCCTGTGTCTAATTTACACTGTCCACACACTGCCCCCGCACCAAACTATCCCCTAACCAGCACATGCTGCTTCCTCTGCTTGGAATTGTTCTACCTTCCCTTCACTGCAAGATTTAGCACTGTGTCTGCTGGTAAACAACCTTCCCAGCCTAATTTAGCTTCACCTCCCATGAGGCCCTGCAGAAACCTGTCATAATCTGCCACAACATTTATCACGCTGCATTGCAAACTGACTTGTCATTTCCCCACAAGCCAGTGAGCATCCTACGAATACATCTTTCATCTTTGTGCCCCCGGTGCCTATCTCGGTACCTGGCACACAGCAGACACTCAATAAATGTTCATTAGCTGAATGAACAGAGGAAGAGCAAACAACCTGGCCAAAATAACAGAACTGGGATTTGAATTTACAGTCCCTCCATTTGTTTTGCTCACTCACCAAGTATTATTACCTGTTTCCATCACTCTGTTTTAATCATGCATTTGTAACTCAGACTAAAAGTGACATCACATTTTATTTAGGTTTAGTTTCTTTAATTCAAATTTTGAATCTGAAATATATTCAGAAGGTTTTTTTTTTCAAATTTAAGTAGAAAACAGTATGCCTTCCAGCTGCTCAGCTCCCTTCCCTTGAACAACTGGAGTTGCTAGTTTCCTGTGTCCCCTTCCTAGAATGTATAATGCATATATATAAGCAAATACAGATAGATACATACACAGATAGATATTATATGCAAATCTTAGCATATTATACACATTGTTCAGAGTCTTTTTGTTTGTTTGCTTGTTTGTTTTTTTAGATGGAGTCTCACTCTGTCATCCAGGCTGGAGTGCAGTGTTGCGATCTCGGCTCACTGCAACCTCCGCCTGCTGGGTTCAAGCGATTCTCCTGCCTCAGCCTCCCGAGTAGCTGGGACTACAGGCACGCACCACCACACCTGGCTAATTTTTGTATTTTTAGTAGAGACAGGATTTCACCATGTTAGCCAGGCTGGTCTCGAACTCCTGACCTCAGGTGATCCACCCACCTGGGCCTCCTAAAGTGCTGGGATTATAGGTGTGAGCCACCACACTTGGCCCAGAGTCTTTTTTTTTTTTTTTTTTTTACTTACTACATCTTGCAGTTCTACGTTAATTCATAAAGAGATGCTTGTAGGCCAGGCGCAGTGGCTCACGCCTGTAATCCCAGCACTCTGGGATGCCAAGGCGGGTGGATCACCGGTCAAGAGATCGAGACAATCCTGGCCAACATGGTGAAACCCCATCTCTACCAAAAATACAAAAATTAGCTGGGCGTGGTGGCGGGCGCCTATAGTCCCAGCTACTTGGGAGGCTGAGGCAGGAGAATCACTTGAACCCGGGAGGCGGAGGTTGCAGTGAGCTGAGATCGCACCACTGCACTCCAGCCTGGCAACAGAGCGAGACTCCGTCTCAAAAAAAAAAAAAAAAAAAGAGATGCTTGTGCTTTTTAATGGTTGCATCATATTCCATTGTATAAGCTAATAATAATTTATTTAACTAGTCCTCAATTGATGGGACATTTAGGCTGTTTCCAATCTGTTGCAGTGAATGAATGACTTTAAATAGAAGTTATTTCACATGTATATTCTTTTTTTTTTTTTTTTCAAGATGAAGTCTTGCTCTGTTTCCCAGGCTGGAGTGCGGTGGTGCGATCTCAGCTAACTGCAACCTCCACCTCCTGGGTTCAATCAGTTCTCCTGCCTCAGCCTCCTGAGTAGCTGGGATTGCAGGTGCATGCCACCACGCCTGGCTAATTTTTGTATTTTTAGTAGATACAGGTTTTGATCATGTTGGCCAGGCTGGTCTCGAGCTCCTGACCTCATGATCTGCCCACCTCAGCCTCCCAAAGTGCTGGGATTACAGGCGTGAGCCACCACACCTGGCCACATATGTATTCTTATATCTAAAAAAAGATAGTTCTTTTGACACTCTTCTAAGCAACATACAATTGAATTGACAGAGTTTCAAATTAAGACTATTTCTTTTTCTAACAAAGATTCACCTGAAAATATTTTTCCAAATCCCTGAGTTTCTCTATCTCCCTCTCCCACTCTGTGAAATGAGAAGATATTCCTTGCCCCTGAAGGCTCATGGCTGTGTGTTGTTGAGACTGAAGTTTGATCCTTCTTGGCATTAAAATTCTTCCAAAAGAAGAAGCTTGACTCTCCCTTTCAATACAGTTTCTTGTTAGATTAAAAGGCTTTATAACCAGGGATATCTAGTCTTCTAACTTAGCCTGTTACTCCTTTCCATTTATTCAGGGAATTTTTTTTTTTTTTTTTTTTTTTTTTTCCTGTACCAGGCCAAATTGACTTTGTCTCCAAAATAAGAAACCCAAAAGTAAGAAAATTATTTACCTGTGTTAGCCTTTTTATGTCAGTATATATCATCAGCTACAAACACTAAGCTAACAAGTGAGAAACAAACACACAAGGTAAAAAGCCACCAAGTGAGGGAAGTCAGAGGGGAATTAAAGAGAGTGCCAAAATAGCAGATAATTAGTTGTCTCTTCTCAAAGCAGGATGCAGCTTTGATAACAAAGTGGAAAGGTGACTGTCACTACAGAATGAGGGTAAACCCGGAGAGACTTCCAGGACCCTTCATGCCAGATTCCAGCTCTAGCACCGAGATGAAGCTGTGGGTTGAGCAGGGATCCAGGTGACAAAGGCCCAGATCTGGCCTCATCAGACACACGGGGCTTACTTGGGTCACCAACTCTACCTGCCATGTTACTTTGGCACTGAGGAGCTGCTCTTGCAACACTCTAGAGAAGAGCATGATTCTCAGTCCTGGCTGCATATCAGACTCACCCTAGAAGCCTTAAAATGCCCCAACTCCAGCTGTATGACTGTTATTATTTGGAGTTAGGACCTGGGAATCATTTTCTGAAACTTCTCAAATAATTCTAATGTGTAGCCAGGGTTGGTAACCATAGTTATGGAGATTTCTGGGAGGAGGGATTGCAAGCAGCTTGTATGACTCAAGGAAAGAAGGAAGAAGGGATCAAATGTGATAAGAAACCAAATCCGTGGTAATCCTGAGGATGCCACAAAAGGCCTGTCTGACCCTTTGGCTCCCCTGCTTTAAATCCTGAATGCTTTCCATTTGTTCTCAAGATAAAGACCAAAGTCCTCAACCTGCCTTCAAGGCCATGGGGGTTTGACTCCTCCCAGCCCTGCGCAGTTCTCTCAGTCTCTGCTGTAGTCACACTAGTCCTCCCTCAAGTCCTGGAGGTGCCCTGCTTCCTTCTGCTAGTTGGCCTCTGTCATGACATTCTTCTCGCCTTCCTCCAGTAAACTCCTACATGCCTTAGGCATTCAGAACTGCACAGATGAATGGGATAAGACCCCATGAAAATAAGTACAACCAGAAAGCTAACAGTGCTTGATGCTGCTGGTGCCAAGCCTGCCTGGCCCTGGCTTTTTCTTTTTTTTTTTAAGAGACAGAGTCCAGGGTCTTGCTATGTTGCCCAGGCTGGACTCAAACTCCTGGGAACTCCTGTTTTAAGCAATTTTCCCATCTCAGCCTCCCAAATAGCTGAGACTACAGGTGCATATTATTATGCCTAGCCCTGCCTGGCTCTTTAAGCCTGTTTAACACTAGTAGCAGCCTTCCTGGAGACTTAAGTAAAAAGTTGACGAAGAAGGAGAAGAAACCACTAAGAAAACTGGCTTCCCTCTTACCAAAGGTCATGGGATCACAGAAGTGTTTTAAGTGTTTGCATTTATTATGTCTAATGTATTCTTTGTTGTGTGTTAACCCAATAGGAAAGTGGAAATGCACTGGACTATCAGGAAGAAGCAGGGAGACCCCTCAGAGAAACTCACCACAACGACCAAGGTACAGACCACTAGGTGGGGCTTTATAATCTTATAGCCATAACTGTCAGATGAACTTTGCACTGTTAAAAGATGTTAATGGGAGGCCAGGCACGGTGGCTCACGCCTGTAGTCCCAGCACTTTGTGAGGCCAAGGCGGGTGGATCACCTGAGGCCAGGAGTTTGAGGCCAGCTTGACCAACATGGTGAAACCCCATCTGTACTAAAAATACAAAATTAGCTGGGCGCAGTGGTGCATGCCTGTAATCCCAGCTACTCGGGAGGCTGAGGCAGGAGAATCACTTGAACCCAGGAGGCAGAGGTTGCGGTGAGCTGAGATCGCACCACTGCACTCCAGCCTGGGCAACAACAGCGAAACTCCATCTCAAAAAAAAAGAAAAATGCCTAAAGTCACAGATTTTGGATTTCACCCTTAACTTGATCTTTTTCTGTTTATATCTTTTACCATGTCCTTCAGTTGACATCCAATCAAAAGTAATTAATTTTTATACTAATTTTACAAGAGCTTGTTGTTTGGGGGATACCAGACAACAATATATCATGGTAGCCTGATCCTGGGTTTGGTTAAGCTTCTAAGCAGATTTCTGTTCACATGAGCTCTTACCACCTCCATTTTCAAGGCAGAGTGACACTAGACAGGGAAACATGCTCCAGTCTTCAGGTCTGCCATATCATAAATCACACATGCAGAATGTGAACACTGACAGGGCTCCAAGGGCTTGGCCAAGTGTGATGGAGGTTTTAGGCAGCACAGAACATGGCCAAACCTAAGCAATGACCAAGTCAGTCAAAACAGATTTCCTGTCTCATGACGGAAGAGCAGGCACCAGCTGGATTGCATAAAGGTTATTCAGACCATGTTTAATGCAATGAAATATCACCACAGAAAATTAAAGAAGGCATTTTCCTGTCCTGAATGATAAACACTAATGTTCAGAAAGGATTTCAAGTATTTGAAGAAAAAAGAAGAGGGAGTGCCAAGGAATTTTTTTTAACTATTTAAGGATCAATTTTCAGCCAGACACAGTGGCTCACGCCTGTAATCCCAACATTTTGGGAGGCCACAGCAGGAGGATCACTTGAGGTCAGGAGTCTGATACCAGACTAGGCAACACAACAAGATCCTGTCTCTACAAAAAATTTTAAAAATTGCTGGGCATGGTAGCACATGCCTGTAGTCCCATCACTCCAGAGGCTGAGGCAGGAGGATCATTGGAGCCCAGGAGTTTGAGGCTGCTGTGAGCTGTGCTATGATCATGCCACTGCACTCCAGCCTGGGCAACAGAACCAGACCCTGTCTCCAAAAAAAAACAAAAACAAAAAAAAAAAGGATCAATTTTCTCCCCATAGGTCTTAAGGCTAATTACCAGGATTTTTTTCCTACTCTAAATTAAGTTGTGATCTTCATGGTTAATTATAAGCAGTGAACCAGTTGCCACCTGCAGTGAGAATATCATGAGTCTTAGACTTGGTGAGAACACTTCAAGTTTCCACAAGACAGGTCAAATCAGCAACCTCCAAATCAAAGTGGCTTTGAAAAATTGCTCTGGCTTTAAATACAAAACTTTCCACTTTCAGAGGCTGAGGCGGGCAGATCACAAGGTCAGGAGATCGAGACCATCCTGGCTAACACGGTGAAACCCTGTCTCTACTAAAAAATACAAAAAATTAGCCAGGTGCGGTGGCGGGTGCCTGTTAGTCCCAGCTACTCAGGAGGCTGAGGCAGGAGAATGGCATGAACCCAGCAGGCGGAGCTTGCAGTGAGCCAAGATCGCACCACTGCACTCTAGCCTGGGCAACAGAGTGAGACTCCGTCTCAAAAAAAAAAAAAACTTTCCACTCCTCTACCCCTGTCCAAAGTCCAGGGAAAGAATAAAATTTCAATTCTTATTTCAATTCTTGTTTATTTCCTAGGCCAATGGTTCTCAAACTTCAATGTGCATCAGAATCACCTGTAAGGCTTATTAAACTAAAGATTTCTAGGCCCCGCCCTCAGAGTTTCTGATTCATTAGATCTGGGCTGAGGCCTGACGATTTGCATTTTTAGTAAGTTCTCAGGTGATTCTGATGCTGGTGGACCAGCAACCACAGTTTTGAATCGCTGCCCTGGGCCTTGTTTCCAGTATGTATTTCCCTGAATTTGGCAGCAACTCAATTTAACCTGTTCTTTTAAAAACAGTAGGAAGGAATACTGGACACAGTCACTCATGGTTCCAACCCCAGCACTTTGGGAGGCAGGAGGATCACTTCAGACCAGAAGTTGTTGGAGACCAACCTGGGCAATATAGCAAGACCCCTCCCCATGCCCTGCATCTCGGCCTCTAAAAATTTTTTTTTAATTAGCCAGGCATGGTAGTGAGGACCTGCAGCCCTAGCTACTCAGGAGGCTGAGGCAGGAGGATCCCTAGAGCCCAGGAGTTCAAGGCTGCAGTGAGTTGAGACTGCACCACTGCACTCCAGCCTGGATGACAGAGCAAGACCCTGTCTCTAAGAAAATAAAATAATAATAATAATAATAGGTAGTGGGGAAGGAATTGGTTGGCAGGCACTGTTTAGGCAGCATCATTGTGATCAAGAGTACTGATTATGTAGTCTGATTCCCAGGGTTCAAGTTCTAGCACCACCACTTACTAGCTGTGTGACCTTGAGTAAGTTACTAAACTTCTCTGGGCATCTTTTTTCTTCCTCTGTAAAATGGGGATACTAACAGTACTTATCTCATGGGGTGGTTGTGACAAAGAAGAGTTAACTATGTAATGTGCTTAGAAAAGTACCCGTCATAGGGCCAGGCATGGTGGCTTACACCTGTAATCCCAGCACTTTGGGAGGCTGAGGCGGGTGGATCACAAGGTCAAGAGATCGAGACCGTCCTGGCCATCATGGTGAAACCCCATCTCTACTAAAAATACAAAAATTAGCCAGGTGTGGTGGCACGTGCCTGTAGTCCCAGCTACTCGGGAGGCTGAGGCAGGAGAATCACTTGAACCCGGGAGGCGGAGGTTGCAGTGAGCCGAGATTGTGCCACTGCATTCCAGCCTGACGACAGAGCAAGACTCTGTCTCAAAAAAAAAAAAAAAAAGAAAGAAAAAAAAAGAAAAGTACCCATCACAAAGTGCTCAAAAAGGGATATTCATCTACTCTTTAAAAATCTTTAATAGGAGCCACAATTTGCTCCTTGTCAGGAGAGCCTTATTCTAAGGTAATAACATAATGATTTCTTTACTTTCCCAGTCTGGGTGGCATAAGGGGTATTGGGGGTGCTTTTGGGGGATGCATGTAGTCCTCTGCTTAAGTCCAGGTATGGGCAGCAGACCCAAAATGAATGAAGCAGCCTTCCAGCCTCTGCATTCAGTGAAGTTACTGTGACATAACTCCTTGGGACATGACAGAACTGCTTTAAGAGTCTTAGGAGGAGTGAGAGATTTGGGGAACCCTGCATGAGGTGCAGGGGGTCCTTAAGGAGCAGCCTGGAACAATGTGGGGGTGGGGACGAAAGGCAGGTATTGTGGAAATTCTCAGAAACAAATAAGCCATTTCCATCATTTCTGTTCTGTCAAAAAAAGGAGGCCCAGAGCCCTATTGCCTTATTCAAGAGACAGATGTGTAGTAGATAGGATGTTGGTACAACTGTTCTAACAAAGGCCAAAGTAAAGTGACTTCAAACGAGATGGAAGGGTTATTCCTCTCTGATGGAAAAGTCTGAGCTGGCAGGCAGGGGGTCCCTGGGATCCATGAAGTCTAATTCAATTGCACAAATGCTTAATTGGGTGGCTACTAAGTACCACCTATAGCCCCATGTGTTATGTGAGCTGCTTGAAGGCAAGGATCATGCCTTATTCAGGCCTGGTAAATGTTTCCTAAATGAATGAATGAGTCAAATGTATGAATGAATGAATATGCTAAGTATTCAAAGGATTCAAAGATGACAAAACCAAGTTTCCTACCCTCAAGGCCTCACAGTGAAGACTTCAACTGCAGGCATGATGTTCACTGTGAGGAAACAGTGCCTCCCAGGGTTACTAAGGTCACAGCCCTCTAACTAGGGTGCAGTCAAGGAACCTACAGCCACCAGCCAGAACCTGCACCTTCACCATAGACCCAGAAGCAGCCAACAGGCAACAGGTAACTAATGCTGATGGGGAAGGAGGACACTGGCTCTGTCAGCTTCTCAGTGAGTGTCCCAGCAGCCAATGCCCTCATTAACCTGATAAGGCTGGTCTAATTCGTGGCTAGTGTACCAAGTCGTTTCATCATAGTGCAGTCTAGACCAGAGATTTTTGTAAGAACCACCTATCTAGACCCATTCTAGCTAGCACCTGGGAGCTTATTAGAAAAGAGAATCTGGGGTCTCACCCCAGACCTGCCTGTTAACAAGGTCCTCAAGTGATTCGTATGCCCACTGATGTCTGGGAAACACTGAAATCTATTCATCGAGGAAACTGGGTTTCAGATTCAAAAGACATGGATTCCTTTACCAGCTGTGCCTTTGATTAAGTCTGTAGTTTAGGGAAGGGCGGATTGCTTCTCTGGGCCTTGGTCTCCTTTCCCATAAACCAAGGAGGTCGGGATGGATCATCTCTAGGGCCCCATCCCATTCTCATGCTCTGGCCGTCTATGAGTCGCTCAGGCTTGCACAGTGGTAGGCTGTAGATCCAGGACTGGGGCGGGGCCTCCTTCCCAAGCTCATCCCCCACCCCCACTTCCGGGGAAGGCTGGTCTGCCACCTTCACTGTGTCCTACATAAATCTCTTCTACCACCCAGCCTCCCTCAGGTGACAGCCTGGGAGGAGGCCATCCCTGTGCCATTTGTGAGCCCTGGCTCAGTGCAGCAACAAGTGAGTGAGAGCTCAATGGGTCAAGATGGGAGCACTGCTTTGCCACGGTTCTCTGGCATGGCATGAGGACTCCATAAACCTCTGGGCCTCTGGAGGCTTCCACTTCCTGATCTGAAAATAACAAAATTGACCTTCCAATCTCTGTTTCTCACTTTCTGTGATTCAATGACATTGGAACTGTTTCTGTTAAGGGGAAAAGCAGAATCCACGGTGCTACCACTGAGATAGCTCCATGGTTCAGCCTCCAGGTTCAGGCCGTCTTAAGTCTTTAACCACCGACTGCATGAATGGAAGCTTCCATTATTCACTCAGCATACACTTGCTGATCCCTACTAAGTTTCATAGCCTTCATGGTTGGATAAAACACACTCCTTACTGCAGCTCCCGCTTTGGTGGAGGAAACAGATATGTGTGCAGACAGCTCCAGTGAGTGGAGTGTGATCAGTGCTCTAAGAGAATACAGGAAGGACAACTGATCCAGACCGGGGCAGAAATCTGATCCAGATAGAGAGAAATCAGGTAGGGCTTCCTGTAGGAGGTAATGGCTGACATGAAGGAAGGCATTTACGAACCTAGACTGCGTTCACCCATTTGTGATGAAGACATCAAGAGAAGGCAGCAGTTCACACTCCCTGTGTGCCAGGCACCAGGCTATGCATTTTCTGTAAAGTGCCTCATTTAACTTTTATACTAATCCTGTAAAGAAGCAGGCCTTGGTATCCCTATTTGTCAGATGAGACAATTGAGGCACAGAGTGGTTAAGTACCACATCCTTGCTCGCAGAGCTGGGCAACAGTGAGGCTGACCTCCCCAGGCTGTCTGCATAGATTAATGCTGGATGTTAACAGCTATCAAAAAGAGGGTTCGCCCCCCACGGGAGAAAACAGCAAGGTCCGGGGAAATAGAGATTTAAAGAAATACTACACACACACACACACACACACACACACAGACATATACACACACACATTCATACATAGACACACACACAGACACATATACACAGACACACATGCACACACACACACACACACCCCAACTAGAGAAATATGAATGAAAAGATTCTTCAAGCAGTTTTTTTAAAGGGAATAAAAAGGTGTGGCCAATCGGGGAGGGAGGCCAAAGTGGTCCAGCAGTGCGGCATCTGCGCCTCCGCGGCGGCAGGGGCCCCGCAGCAGGCGCGCTGGGAGCAGCTTCTCTCGGGGCCTGCCGCGTTTATGGCTTCAATAGCGCCGCTCCGGGTCCCCGCGGCGTCGGAGAGGCTTCTGCCTAGCGCCTCTCTGCTGCGCGAGGTCGTCCCGGCCTTACAAAAGGAGCTCCTCGCTGGTGAGCTCAAGACCCCAGGCGGGCTCTCCCCGAAGGGTCACTTCTCCGAGTGTGTCGCCTCCTTTAGTCTTTTCTTTTCCTCTCTGTGGTGGCTTGTGATGTCTCTAACGCTGGGGCCTCCTATGGACTCCATCCCGAGATGGAGACTGGCAGAGCTAGAAGGTCTAAACATCTGAAAAGCAGGCACGCATAGTCCCTGGGGAGAAGGCAGGGAGGCAGGCAAACCCCTGGAGTGCCACCCAAACAATTGGACTTTTTAATTGATACTGTTTTATTTTGGCCAATTTTCCACTTAGGGGTGGAGAAAAGGGAAGTAATTTTTGGCATTTACTTTTTTTTTTTTTTTTTTTGGAGACAGAGTCTTACTCTGTTGCCCAGGCTTGAGTGCAGTGGCGTGATGGCTCACTGCAACCTCCGCCTCCCAGGTTCAAGCAAGTCAGCCGCCTCAACCTCTCGAGTAGCTGGGATTGCAGGCGCCTGCCACCACGCCCTGCTAATTTTTGTATTTTTAGTAGAGACGGGTTTTCGCCAGGCTGTTTGCGGGCTTACGCCCGCGTCGGCCTCCCAAACTGTTGGGATTACAGGCGTGAGCCACCGCGCCTGGCCATTTTTGGCATTTACTATGAAGCAAGACGTAATGCTAGGTGCTTTATGTACTTTGAGCTTATTTTATCCTCACTATAACCTTATGAGGCAAAGTGCATTGTTTCTATTCCACAGATGAGGAAAATGAGGCTCAAAGAGGTTAGGTAACTTGCCCAAGGGGCACACAGCCAGTAAGTGGAGAAGCTGAGAGATGAACCCAGGTTTCTATGACTCCATGCTCCTTGAATCTTTGAGTTGTGATGCCATCCCTGTGTTTCTGAGAGGAAATAGTAAAAAGTCAGGGAAACATCACGAAATTATGGCAGTATGTTTTTTAAGCCAGCATGAATCTTGGAGGTGATCTAGAAGTTCTTTTATATTATGGATGAAGAAACCTGAGGCCTACAAGTCAAGAGAATCGTGCATGACAACTAATTATTAAAACCAGGGTAACTGGAGTCTGCCCAGTGTTAGTGGTTATCTAGTTCAGTTCAGTTCCGTTCAGGTCAGTTTCGTTTTGAAGACTTTTCCTTGGGCAGTTTCCAGCTTCAGGAATAAACAGCTCCAGAAGGAGCAAGTGTAATGATTGCCTGACCTGTGCAAAGAAGTGAGGAGTAGCCAGTGCTGGAAAAGTTCCTCCTAACACTGTGGAGAAAACAGGGAGACCAGAAGTGTGTGCCCAGGAGTCCTGGTGGTGCCACTCACCAGAATCTACAGCCTGGAAGATGGCACCATGCAAAGGTCTGGGGCTCCTTGCTCCCCACATTGCCCAGTATGATGCCTGCACAGTCATGGCACAGCACACTGCCAGGCCCTGCTATCTGCAGCCTGCAGTACTAGGTGCAAAATATTCTGCTAGTCCTTAGCACCTACATGACCTAACTCTGGTACTGCTCTATTTTTCCTCTGGGAAGTATTTCAAAGTTCTCCTTCATATTGGAAGAGGAGGAAGTAGGAAGTGGTGCACGCTTAAGAATGTTTCTGGTTTACTCCTACACAGCCCAGACTGGGGAAGTCCCCCGGGAAGTCCCCCAGAGTCCCAGAGAACAGCAGTCGTCCCTTGATTCTGAAAATTCTCTTCACCTTCCAGGAAGAAAAGCTCATTTCTAACAAGAGACCTAAATTTGTCAAAACCCAAAAGCAGCTAAAACTAGAGATAAGGACAACATAAGAAAGGAAAATTATAGGCCGGGCCTGGTCACTCACGCCGGTAATCCCAGCACTATGGGAGGCCAAGGCGAGCGGATCACCTGAGGCTGGGACTTCGAGACCAGCCTGACCAACATGGAGAAACCCCGTCTCTACTAAAAATACAAAATTAGCTGGGCGTGGTGGCACGTGCCTGTAATCCCAGCTACTCAGGAGGCTGAGGCAGGAGAATCGCTTGAACCCGGGAGGCAGAGGTTGCAGTGAGCCAAGATAGCACCATTGCACTCCAGCCCGGGCAACAAGAACGAAACTCCATCTCAAAAAATAAAATAAAAAAAGGAAAATTATAGACCAATCTCACTTATGATCAAACATACAAAACTCCTAAATAAACTATTAACCAATCAAATTCTTAAGCTTATATTTTTAAAAGTATTAACAATACACACAACTGAATTTGGTTTATCACAAGAATTCAAAGAGGGTCTAACATATGAAAATATATTTATAATCCACACTAAGAGGTTAGTGGGGAAAAGCCTTAGGGTCATCTCAATAGATGCAAAAGGAAAAAAATAAAATTCACCCATTCCCAATTAAAACTTATCAGACTAAGAATAGAAGAGGGCTTCTTGATTTTGACAAAGAGTATCCATGAAAAACCTATAGTAAACATCACACTTGAATACTTGAATGGTAGAACTTGAGAAGCATTCTTTTTTTTTCTTTTTTGAGACACAGTTTTGCTCTTGTCGCCCAGACTGGAGTGCAACGGCACGATCTCGGCTCACTGCAACCTCTGCCTCCCAGGTTCAAGCAATTCTTCTGCCTCAGCCTCCCAAGTAGCTGGGATTACAGTTGCTCACCACCGCACCTGGCTAATTTTTTGTATTTAGTAGAGATGGAGCTTCACCATGTTAGTCAGGCTGGTCTCGAACTCCTGACCCCAGGTGATCCACCCTCCTGGGCCTCCCAAAGTGCTGGGATTACAGGCATGCGGCACTGCGCCTGGCCAAGAAGCATTCTCTTTAGAGACAGGACTAGGACAAGGATGTCCTCTATCAGTGATTCTATTCAACATTGTACTAGCAATGCTAGCCAGAACGGTAAAGAAACCAAAAAAAGGAAAGATGAAAGGATAGGAAGGAGGAAAATGACACTGGTATTATTTCCAGACTATATTATTACTTATATGGAAAATTCAAGGGACTCTACAGACAAGACATTAAAAGACAAAAGAATTCAGCAAGATTACTAAATACAGATCAATACACAGAAATCAATTGTGTAAAAAATAGTGTTTGAAAACATAAAGCACAATTTAAAAATAGAATTTAAAAGGAATTGTTATTATGGAAAACTGCAAACATACACAGAAGTGAACAGAGCAGCACAGTGAATCCCATATACCCATCTCTTGGCCAGTGTTGTTCACCTGTATCTCCAACTCCTTTCTCTCTCCCATGTTATTTTGAAACAAATTTTAGGCTCATATCATTTTATTCATATATACTTGAGAACATATCTCTCAAAGATGAGAAATGACTTTTTTTATTATTATTATACTTTAAGTTTTAGGGTACATGTGCACAATGTGCAGGTTAGTTACATATGTATACATGTGCCATGCTGGTGCGCTGCACCGAGAAATGACTTTTAACATAATCATGATACCATTATTACACCCAAAATTTAAATAATTCTTTAATATAATTGAATATTCAGTCAGTTTTCAAAGTTCAAATTGTCCCATAATTATTATAATTGTTTTGGAATTTGCAAACCAACTGTTTACAATTGGTTGATATGACCTTTAAATCTCATTGAATTTATAAGTTCCCTTCCATTTCTTTTTTTTCCCCCTTTTAGTGTATTTGTAGGAAATTGGGTCACTTGTCTTGTTGAGTTTCAATCTAGACTTTGCTGATTGCGTCCTCATAGTGTAGTTTAACATGTTTCTCTGTCTTCCACATGTCCTGTAAGTTAACACTTGGGTCTAGAAACTTGATCAGATTCCGGTTTGGTTTGGTTTTTCCTTTTGGCAGTCTATAAATTCAGTGCAATTTCAATTTTAAAAATCCCCAACAGGGTTTTTGGCAGAACATGATTAGCTGATATTAAAATTCATATAGAAAAGCCAGAAATAGTTGTCATGGTCTGAATGTTTGTGTCCCCCAAAAATTCACATGCTGAAACCTCATCACCAATGTAAAGGTATTTGGAGGTTGGGCCTCTGGGAGGTGATTAAGTCATGAGGGCAGAGCCCTCATAAATGAGATTAGTGCCTTTACAAAAGAGGCCCCAGAGAGCTATCTTGCCCCTTTTATCATGTGAGGACACAAAAGAAGGTGCCCTCCATGAACCAGAAAGTGAGACTTCCCCAGACACTGAATGTCCCCAGACACTGAATGTTCCAGCACCTTGATCTTGAACTTTCCAGCCTCTAGACCCACAAGAAATAAATTTCTGTTGTTTCTAAGCTACCCAGTTTATGGTATTTTGTTATAGCAGCCTGAACAGACTAAGATATTAGCCAGTATAATTTTGAAAAAAAATAAAGTGGAAGTTTGCCCTGACAAATATAAAAACTTATTTTAAAGCTGTAAAAAATAAAACTGTGTGCTATTGGCTTAGAGACAGACAGAAGAGAATAGAGAATCCAGAAATAAATGTGCCCACATATGGAAACTTGATATATGGCAATGGCATTATAAAGGGAAATAGTGGAGAAAGGATGATCTATTATTCACTATATAATTTTGAGACAACTGGTTATGCAATTTTAAAATTCTCACCTCACAAAATATCAGGTGTATTCAGGAGCTTAATGTCAAAAAGCAAAATTTAACTTTTAGAGGAAAATATAGCAGAATATTTTTATGAATTTTGGAAAGGAAAAAACTTTTTACCTATTATTCATAACACAAACCATAAAGAAAATTATTGATAAATCTTTTTTTTTTTTTTGGGACGGAGTCTCGCTCTATTGCCCAGAAAGTGCAATGGCATGATCTTGGCTCACTGCAACCTCTGTCCCCTGGGTTCAAGCGATTCTGCTGCCTCAGCCTTCCAAGTAGCTGGGATTACAGGTGTGTGCCACCAGGCCCGGCTAATTTTTGTATTTTTAGTAGAGACAGGGTTTCACCATGTTGGCCAGGCTGGTCTCAAATTCCTGAACTCAAGTGATCAGCCTGCCTTGGCCTCCCAAAGTGCTGGGATTACAGGTGTGAGCCACTGTGCCCCGCCAATGAATCTGACTATATTAAAGTTTGAAGTTTTCAACAAGACAACATGAAGTTAAAAGCCAAATTGCAGATTAGAAGGAGATACCTGCAATGCATGTAACCAACAAAGCATTAGTAACCAAAATGCAGCAGCATTTCTTCCCTCTACAAATAGGGAAAGAAAAAGACAATCAACCCAAAGGAAAAATGAGCAAATGATGTGAACAGGCAACTAACAGAAGAAGAAACACAAATAAATGGCCATAGAGAAAAAAAAGTTCTCCTTACTAATCAGGAAAATCCCAGTTAAAACAAAAAGATATCATTTCATATATATCAGACCAGCAAAAGTTTAAAAGTCTATAAACACTATTAATGAGGATATAAAGTTTTAGTAATTTAGAGCAATTTGAAAATATTCAATAAATTGAAGATGCATATATCCTGCATCCCAACAAGTTCATTCCCAGGTATCCTTTAGAGAAAGCATGTATGAACAGTGACTCACCTAAAAAGGTTCATTGAAACATTATTAATAATCATAAACAATTGGAAATAATCAAAATGGCCACCAATAGTAAAATGGATTTTTAAATGGTCACATATTTATACAACGGAATACTATATGATAGCTGAAAATAAAATTACATGTATTAATATGGGTTAATCCCAAAAGACTTATTAAGGGTTTTTTGCCTTATTAAGCAAAATAAGGCAAGTTGAACAAGTTACATAAATAATATCATTTATGTAAAGTTTTAATTTGTAAAAAATACTATATATTGTTTACATGTGCATGTATATGTAATACAGATATAAAAATATATATGAGGATTGATGAATATCAAATTGAAGAGACTGATTACCTCTGGGAGGGAGAGGGAAATGGGATTATATGTGTCTTAATCCATTTTGTGATGCTATAACAGAATGCCTGAGATTGGGTAATTTATGAAGAACAGAACAGTCTCCCACAGTTCTGGAGGCTGAGAAGCCCAAGATCAAGATGCAGGTTTCTTACTGTGTCCTCACGTGGTGGGAGGCAAAAAGGCAAAAGAGAGGGAACTCATTCCCACAAGCCCTTTTTCTTTTTTTAGAGATGGGGTCTCTCTATGTTGCCCAGGCTCAACCTGAATTCCTGGACTCACACTATCCACAGCCTCAGTGTCCCGAGTAGCTGAGACTACAGGTGTGCATCACTGTGCCCAGCCCACAAACCCTTTTTATAGCAGCATTAATCCATTCATGAGGATGGAGCCCTCCATGACCTAAACACTTTTTATTAAGCCCCACCTCCCAACACTGCTGCATTGAATATTGATTGAGTTTCCAACACACAAATTTTGAAGGAGACGATAACATTCACACCATAGTAGCATGTGATAAATGAAGTCTTGGACTGTGTCTTAAATGTTTGATTTCTTTAGAAAATGCATGACTTAGGCTGGGCACAGTGGCTCATGCCTGTAATCCCAGCACTTTGGGAGGCCAAGGCAGGCAGATCACTTGAGTTCAGGAATTTGAGACCAGCCTGGCCAACATGGTGAAACCCTGTCTGTAGTAAAAATACAAAAATAAGCTGAGCATGGTGGCGTACACCTGTAATCCCAGCTACTTGGGAGGCTGAGGCAGGAGAATTGCTTGAACCTAGGAGGTGGAGGTTGCAGTGAGCTGAGATGGTGCCATTGCACTCCATCCTGGGCAACAGAGTGAGACTCTGTCTCAGAAAAAGAAAGAAAGAAAGAAAGAAATGCATGACTCAAATATGGCAAAATGTTAAAATTTTACAAAACTAAGTGGCAATGAGTATACAGTATTTTTCCTATACTGTGAACGCTTAAGATATTTTATAGACTTTTAAAAAGTACTTAAAAGTTGTAAGTTATTCAAAGCACTGACTTCGTTTGTTCCAATACTTCCTAAATATCAGGTTATTTTACTAAGAGAAAAAAAAAATCACCCTTCTATGGCCCACATCCCAAAACTGGGAAGGTTTCAATTCTAATCACAATGGAAGTTTCACCAATGTACAACCTCAGCTTTTGGTCAATACAAATACGCCCTCTGCTGGTTCTATCATGCCCTGTCCCAGAGTTCAAAATAGTTGAGAAGAGCAGTGAAAGTCTTCAGTGAGAGTTTTTTCGCGCCAGTCATGTTAAGGAAAGAAATACTCACAGAACTACCCTTTGGCACCAAGATACTTTAATCAGCTTCTGCTCTCTGTTAATGTTACATATTATCCAAGACAAAATAAATTCCAAGGTGCAGCCCCAGTCAACCTTTCCAATTCCTCAACCACCTTTGCGCGTTAACAATCTTGTGCCCCTCTAAAGTCTGGTGGTTGATTTGAGAGACAGTGGACACCTCCCTGAACCTGAGTAGAAGTAGAAGAAAACCAAAGTTGCAAAGAAGCTCCTGGGCGGGGAAACCACAAAATAACATTGAAAAACAGATTAACTGTAGTATTAAGGGAATGATGCCAATGGAATAATGGGTGAACTTTTTCTTTTCAAATCTTTCTTTAAAAGTATAACATCTTCAAATAAAACTGAGAAGAAATAAATTAATTCATGCAAGAATCTACTTCTCAAGAGAGAAAGGCACTAATTGAATATTAGAGTCTTCCTTTCAAAAACAGTTTTGTGTTTTGAGGTTGGTTTTGTTTTAATATTCATCTTCCCCACTGGAATGTAAGCTCCCTTAGACCAGCATCTGTGTCTATCTGATTCAAATTGGTACAAATTTTCTAGGGAACAATTTGGCAGTAGGCATTGTGACTTAAAAACTGTACATACTTGTGCTTTGGCTCTTCGGGTAAAGATGGCGGAGCGCGGTACGGCTTTTCGCTGACTACATTCAGCCCGTCTGATAAACTTGTCCGGATTGAATATGCTTTGGCTGCTGTAGCTGGAGGAGCCCTGTCAGTGGGAATTAAAGCGGCAAATGGTGTGGTATTAGCAACCGAGAAAAAACAGAAATTCATTCTGTATGATGAGCGAAGTGTAGACAAAGTGGAACCAATTACCAAGCACATAGGTTTGGTGTACAGTGGCGTGGGCCCAGATAACAAAGTGCTTGTGCACACAGCTCGAAACTAGCTCAACAATACTATCTTGTGTACCAAGTGCCCATTCCCACAGCTCAGCTAGTGCGGAGAGTAGCTTCTGTAATGCAAGAATATACTCAGTCAGGTGGTGTTTGTCCATTTGGAGTTTCTTTACTTGTTTGTGGTTGGAATGAGGGACAACCATATTTATTTCAGTCAGATCCATCTGGAGCTTACTTGGCCTGGAAAGCCACAGCAGTGGGAAAGAACTATGTGAATGGGGAAACTTCCCTTGAGAAAAGATAAAATGAAGATCTGGAACTTGAAGATGCCATTCATACAGCCATGTTAACCCTAAAGGAAAGCTTTGAAGGCCAAATGAGAGGATAACATAGAAGTTGGAATCTTCAACGAAGCTGGATTTAGGGGGCTTACTCCAACTGAAGTTAAGATTACTTGGCTGCCAGCCGGGTGGGCGCGGTGGCTCATGCCTGTAATCTCAGCACTTTGGGAGGCTAAGGTGGGAAGATCACCTGAGGTCGGGAGTTCAAGACCAGCCTGACCAACATGGAGAAACCCCATCTCTATTAAAAATACAAAATTAGCCGGGCATGGTGGTGCATGCCTATAATCCCAGCTATTCGGGAGGCTGAGGCAGGAGAATCACTTGAACCCGGGAGGCGGAGGTTGCGGAGAGCCGAGATCGCGACATTGCAGTCCAGCCTAGGCCAAAAGAGTGAAACTCCTCCAAAAAAAAAAAAAAAAAAAGAATTGCTTGGCTGCATAACAATGAAGTGACTGAAAAATCCAGAATTTCAGATAATCTATCTACTTAAACATGTTTAAAGTATGTTTTGTTTTGCAGACTTTTTCATATGTATTTCTACATGGCTTAAATCGACTGTTTTTAAAATGACACTTATAAATCCTGATAAACTGCTAAACCCACAAAAAATAGACTGTACATCCTTTAATCAGAAATATGAACAAAGAGTAAATTTTTTAATAATCAAAACATTCCTGACCAGATGCTGTGGTTCACACCTGTAATCCCAATACTTTGGGAGGCCAAGGCGGGTGGATCACTCGAGGCCAGGGTTTAAGACCAGCCTGGCCAACATAGCAAAACCCAGTCTCTACTAAAAATACAAAAAATTAGCTGGGCATGATGGTGCATGCGTGTAACCCCTGCTGCTCAGGAGGCTGAGGGATGAGAATCGGTTGAACCCAGGAGGTAGAGGTTGTAGTGAGCCGAGATCGCACCACTGCACTCCAGCCTGGGCGACAGAGCGAGACTGTCTCAGAAACAAAACAAAATAAAAATTCCTTTCAAGGATATTCTATGCAAAGTTCTTTATGGTTATAAAAAATAGAAGCGATATGAATTTTTAAAATTACATGTTTGGTTAAGTCACTTATGGTACATTCATACGATAACATACTGTGCTGCAATTAAAAATTTTTTTTGAGACAGGGTCCCACTCTGTCTTTCAGGCTGGAGTGCAGTGGTGCCATCACAGCTCACGGCAGCTTCGATCTCCCAAGCTCAAGCGATCCTCCCACCTCAGCCCCCTGAGTAGCTGGGATGACAGGCTTATGCCACCATGCCCAGCTGATTTTTCTATTTTTTGTAGAGACAGGATCTCACCATGCTGCCCAGGTTGGTCTCAAACTCCTGTGCTCAAGCGATCTGCCTGCCTCAGCCTCCCAAAGTCCTGGGATTATACACATAAGCTACCACATCTAGCCTAAAATCATTTTTAAGAACATTTAGGCCAGGCGTGGCAGCTTATGCCTGTCATGTCAACACTTTGGGAAGTTGAGGCAGGAGAATTGCTTGAGGCCAAGAGTTTGAGACCTGCCTGAGCAACATGACAAGACCCTGTCTCTACAAAAAGAAAAATTTTAAAACATTAGCTGGGTGTGGTGGTGTACACCTGTAGCCTCAGCTATTCAGGAGGCTGAGGTGGGAGGTCCCTTGAGCCCGGGAGTTCAAAGTTACAGTGAGCTGTGATCATGCCACTGCACTCCACCCTGAGCAACAGAGCGAGACCCTGTCTCTAAGAATAAAAAAAAAAATTAAGAATATTTAATTATATGGGAAAGTTGTAATATAAAAGTAGATTAAAATTGAATATACACTAATCAATTATATGGAAATATGATATTCATTAGATATACATGAAAGCAAATACACCAAAATATTTGCAGTAGTTGTATATGGGTAGAGTGAGAGAGCATGGTGAGATTTTTTTGGTTCTTGTTTGTTTTTACCGTGTGCTGGCACTGGTTTAGGCACTTTCCTTGTATTAACATATCTCTTGCTACTTTTTTAAAGCAGCTTTATCAAGGGATAATTGACATACAATAAATTAGACCTTTTCAAATTGTACAATTCCCATGAAACCGTCACCACAATCGAAATACAATATTCATCACTCCCAAAAGTTTCCTCATACCTCCCCTATTCCAGCCTCCTTCATCCCCAGACAACAACTGATGTGTTTTCTGTCACTATAGATTAGTTTGCATTTTCTAGAATTTTATATAAATGGAATCATGCCATATGTACTTTTTTTTCTTTATTCTTTTTTTTTTTTTTTTTTTTTTTGAAATGGAGTTTCACCCTTGTTGCCCAGGCTGAAGTGCAATGGCGCGATCTCAGTTCACTGCAACCTCCACCTCCCGGGTTCAAGCCATTCTGCCTCAGCCTCCCGAGTAGCTGGGATTACAGGCTTGCACCACCACGCCCAGCTAATTTTGTATTTTTACTAGAGATGGGGTTTCTCCGTGTTGGTCAGGCTGGTCTCGAACTCCCAACCTCAGATGATCTGCTTGCCTCAGCCCCCCAAAAGTGCTGAGATTACAGGCATGAGCCCCCACACCCAGCCAGCCATATGTACTTTTTCGTATGATTTCTTTCACTCAACATAATTATTTTGAGATTCATCCATATTGCCAGGTATATCAATAGTTCATTCCCTTTTACTGCTGAGTTGTATTGTATTGTATATATACACCAGTTTATCTGTTTATCTGTTGATGGACATTTGAGCTGTTTCAGTTTTGACCATTACAAATAAAACTGCTGTGAACATCTGTGTACAAGTCTTTGTATGGATTTATGCTTTCATTTCTTTCATTTATCTTGGGTAAAATACCTAGGGGTAGGATAGTTGGATGGTACGGCAGGTATATATTTAACTTTTTTAAAAACTGCCAAATTATTTTCCTTAGTGGTTGTACCATTTTACATTCCAAACAGCAGTAGATGAGAGTTCCAGTTCCTCCACATCCTTGTCAAATCTCAGTACAGTCAGTCTTTAATTTTAGTCATTCTAGTAGTTATGAGTTGACTGTGGGGGTTTTGTTTCTTCTTTATGATTTTTTTTGTGTTTTCCAATTTTTCTGCAATAAAATGTATCTTCCATAATCAAAAAATTATTTAAAGTAACTAAAACAAGATGTAGACTAGTCCAATATGAAGTCTTGGTCTGGAGACTCTTCATTCTAAAAGAGTAGCCCAACACAGTCTGCAGAGCACCCAGCAAAGAGCACTAACTGTGTGGCCTGTGTAACCCTTCCTCATATCCTCATAAGATAACATTTGTTTTTTTGGCCAGGCATGGTGCTTCATGCCTGTGATCCCAGCACTTTTGGAAGCTGAGGCGGGCGGATCGCTTGAGCCCAGAAGTTCGAGACCAGCCTAGGCAACATAGTGAGACTCCGTCTATACGAAAAATAGAAAAAATTAGCCGAGTATAGTGGTGCACACCTGTGGTACTGGCCACTTGCGAGACAGGTGGGGAGGATTGGTTGAGCCCAAGAAGCTGAGGTTGCAGTGAGCCGGGATTGTGCCACTGCACTCCAGCCGGGGCGACAGAGCAAGGCTCTGTCTCAAAAAAAAAAAAAAGTTAACATTTGTTTTTTGGGGGGTTTTTGGGGGGTTTTTTAAATTTTTTTTTTTTTTTTTTTTGAGACAGTCTCACTGGAGTGCAGTGGTGCTCCACTGGTGTGCAGTGGTGCTCATTGGAGTGCAGTGGTGCTATCTAAACTTACTGCAACCTCCACCTCCCAGGTTCAAGCTATTCTCTTGCCTCAGCCTCCCGAGTAGCAGGGATCACAGGCATGCACCACCACCACACCCAGCTAATTTTGTATTTTTAGTAGAGATGGGGTTTCACCATGTTAGCCAGGCTGGTCTCCAACTCCCGACCCCAGGTGATCTGCCTGCCTTGGCTTCCCAAAGTGTTGAGATTACAGGCGTGAGCCTAACATTTGTTTTTTAAAATCAACTTGCTTTTCAATGTTATAACCTTTAAGAAAAAATATAAACACACCTAAACCTCCCAATGTTATCTATTATTTCCTTTTTCTGTTTTCCAGTTCATATCCGTCCAGATTTTATAGAGTTCTAACACACTATTCTGTAGTTTATATTTTTACTTGTCATATCAGTTTTTCCATATTGCTTATTTATCTTTTTAACCATAATTTTAAATGTCAAGTTAATGTATCATAAATTACTCCCCCAGTCTCCCTTGTTGAGCTGTTTCTAATTTTTCATGATTAATAGTAATGTTGGCTGAGCGCAGTGGCTCACACCTGTAATCCCAGCACTTTGGGAGGCCAAGGTGGGTGGATCACGAGGTCAGGAGTTCAAGACCAGCCTGGCCAATATGGTGAAACCCCATCTCTACTAAAAATACAAAAATTAGTCGGGTGTGGTGGCACACACCTGCAGTTCCAGCTACTCGGGAGGCTGAGGTAGGAGAATCACTTGAGCCCAGGAGACAGAGGGTGCACTGACCGGAGATCACGCCACTGCACTCCAGCCTGGTCAACAGAGCAAGACTCCGTCTCAAAAAAAAAAAAAAAAAGTAATGTAATAAGAAGTAAGTTGGTACAAAAGCTTGTTTCTTCTTTTGAATTCTTTCCTTATGATAAATACCAGGAGTGAGATTCCTGATCAAAGGCTAGAACATTTTTCTGATCACTGATACATACTGTCATATCACTTTCCCAAAGGATATTTTAATACTAATTTTAATGTTACTTGCCATGTGTCAGCCCTGGTTTCTGAAGTATTTGCTAATTTTCTGGGTATAGCATACGTCATTGTTCTAATTTGCATGCCTTTGGCTACTCACCAGGTAGATGTTTTTCCATGTCTGATCTCCTCCTAGGATAACTGCCTGTTGTCCTTTATTGATTGATACTCTGTTTTCACAGACCCAGAGCCAAGGAGTATGACCCTTGACTCTCCCAGGGCTTCCCGGACTGAGCACATCCAGACCCCAGAAGCAGATATTGTGCAAAAAGTGTAAGTGTTCAAAGTTGTAATAACATAGGCTTCTCTGCTTTTATTTTGTTTGTATTTTTAATTGGTTTAGTTTGGTTTTTTTTCAGACAGGAATGGGAGTTCTCAGCTGACAGTATGCTCTAACAGCCAAAATTAAATGGTTGTCTAAGAAACAAAGATTCTTGAGGATGATTATATTGTGATATGTTTCCTACCTAAATCATATTTATTTGGCTGGTTGGATAAAGAGTGAAGTTAACTCTAACCCTATGGGAACAGCTCTTTCCATTTGCCCAATCTGAGATCCACAGAGATGCCTAGAAAGCTGAAATCTATCACTTCAACCTGGGTTTGTCCCCTCAGCATTCAGTCAGCTCTGAGTAAAATAAATAATGCTGATAATCTTAACACCAATATTAATAATAATTGCTAGCCCGTATTGAGTGCTTCCCATGTACTGTACTTACGCGCTTACTGTGAGCCCAGCCAGTCAGGCGTAGTGTTTTGACTTAAGCTACTTTGGTAGTGGCAGCTGGCGTGGCCTCTCTGCCTCCATCTGGAACCACAGCCTATTGTGACTTCCCAAAAACCTCGATGACTTGAGAACCTGCTGTCACCTGCCCAGGGATGTAAGGATTCCCTCCTAGGTCAAAAAGGTTTTGTGTTCCCCAGGAATAAAGGGGGAAAGGCACTTGGATGAATGAGACAGCCACCAGAGGAACACCATTTTTAGAATTTTATACCTGATCTTTTCTCACAATGTATTTTAAATGCTTATGACAACCACCTCCACCAAAAAACACAAAAATTTTTTTAAATCAGGAGAAAAAAACACAAACTTTTCACAAAAGTCATCATAGCCTTTGTGACTTAATTTCAGGCTTGACAGAGGGATTCCTGACCTACAGATTTCTGAAAAAAAAAAAGAGCAAAACAATCAGGTTTGTGGTTCTCATTTGCAGCATACCTATTCCTCAGGGAAATTAAAGGTTTTCCAAGCACTAAATTCTAAAGGAGACTTCTCGTATAGGCTTTTATAGAGTGACATTGAATGATTTAAAGTCTCATATATTTACAGGAAATTCCATTCACCTCATTCAACAAATATTTCTCAAGTTTCTACAGTAAGGCCCCGTGCTAGCAGAGCACAGTAAAGAGAATACTCATTTAGCTAAAAAAAATAAAATAAAATGCCCAGAACCAGACCTGGCACAGAGCAGGCACACAGTAACTGATATTGCTGCAATCCACGTGGCTGCTTTTCAGTGCCCTTTCTACCCAGAGGGCATAAGTCAGTTATCCTCAGGGCAAACAGTGAGTGACAGCAATTCTACAATGGATAAAACCAACACAGCACATGACCTTTTAGTGGCTGAATTTGATCAAGGATAGAATTCAGAGGGCATATTGCCAGGCGTGGTGGCTCATGCCTGTAATCCCAGCACTTTGGGAGGCTGAGGCTGGTGGATCATCTAAGGTCAGGAGTTTGAGACCAGCCTGACTAACATGGTGAAACCCCATCTCTACTAAAATACAAAAATTAGCCGGACGTGGTGGTGGGCGCCTGTAATCCCAGCTATTGGGGAGGCTGAGGCAGGAGAATCGCTAGAACCCGGGAGGTGGAGGTTGCAGTGAGCCCAGATCGCACCATTGCACTCCAGCCTGGGCGACAGAGCGAGACTCCGTCTCAAAAAAAAAAAATGAAAAGAATTCAGAGGGCATAAAGGAATGAATGGATAGTTACATGTTCCTAACACAATCTTTCTTAAAGGTCACTTTCTTTTTCCAGCTAATCCTTTGATAGAAGAAATTTCAGTTAAATAATTCTATGCCATTCAATTAAAAGCATAAATATGCAACCCCAAAGAGCAAACAATTTATCCCACTCTCTAAATTTTAGGATTTATTCTGAGGAAATCCCTAAAGTGAAGACCAATCTTTCTCATCTTCCTTACCATGGGATGTGCAGAAGAAAAAGAGTTGACTAAGTATGTCAAATGTCAGGCACAGTGCCTGCAGAGAACAGGTGCTCGATGTTGGCTCACTTGCCCTCTTTCTTTCCACCAGAGTTTTTCTTTAGTTTGGTCCTGTTGGTTTGCTCTTTTCAAAGGGGCAGAGATTATGATGTACACCACCTACACAGAGGACTTCTGGGATACGGGCCTGAGTCACCCGAGAGGTTGAGTGCTGTGTATACATCTCTTCTTCCAAGAGAAAGAGAAGGGAAGGCTGAACCAAGACTGTTTAGCCAGGAGACATCAGCCAACATCAGTCATGTGAGTGTAAACCCCTAAAAGCTTGGTCCAAAAGCCCTACTTGGATCTCATCAAGGATACCATGCACAGTTGTATAGATTGCTCACTATATGAGGGCACCCGATAAAGGGGATGAGGGGGGCACTGAGGTCCAGCCTGTGGTCTGCTTACCAAGCCCTGCACAGCCACATTGGGCTGCATCCTCCTGAAGGATGGAACATCATTTCTAATTCCTTTTTTTTTTGGAGACACAGTCTCACTGTGTTGCCCAGGCTGGAGTGCAGTGGCGCGGTCTCGGCTTACTGCAACATCCGCCTCCCAGGTTCAAGTGATTCTCCTGCCTCAGCCTCCTGAGTAGCTGGGATTACAGGCATGTGACACCAGTCCCAGCTAATTTTTGTATTTTTTCAGTACAGCCAGGGTTTCACCATGTTGGCCAGGCTGGTCTCGAACTCCTGACCTCAAGTGATCCACCTGCCTGAGCTTCCCAAAGTGCTGGGATTACAGGCGTGAGCCACTGCACCTGGCCCCATTTCTAATTCCTACAAAGGTACTGAGTGGGTAGTCATGACCCCACTCTGCCATCCTCTCTTAGGAGGAACCACTGTGTTATTCTAGCCCATGGGGAAAGGTGAAGACTGACATAGTTGTGGTCATCTGCCTGAGGTTTCCTGAAAGTTAGCAAATCATTCTGCAGTGAATAAAGCTGGCTTTGATTTAGAATAGTTAACCATTAATCATGGCAACACCAATCTATCAAAGGTGAAAACTCTTTCCCTTTGATCCAGCTCTGTGAATCATGATTTAGAATCTAAGAAAGGAGGCAGACCATAAGTGTTTTTTCTTCCTCTTTCCTCTTATGAAATTATTTCTAGCAGTTTTACATCAAAGGCTGAACCTCTGAGTCTCCCCATCGGCTCTGCATTCTCTAAGATTCACTCTTCTGCTTTACCTGGAACCCACACAAATTCCATTCTAAGCCAGTGTGTCACCTTGTTCAACATAATCTTCTTTGATGGATTTTTTCATTTCCTATACATATTATGGTCCCCTTCCTTGATTTTTCACCTTTAGGAGAGGGATTTGATTAACGAGGCCAAGAGAAAGGAAAAACCCAAGAAAGACAAAACCAAAGGACCCAAAAGCGAGAGAGAAGGAAAGGTCTACGGGCAAGCAGAGGCTGCCATTGGTAAGAGAGTGTGCCTGCAAGTAACAACCTGGAGAAGACTTCTGTTAGGGGTCGGGAGGTGGTATGGATAATTAGCATGGATCCTACCGGACAAACTCTCTGTTTTGAGACTTCTTGACTACTACAGCCAAGATGGTGTTGCAGCCTTATGTCATATCAGTATCTTAATAGACAGAGATACAGGAAAACGGGGAGCCTAGAGGCCTGTGATCACCAAGAAAGGAAATTATAATAATAAGAGCACCTATTTACTGAATACCTACTCTTATTTATTAGGACTCTGTATATGTGATCTCATTAAATCCTCACAACATCTCCATGAAGGAAGTGTTATTATTATATTCATGTAGCAACTGAGGCTGAGCAAGGTTGGGTGACTTACATAATATCAAGTAGATCAGACAGTAAAGTGGTAGACCCAGGGCTTGTCCTTTCCTATTTGACTCCCAGCAGATTCTATTGCCACTGCCTCCATAAAATAATAACTATATCACATAATCAGAGTATTGGGTAGTGAGAGCATTTGGGAAGGGGAAGGATGCCACAAGTGTTGAATGATCCTCCAAGCTACGGTTTCTGTCTTGGTTCCCTATGTTGAGCCTGACCAGGAACTCGGATTCCTTTGCTTCTGAACACTTTCTTTAGCCTAAAACTTACACCCATCCTTTACTGCCCACATGATTCAGAAGACCCTCCAAACAAATCCAGTGCTGCTAGAAAGGACAACAATGGATACACTCCTGAGTGAAACCTATTTTTGACATTTGCTTGTTCATCTCTTGCTGAATTTACATTTTTGTAGCCCATGACTTGGGTAGCATTGGTGGAATTAGGCAAAGGAAATACTTGTGGTGCCCCTACCAAAGGTGAAGCGAAGGAAGGGTCCTTAGAGTACGGAAGGCTGAACTTTGCCAGGTTACAAAGCTGCAACCTCAAGCCAGACTCTCAAGGTATGACTTTCCAGCTGTGTGTACAAGCCTACCCTCCGGACGGTCCTGCCCCCACCATAAGTCAGAGTGAAATAGAACCTTTTTTTTTTTTTTGAGATGGAGTCTCGCTCTGTCACCCAGGCTGGAGTGCAGTGGCATGATCTCGGCTCACTGCAACCTCCGCCTCCTGGGTTCAAGCAATTCTTCTGCCTCAGCCTCCCGAGTACCTGGGATTATAGGCACCCACCACCACACCCAGCTAATTTTTGTATTTTTAGTAGAGACAGGGTTTCACCATATTGGCCACACTGGTTTCAAACTCCTAACTTCGTGATCTGCCCGCCTCAGCCTCCCAAAGTGCTGGGATTACAAGTGTGAGCCACCACGCCCGGCTGAAATAGAACTTATTTAATAGCAAGACTGCTGAATGTCAGTTGATCCAAAGAGGATAAGGTAGTTTCTCAAACGGTGGTGTGTGAACTACTCTTCCCAAAACACTTGGGGTGTTTGTTACAATGCAGATTCCCACTGAACCAGATTCTGGGGCTGGGGCTTAGGAATCTGCACCCCAGGTGATTCCATTGCATGCTAACTTTTAAAAGTTACTAAAAAGGGGCCAGGCACGGTGGCGCACACCTGTAATCCCATCACTTTGGGAGGCTGAGGTGGGTGGATTGCTTGAGCTCAGGGATTTGAGACTAGCCTGGGCAACATGGCAAAACCCTGTTTCTACAAAAAATACAAAAATTAGCCAGACATGGTGGTGTGCCTGCAGTCCCAGCTACTCAGGAAGCCGAGGTGGGAGGATCACAAGCCCAGGAGTTCGAGGCTGCAGTGAGCCATGATCGTGCCACTGCTCTCCAGCTTGGGTGACAGAGCAAGACCCTGTCTCAAAAAAAAAAAGTTACTAAAAAGGATGTATAGTGATCACATTAAGTTAACTCAGCTATATCTCTATCCCCAATTGTTCTCCCCCAGGAAAGTCAAAGGACTCAAAGGCTAAAAAAAAATTAGAAAAAAAAACAAGACCCCAAAGGAAAAGGACACAGAAGGAAAGAAATCTGGAGATAGCGGCAGAGCTGAGCGGGCCTGATGTCAGCTATGAGGAAACAGAAGACACCTCAAATAGAGGTTCCTTTGCCTCAGACTCCTTTGTAGAGGACCCTTGGCTTTCTCCCAAATATGATGCCCAGGAAAGCCAAGTTTCTCTAGATGGAAGATCATCACCCTCTCAGATTGCAACTGTCACTGGCAACATGGAATCTAAAGAAGAGAGAAGATGTGAGGACCCTTCCAAGGTAGGGTCTGATGTCCTCAGCTTGACAGAGGAAGTTCTGTTCTCACTTGGCGCGACTGCAAAGATGGGAAAGCTGCCCCTAATTATATTGCACTTACTAAAACAGCTCGACCACCTAATGGTCTTATTGTTCTACTTTGGTATCTTCTGACCCTAGTAAGAAGCCAGACCTGATCAAAGATGCAGGGGTAGCAAAGCCCCTCTGAAGTGGTGATGCATTCTGTGAGGCCCCCACATTGCCAGGGCAAGTATCCACCCTTTAAAGAATAGGAAATGATCACAGCACCCATCTCTGAGAGGTGCAGGACTCATGGTTACAGGGAAAGGTGGGTACTGGCTGTCAGAGCTGAGCATATTTCCTTGACTCAGGCTAGGGCTCATCTATTACTTGCCTTCCAAAGGCTGTGGAAATTCCTACTTTCCTAATCTGCGTTTCTGCGGTATGCAGCTGGAATAGAGAGAGGCAGCCTGTACACATATACCTGCTTTTACAAGATGCTTTTGGGCCGGGCATGGTAGTTCACGCCTGTAATCCCAGCACTTTGGGAAGCTGAGGAGGGTGGATCATGAGGTCAGGAGTTCAAGACCAGCCTGGCCAACATAGGGAAAGCCCGTTTCTACTAAAAATACAAAAATTAGCCAGGCACAGTGGTGCACGCCTGTAATCCCAGCTACTTGGGAGGCTGAGGCAGGAGAATTGCTTGAACCTGGGAGGCAGAGGTTGCAGTGAGCCGAGATCACACCACTGCACTCCAACCTGGGCGACAGAGAGAGACTCCATCTAAAAAAAACAAAACCACAAGATGTAAGAGTCACTTTGTTCCAGGGACCTTGCTTCTAATGTGGAGGTCTGAAGAGAAAAACTGAGTGTAAGGAAAAATTACCCTTGAAAATTGCTGCAATTCGGCCGGATGCAGTGGCGCATGCCTGTAAACCCAGCACTTTGGGAGGCCAAGGCAGGAGCATTGCTTGAGATCAGGAGTTTGAGGCTGCAGTGAGCTATGATTATGCCACTACACTCCAGCCTGAGCAACAGAACAAGACTCTATCTATCTCTAACCAAAAAAAAAAAGAAAAAAAAGAAAAAAGAAAATCCCTGCAACTAACTAAAAAAGAATACCATATAGATGCATCATCTGTCAGTAAGACCAAAACGGCCAATCTTTCCTCTGCTGTTGGAATAAATTACTATTTCTTCCCCTGAGACTAAGGTACTGAACTTCATTTTGACATCTTATACAAAAAAATTAAAAAGTAGCTTTAAACACTACAAATGCACACACAGCTAAGCCACTACAATTAAACTCACATATGTTACATTAACCTTTACCACACTTGTGAGCCAGGTATGATTAGCCCCATTTTACAGATCCAGAAATAGAAACTAGAAAGAGTTAAATGCAGGTTGCCAGAAATTGCACAACCATTGAGTGGTAGAGCCAAGACTTAAGCTTAGGTCCTTTGACTCCAACTTCAGGACTCTTGTCACCATTTTAAATTATTATCTATTTACTTATTTTATGGCTCATGGTCTTCCAAAAAGGATTCCAGGAAGATTTTCCTTTATAGTTCTCAGTCCCTCCCAGCTTCCTGGATCACACAATTCGGCTCTGCACAACAGATGAAAATTTTAACCTATGGGCCGAACTTTTCTGAACCTGCGGGATCATCAGCATTTCTTAGATTTATTGTCAATCCATAATACTATGCTGCCTCTGCAAAGACTAAAAAGCAAGGAGCTTTTTCTCTGAGTTGGATACACAGAGTTCCTAGAAGGCTTGCCTCTCAAGGTTCCCTTCATAGGCATATTTCTGAGGAAGAGGCACTAGGGAGAAAAAGAAAGCTATGACAACCTTCCTATAAACTGAAAGAACAACCTTCCATTGGAAAGGTGAGTTTCTGTGGGATTAAATGTGAATCTGACCCATCTATACCTAAGATTGCCCCTGGTAAAATAGCTTCTTTTTTTTTTTTTTTTTTTTTAGAGGGAGCTTCACTCTTTTTGCCCAGGCTGGAGTGCAATGGCGCAATCTCGGCTCACCGCAACCTCTGCCTCCCGGGTTCAAGCAATTCTCCTGCCTCAGCCTCCCAAGTAGCTGGCATTACAGCCACGTGCCACCATACCTGGCTAATTTTGTATTTTTAGTAGAGATAGGGTGTCTCCATGTTGGCCATGCTGGCCTGGAACTCCTGACCTCAGGTGATCTACCCACCTCAGCCTCCAAAAGTGCTAGGATTACAGGCATGAGCCATGCCCGGCCCCTTGTTTTTATATTTTTGAGGCAGAGTCTTGCTTTGCCACCCAGGAGTGCAGTGGCATGATCATAGGTGACTTGTTACCTTGAACCCCTGGGCCCAAGCAATCCTCCCACTTCAGCCTCCCAAAATGCTGGGATTACAGGCATGAACTGCTGCACCCAGCCACAAGTAATTTTTGAAAGCTCCTTGGGTGATTCTAAAGTGCAGCCATGGTTGAGAACTCTAGAACCTACCATGTACTGGACATTATGTTGGCACTTTCATTATTTCAGCTAATCCTGGCAACAGTACCATGAGGAAGACAATATCGGGAAGTTTAAGTTGTGATCCCTAAATCCCAAAGCAAGTAAGAGAGAGAGTTGAATCCAGGTTAATCAGACCCAAAAGTCCAAGCTGGTGGTGGCTGAGTCTATGCAGCTGTGGGCAAAGTGTGGAGTCTGTTTTATGATTCCATCTTTGATTAGAGACAACACTGTCTGGGGTGGAGAAGGGCTCACTGCTGAGACAGACCCATCTGTTTATTGCACTGAGAACACTCTGGTTTCTTAGGCCCTCCTCACTAAGAGGGAGCAGGAGAAGGCTTCCTGGGACAGGCTTCGAGCAGAAAGAGCCGAGATGAGGTGGCTGGAGGTGGAGAAGAAGAGAAGGGAGCAGGAAGAGCAAAGGCAGCTCCAGCAGGAGCAGCTGGAGAGAGCAAAAAAGATGGAGGAGGAGCTGGAGCTGGAGCAGCAGAGACGTACAGAAGAGATCCGGTAGGTTGGGCAAGCCAAAGAGACTACAGCCATGTTAGGAAGCAGAAGAAAAAGACAGTGGTTGACCTCCCCTAGGGGCAATGTTTGGTTCTGAGGCTCATGCCCTGAAGTTAAAATAGCATGTGTCATTTTTCTCTATCCTCAGTTTTCCTAGGAACAACACTCACCAGAGATAAACTGTAGCGTCTCAACCATGTGCATTGGTACACTCTGCTGAATGTCACTCTCTTTCAAGTTTAGAACCCCATGTGAGGGTTACTCACATTGATGACCCTGAGATCTTCTTGGGAAGGCTCTGAGATTCAGTCCAGAAAACACTTGTCAAGCCCCTGCACTTTGTGGTCTGCACTGTGCTAGGCCCTTTCACAGGCCTCAACTGCAATTTAATCTTCACAACCCTGTGAGGCAAGAGTTTTGAAATCCATAAGCATGAAAAATGAACTTAAGACCCCTGCTGCAGAGCACAGAGCTGTGTACTGAAACTTCTAGGCTTCTGGTTTCAAGCCCGCTGGGCTCTTTGCTCTTCAATCCTGGCTTCCCTTGGAAAACTGAGTCTCCTGGGAATAGGTTGCTCCCTGTGGCCTGTGGGCTGCAGAGCCTCCCCCATGGGCACTGTCTGTTGGCTCATCTCACAAGGATGCCTCAGTGTTTTCTGCCATTTCCCTGACCATCTTGGGTTTTCTCAGCTTGAGGAAACAGAGACTCCAAGAAGAACAGCAGCGGCAGGAGGAGGAGGAGAGAAAGCAGCAGCTCCGGTTGAAAGCAGCCCAGGAGAGAGCCCGGCAACAGCAAGAGGAGTTTCGGAGGAAACTGCGAGAACTACAGAGAAAAAAGCAGCAGGAGGAAGCCGAGAGGGCCGGTGAGGGGGTTCTTGAGCTCTTTGCATCTCTCTTCTACTTGGGGCAGAAACACTTTTATCCAGCTGTGAGTGTTCATTTATTCCTATCCTAGGCCTTAGTGTGTTAAGCACTCTAAATAATATAAACTATTTTTCAAAGTGATTATGTATGACTATAATTTGTTAATATAGATTTAAATAAGAAAGTAATGACTTGCTTGTGGAAATGACTCCAGAGTCCCTTTGCCCTTTCGGCATTGCTCAAGAGCTACCTAAATTGGAGACACAGCCCTACTCTTTGCTTCCTTCCCGAGCAGATGGAAACAGCCACAAACATCTGGATAGCTTCAGGGCAGACTTTCAGGTGCTGATGTGTGGAATCTTGCCAGCCTCTTTTTAAAAAATTATTAGTTTTTTGTTTGTTTGTTTTTGTTTTTGTTTTTTTGAGTCCGAGTCTCACACTATTGCCTGGGCTGGAGTGCAATGATGTGATCTCAGCTCACTGCAACCTCTGCCTCCCAGGTTCAAGCAGTTCTCCTGCCTCAGCCTTCCAAGTAGCTGGGATTACAGGCGCCCGCCACCATGCACAGATAATTTTTTGTATTTTTAGTAAAGATGGGGTTTCACTATGTTGGCCAGGCTGGTCTCGAACTCCTGACGTCATGATCTGCCTGCCTTGGCCTCCCAAAGTGCTGGGATTACAGGTGTGAGCCACCGTGCTCAGCCCAATTATTAGTTATTTTTAATTGACAACAATAATTGTACATATTTACAGGGTACAGTGTGACCGTTTGGCACATATATGATATGTAATTATCAAATTGGGGTAATTTGCATATCCATCACTTCAAACATTCATCATTTGTGTTGGGAACATTCAAAATCCACTCTTCTAGCCAGGTGTGGTGGCTCACACCTATAATCCCAGCACTTTGGGAGGCCTAGGCAGGTGGATCACCTGAGGTCAGGAGTTCAAGACCAGCCTGGCCAACATGGCAGAACCCCGTCTCTACTAAAAATACAAAAATTAGCTGGGTGTAGTGGTGTGTGCCTGTAGTCCCAGCTACTTCTTGGGAGGCTGAGGCAGGAGAATCACTTGAACCCAGGAGGCGGAAGTTGCAGTGAGCTGAGATAGTGCCACTGCACTCCAACCTGGGTGACAAGAGCAAGACTCTGTCTAAAAAAAAAAAGAAAAAAGAAAAAAACTGCACTCTTATAGCTATTTGAAAATATAAGTTATTGTTACAGTTGCCTACAGTGCTATAGAACACTAGAACTTACTCCTTCTATCCAGCTGTAATTTAGTAGTCTTTAACCAACCTCTCCCTACCCACCTCCACCAACCCCCTACCCTTCCCTGCCTCTAGTAACCACTATTCTATTCTCTATTTCCATGAGATCAATGTTTTTCGCTTTCACATGAGTAAAAATGTGTTATTTATTTTTCTATGCCTGGCTTATTTCACTTAATGTAAGTCCTCCTAGGATCATTCACATTGTCATAAAAGACAGAATTTCATTCTTTTTATGGATAAGTAGTGTTCCATCATGTATATATATACCACATTTTCTTTATCCACTCATCTATTGATGGACATTTATATTGATTCTGTATCTTGGCTGTTGGGAAGAGTGCAGCAATAAACACACGGGTGCAAGTATCTCCTCAACATGCTCATCTCCTCTCCTTTGGATATATACCTAGTAGTGGGATTGCTGGGTCCAGCCTCACCTTTGAGGAAGAGATAGGAACTTCAGCAGACAAAACTGTGGCTACTTCCTGGTTCTGGCTGTAGACTGGTCAGTCCAGCTGAGGAAGCACCAAGTTTCTTTTCTTTTCTTTTCTTTTTTTTTTTTTTTTTTTTTTTTTTGAGACAGAGTCTCGCTCTGTCGCCAAGGCTTGAGTGCAACGGCGCGATCTCGGTTCACTGCAAGCTCCGCCTCCCAGGTTCACGCCATTCTCCTGCCTCAGCCTCCCGAGTAGCTGGGACTACAGGCGCCTGCCACCACGCCCCGCTAATTTTTTTGTGATTTTAGTAGAGACGGGGTTTCGCCGTGTTAGCCAGGATGGTCTCAATCTCCTGACCTCGTGATCCGCCCGCCTCGGCCTCCCAAAGTGCTGGGATTACAGGCGTGAGCCACCACGCCCGGCCAGGAAGCACCAAGTTTCTCTAGACCCTGATTTGACACCGCTCCCCAACCCAGCTTCATACCACCACATAAGCACACCGGGCTCTGGAAAAATTCTTCCCTAAGGCTTTGTATTAATAAAGGACTCTTAAATTAGTAAATTAATCCCCAAGGTACTCCCCAGAGAGGATCTGGCAGCCTGCTAGCAGGTCAACTGCAAAATTTCTCACGGGGAGTCCTTCAGAATCACAGATTTGAGAGTTGGATCCGAAAATTGTTTTCCCTAAAAATGATCCCTGCTGAGCCCACCCCCTTTTCTATTCTGCAGAGGCAGAGAAGCAAAGGCAAGAGGAATTGGAAATGCAGTTAGAAGAAGAACAAAAACACCTGATGGAAATGGCTGAAGAGGAACGACTGGAGTACCAGCGGCGGAAACAGGAAGCAGAAGAGAAGGCTCGGCTGGAGGCAGAGGAGAGGAGGCAAAAAGAAGAGGAAGCAGCAAGACTGGCTCTGGAAGAAGCCACGAAACAAGCCCAGGAACAAGCCAGGTACTGGATATTTGGGCAACAGTTGCCATAGGGGGATGGTTCAAGGGCTTCACTGTCCAGTGCTAGTGCTAGCTTTGCACTGCCTTTAGACAAGAAAAGTCCCCCCACCCCCAGCATGGCTTGGAAGACTGAAAGGCATAGAGGGATTCTTTTGCTGCAAATGTCAAGGATTCCTTTGTAGCTTAATGAAGTTGTAATGAATCTACAAGGGAGTTTGGAGATATCTACGTCAACCCCCTAGTTTATAGATGAAAAAAGCAAGTCCCAAAGAGGGAAAGGATCTTGATCACAGACAAACAGTGACTTAGGGACAATGCCAAGACCAGATCTAAGACCCCCTGATTTCGAACCCACTGCCTGTCTTGATATCTACTGAGTGCCTGTTATGTGCCAAACACTGTTCTAGACACTAGGAATTCAGGAGTAAGCAAGACAGAGAAGGTCTCTCTTCCCATCATATTTACATTCTAGGGGTGGGAATGGAGACAGACTCTAAACAAATATTTTTTAAAGCTAGCAATAAATGCTATGCAGAAAAAATTTAACGATGTGATAGGACACCGGGCACAGTGGCTCACACATGTTAATTCCAGCACTTTGGGAGACCAAGAAGAGAGAATCACTTGAGCTCAGGAGTTCAAGACCAGCCTAGGCAACTAAGTGAAACCCCTATCCCTACAAAAAAAATCAAAAAATTAGCCAGGTGTGGTGGTGAATGCCTGTGGTCCCAGCTACATGGGAGGCTGAGGCAGGAGGATCACTTGAACCTGGGAGGTCAAAGCGGCAGTGAGCTAAAATCAAGTCACCACACTCCAGCCTGGGTGACAGAGCAAGACTCTCTTTAAAAAAAAAAAAAAAAAAAAGGCAGGGGCTGCCGGGTGCAGTGGCTCATGCCTGTAATCCTAGCACTTTGGGAGGCTGAGGCGGGTGGATCACCTGAGGTCAGGAGTTTGAGACCAGCCTGGTCAACATGGTGAAACCTCATCTCTACTAAAAATACAAAAAGCAGCTGGGCATGGTGGCAGGCACCTGTCATTCCAGCTACTCGGGAGGCTGAGACAGGAGAATTGCTTGAAACTGGGAGATAGAGGTTGCAGTGAGCTGAGATCGTGCCATTGCATTCCAGCCTGGGCGACAAGAGCAAGGCTCTTTCTCAAAAAAAAAAAAAAAAAAAAAAAGGATTTGATAGGATTGCAAGTGGCTCATTTTAATTGGCTAGCCAGGGCAAGACCTCTCAAAAGAGGTGTCATATATGGTGAAACTTGAATAACAAAGAGCCACATAAACATCTGAGAGAAAAATATTCCAGCAAGTAAACAGTAAATACAAAGGTCTGAAGAAAGAAATGAGACTGGCATGTTGGAAGAATAAAAGACAGTATGGATGGAATGAAGTGGACAAAGGGCAAAGAATACTTCCAGATGAAGTTAGGGATGTGGCCCCAAGACCAGATCTAACATGAGGGCCTTGTTAGAAGAAAAAGCACAGAATCAAAGTTATCCAGGGCCAGGGGAATTTTCCCCCTTTATTCTCCTACACTAGTGATTATCATTGCATCTTTCTGATAATAAAAACTGAGGTATGTATTTCAATTGACTTTTTAAAAGCTAGGTCCTCTATAGTTGCTACATCATGAACTTCCCTTCCTTAGTGAAAGCAACTAATAATCGTCCCTCTTTAGAACCACCAAAGTTGAAGGGTAAAGAGGCACAACCCCGAAAACCGTGTGATTCCAACGTTAACTGTAAATACTTTTCCCCTTGATATTTGTCCACAACTTAAGCTGAATCTAAGATGATAAATACTCTTTAGGGGACCAAAAAGAGAAGGCAGCCAGTGCAACTCAATATCAAGTTTGTCTACTAACCTTGAGTTCTTCCTTCTCTGGACCTTCCTCAGCTGTTAGGTGAATTACAAAATGGATCATTAGGAAAGCCCTGACTCCATTTCAAAATTATGTATTCCATGTACCATAGAAGCAGAATTAGCTTCCTAAATATTGAGACCACAGGCAAACTATTGGGAGTTCCAACTTTCCACACGAGAAGAAAACTGACGGTCATCCAAGAGAAATCTGGGCAATTTATAAGGCTAGTCCAAGTAGCCGAAAGCAGAAAACCAAATAACTAAAGGAATGAGGGGAAGAGCCTCACTCTACCAAGACTCAGGAGAATTTGATACTAACTGGCTTTATTTCATCTTCACTGTGTGACACTGGCCCAGGTACTTTAACTTCTCTGGCCCGTTTCCTCACCCCAACCCCCTTTTTTTGAGACAGAGTCTCACTCTGTTGCCCAGGCTGGAGTACAGTGGCACAATGTTGGCTTACTGCAACCTCCACCTCCCAGATTCAAGAGATTTGTGCCTCAGCCTCCCAAGTAGCTGGGAGTACAGCCACGGGCCACCATGCTGGCTAGTTTTTATATTTGTATTTTTTATTTTTTTTATTTTCAAATCTTCAAAATAGTCTTTATTCTACATTTTTAGCATAAAAATTCCACAAGTTAACTGCACTACAGTGTAGAGAGAGACATACAATGCTGAACTTCCAGAACAGTCAACGGTACAAACATCACATGTACAGAACTCACAATTTAGATGAACTGAAATTTTAAGACAAAATAAAATCCAATTTCAGAAAACAAAAATCAAAACATTAAGGATCCCTGAAATATTCTTAACCCTAATGAGATTTCACTGGATTCAAGTCGTTTTGTAGTGAGGCATTCACAATATGACCCTATTAACCCACTCCAGGAATTTTGGGGGACCAAATGAGTGGCTGCATCAGACACTCTGACAAAAAATGGTAACCAATTTTTGATCTGAAAACTCCTCTTAATTTGGCTTTAAACCATCAATCAGGCTTTTGAAATGCATCTTCCTCCTTGCCCCTCATAATTTTTTTTTTTTTTTTTTTTTTTTTTTTTGAGACGGAGTCTCACTCTGTTGCCAGGCTGGAGTGCAGTGGCGCAATCTTGGCTCCCTGCAACCTCTGCCTCCCCGGTTCAAGCGATTCTCCTGCCTCAGTTTCCTGAGTAGCTGGGATTACAGGCGCATGCCACCACGCCCAGCTAATTTTTGTATTTTTAGTAGAGACGGGGGGTTTCACCATGTTGGCCAGGATGGTCTCAATCTCTTGACCTCGTGGTCCACCCACCTCAGTCTCCCAAAGTGCTGGGATTACAGGCGTGAGCCACTGCACCCAGCCACCTCTCATATTTTAAACTAACTGTTGTTCACAGTACAGTCTGCAGGATATCTTTGTTCAAACATAGCTCAGTTTTTCTGGCACCAAAACAAATTTGGGTTAGGTTCATGTATGCAGAGACAACCTATGAGGAGGACCCAAAAGGCACCCTCCATTTTTGCCTGAGGAAATACGAAAGCAGAAGTAACGGGATCTGTGCTTGGGGCACAGAGGGGGTTTCAGAGGATCCTTATGAAAGACTAGTTAAAAGATGACCAGTGGGGAGAAGTACAAGGAAAGAAGGAAATTGGCTTTCGGTCCTGCACCATTGATTCAATGGAGACTGGCGGGAGGAAATGGAAGACTAGGGTTGGAGATGGGATGGGTGGGGCAAGGGATGTAAAGGAAAAGGCACACACTAATGCGTTCCATTTATAACAAGTAATATAAATCAAAGACTTAAAGGAGATTAAAGACCAATCAGAATAATTTTGGAACTTTTTTTTTTTTTTTGGTGACGGAGTTTCGCTCTTGTTGCCCAGGCTGGAGTGCAATGGTGTGATCTCGGCTCACCGCAACCTCCGCCTGCCAGATTCAAGCAATTCTCCTGCCTCAGCCTCCTGAGTAGCTGGGATTACAGGCATGCACCACTACGCCCGGCTAATTTTGTATTTTTAGTAGAGACGGGGTTTCTCCATGTTAGTCAGGCTTGTCTCGAACTCCCGACCTCAAGTGATCCGCCTGCCTCAGCTTCCCAAAGTGCTGGGATTACAGGCGTGAGCCACCGCGCCTGGCCGTAATTTGGCAACTTTAATTCTTAGGAAGATCAAGTTTCCCTCCAAACCTAATTTGATGTTTTATTACTAACAGCAAAGACCAGTATGGCACAGTATTACTCCAAATTAAAGGAAGATCCTTAGGGCAGCTTCGCCCACATTCATTTTATGAATGGATACCTCCCTTACCTCAAAATGCTTCAGAGAGTTACTGCTACCATTACATGGTTCCTCATTAAATGTGAAAAGTGCCTGAAAGTTGGGGCACCAGAAAGACATCCCAACAACATGTGTCTAAACTGCAACTTCAGGTTAATATGACTACAGCAGTTACATTGTGAGAAGTGCTGAAGGTATGTGATGTCTTTCCCGGCACAAAGGTGGCCTTGGTTCCTCACCAGATGGTGTAGCCACCATCTGATTCACCCATGAAGAAGTTCCCCTTCCACTGAGTTACGAGGACATTGGCTGCCTGCATGACTGCAAGCTGAGCAGCACTGGGAGGGCATCCAGGAGGTGGAGGAAGAATGTTGCCAGCAGTAGCCCCAGCTCCAAATCTGGCACCTGCATCATACCCGCCTTCCACCAGCACTGTGGAGCCAGGTGGATAGATGGGACCAACTGGATAATAAGCCATGGGGATTGTGGAACCTAAAGACCCAACAGCCACAGACTGGGCCATGGGAAGATACAGAGAGGCTCCAGGAAAGCGGCCGACATGGTGGGGACTGTGGCAGCCCCTGGGGTGCACAAAGCTTGGATGATAGAGCTCTGAGTAGGCAGTCGGAGCATCAGTATAGGGTAGAGCCTGAGAAAGATGCAAGGTCTGAGGGTAGACTGGATTCCCAGGAGGCTGCACAGGCTAGGTTGGCTGTGTTGGATATTGACCTTTGCTGTTCATGGTGGCTGCAGGTCCGGTTCGTCTCGGCATCAGGGACGGTTATCTTTTCCGTCCTCTTCCTGTTCGGAGCCACTTCATGTCACGTGACAGTCCATCTGTCTAGCGTTACCCAACGCCTGAGTGGCGCTGCCGCCGCAGTTTTTGTATTTTTAGTAGAGACGGGATTTCACCATGTTGCTCAGGCTGATCTCAAACACCTGGCCTATCTGCCTGCCTCTACCTCCCAAAGTGCTGCGATTGCAGGCATGAGCCACTGCACCTGGCCCGTTTCCTCATCTCTTAAATGAGGGAGTCCTTTCCAGCAGTGTAAGAACTGTGAATTATGCCTCTCTTTTTACTTTTCCAGTAGGAGGCTCATGGTACTCCAAACCTTGTATGTAAATTTACTAAATGAAGAGTATGATCTTCCACTGAAATCCAAGATCAACAGCCCGAAGTCTAACTGATAATTATTCAAATCTAAAGTTATCTTGCTGGCTTATAAGGACAATTTCTAGGGTGTTTAATCATTATTGGAATTGGGGGTGGGGTTGTCTCCTTAGGCAAAAAGCTGCTTTGGAGAAACATTTTCATTTCTATCAAGAACTCCATAAGGAAGCCAGTGGCCTGCAGTGGACACAGAACATTTCCAGACCATGGGTTTACTCTTATTTCCAGTTCCTACAAATACCCAGGCCTTAAGGCTAGAAGAAAACTAAAAAGTAAGTTGGGAGATGGTGAAAGAAAAGGAGAAATTCCCCTTTATAATAAAGTTCTAGGGGCCAGGCACGGTGGCTCATGCATGTAATCCCAACACTTTGAGAGGCTGAGGCGGGAGGCTTGCTTGAGGTCAGGAGTTTGAGACCATCCTAGGCAACATAGTGGAAACCTCATCTTTATAAAAAAACATTTAAATTAGCCAGGCATGGTGGGGTGTGCCTGTAATCCCAGCTACTCAGGAGGCTGAAGGAGGATCACTTGAGCCTAAGACTTCCAGGCTGCACTGAGCTATGACGGTGCCACTGTACTGCAGCCTGGGTGACAGAGTGGGACCCTGTCTCTTAAGAAAAAAAAAAAAAAAGTTCCATTCTGAGCCCAATTAGTTAGTTCCATTTCATCTGCTTAACCTCAACCCACACCTAAGATATTCTCTACTCTGGAACCTCCATTTCCACCACTCCTCCACAACTCACACATTTTGTTCAACCCAACTGAACTCTTCATTCACCTAAATCCTTTATGTCCTTCAGAACCACGTAAATCCAGAAGCCTTGGTGCCTAAAACTGCCCATAATTTCAGTCTGAAACACTAACGTGGTCTTAGGATAGTCAAAGTATTTCATTTCAGTCAATGTATCTGAAAGAGTTTAGATAAATGAAAATTTTGTAATGCAAAATTTTGTAATGCAGAGAAATTTATATATTCAAATATATAAAGAATTTTATTATACATCTCTCTATAAAGCAAAACCACAACCATTTCACCTTAAGAATCTAAAACGTAATGTCTATTTAGAACAATGCATATCTGCAACCACTTGAAAAATGTTCATTTCAGCAAAATGAGCTGCTTCGTGAGGCCATTCTCACATCCTCGAAGTATAGATTCTAGAGCTGCACTGCTGAGTACACAGCACCAGCCGCATGTAGCTATTTAAACTTGTTAAAACATTCTTCAGCCACAACACCCCCATTTCAAGTGCTCAGTGGTCATGTGTGGTTACCGGCTACTGTATTGGAAAGCACAGATGTAGAATATTTCCATGACAGGAAGTTCTATTGGGCAGCATTATTCTAGAGCCCTGAACATTAATAAATCTTGAGTTTTAGCCCCTGTGCCCTGAAGAATTAACCACCCACAAAAATTTCCCCAGTTGAAAAAATTACATTGACTCTACCAGGATGTCTTTTTTTTTTTTTTTGAGACGGAGTCTCGCTCTGTCGCCCAGGCTGGAGTGCAGTGGCACGATCTCGGCTCACTGCAAGCTTCGCCTCCCGGGTTCACGCCATTCTTCTGCCTCAGCTTCCCGAGTAGCTGAGACTACAGGCCCCCGCCACCATGCCTGGCTAATTTTTTATATTTTTAGTAGAGACGGGGTTTCACCATGTTAGCCAGGATGGTCTCGATCTCCTGACCTTGTGATCCGCCTACCTTGGCCTCCCAGAGTGCTGGGATTACAGGCGTGAGCCACCGCACCCAGCGGTTTTTTGTTTTTTTTTTTTTTTTTTAAGACAGGGTCTCACTCTGTCGTCCAAACTAGAGTGCAGTGGCGCCATCACAGCTCACTGCAGCTTTGACCTCCTGGGCTCAAACAATCCTCCCACCTCAGCCTCCCAAGTAGCTGAGACTATAGGCACGTACCACCACACTTGGCTAATTTGTATATTTTTAGTACAGATGGGGTTTCGTCATGATGCTCAGGCTGGTCTCAAAATCCTGGGCTCGAGTTATCTGCCCACCTCAGCCTTCCAAAGTGCTGGGGTTACAGGCATGAGCCGCTGTGCCTGGCCCAGGATGAGACTTGATTAGATATTTAACATCTCTTTTAATATTTAATAAAATATCCCTTTAACAAAATGAAGAAAGATATTTTTAGCATACAAGTTATATAAAAGGATGTTATTTAAATCTAGAGCATCTGAACTGAATTTTTTCACAAATTTCTTTTGGCCCTACTCTATACTTAACTGTCCACAGATGAAAAGCTTAATATTTGCAAGTAATCCCCTCCAATTCCTCATTAATGTTTGTAAGGTATTTGCTTTCTACAGAAATTACACCTTTACAACCCAGAAATCCAACCTATTTGTAGTCTGTATTGCTGTTATTAGATGTGCTTAGATTTGATACTTATTTTAACTCCTTTTTTGTAAAAATTAAACAGAAATAAAACAGTCAAACACTAGATAGTATCAGTCATACTGAACTTAAATATGTCATATAAACGTTTTCTCAAGCTTGTGGACCCTACCTGGACATTCATTCATTCAATCAATTCATTCAATACTACTTAATCAGATAAGAAAGGAGCATCTCAAATAATTCAACCCACAACAGAACAAACACTTGAGGATAACATCCTTGTGGGGGAAATTACCATTGCTGACTTTATTTTCTCCCTTTTGTTACAGATTTAGGATGTTGCAGTCAAGCACCAGATAAGAGTGACTTCCCTAAATGTTATTCAAGGTCCCTTCAGAAATCTGATAATCTGTTAAAATTTTTGTTGTGAAATGCCTATTTTATCAGCACTGCTAACCAGATAAGCACACATTTAAGTTAACCATATCAGAGTGCAATGCATTTCGAAAAATCCAAAAAACTAAAAACAAGAAAATTACTTCCCCAGTAGCTAAGTCCCACCAAAATCCTGAGCGTCTTCAGACATTCAGAGACGCAAACAAAATTAAGATACCAAACTACAGATTCATAGTTCAAATACCCAATCAGATCTGTTATTCAATCTTGACAGAAATACGCAACTCATGAGGATTTTCTTAAAATGGGCCTAGTTCCTAGTCACTGTTCAATGAACATAATGATAAATATCAGGTGACAATCTAAAAGCTCTAACTTATACCATACAAATAATTTTTCAGTTAGGGTCAAACATAAGAATTATAAGATCAAGCCAATCAATCTCTTTCTCAAAAGGTGACTTGAGTAGGTATGTAAGCTATAATAGTTTATAAAATGCATTCAAAGTGGGTTTTATTTGGTCTTCTCAAGTAGTTAGATGACATTCTATTTGAGATAACATGAAACTGGACTGTATGTATGCATAGATGTAAATTCTGTGATTCATTAGCATTAAAAGGAAAAGTTAAGCCCTCTAATAGGAACAAACTAATCTGATATTTTAATTTTACACAAAGTTTAAATATTTAAGATAAAAAGAAATAAGGCTGGGCCAGGCACGGTGGCTCACGCCTGTAATCCCAGCACTTTGGTAGGTCGAGGCAGGCAGATCACAAGGTTAAGCGATCGAGACCATCCTGGCCAACATGGTGAAACCCCATCTCTACTAAAAATACAAAAATTAGCCAGACGTAGTGGCACAGTCCCGAGTAGTCCCAGCTACTCAGGAGGCTGAGGCAGAAGAATCACTTGAACCCGGGAGGCAGAGGTTCCAGCGAGCCAAGATCACACCACTGTACTCCAGCCTGGGTGACAGAGTGAGACTCTGTCTCAAAAAAAAAAAAAAAAAAAAAAAAGATATAAAGAAATAAAAGGAAAACATAAAATATACCAAACCTTACCACTTTGTACCTTGTTAAAGGAAGAACTGAAATTATCAATAAAAATCCAGTAAGAATTTTTGGCATGCCCATTTATTCAACATGATTAGGTAACTGTATCATATATGCACCATACAGGAATATCAAGTTTTTAAAAAAACAGAACACTGAGTATTAAAAAGGTATTGTGGCCTTAATTAAATCCTTGATTCAGAAGGCACTTCAGTAACTTTCAGTGCTTCAAAGTCATTAACATCATCACTGTACAGTAATGAAGAAAAAATTTGTACCATGTGCAATTTCCAGTATTTATGCAAGAAAACCTTATTTTAGGCATTTTTTTCTTTCTATACAATTAAAATAAAATAAGCATTAGTATGATTTTTACAAATATTGTTTATTTTAATGAAGCTGGTACAGACAATGTCCATTTAAAACCCATATCCCAGGCCAAAAAGTACAAATAAAATCAAAAAGAGCAGTGTTCTGTTGTATTCATTTCTGCATGTATAGCTTTATTAATTGCTAATGAAAATTAGAACTTTTCTGGGATCTTCTGACAAGATTTTTAAAAAATCTTAAAATGCCTTTTCTTCAGTGAAGCCATCTTTGGAGTTAGTCATTACTCTCACCTTATCTGTCATCTTGACTTCAACCTGATATTCCTCTTCTTTTGGTCCAGACCCTCAAATTTTAAAAGTAGCTTCAAGTTAAGGAAAGGTCATTTTTCCACAGTTCAGTTCTCTGAAAAACTTCCATCTCCCACTGAAAGTCACAGTCCAGGAGTGAAGTAATCACATGCTAGAACATCAGGGCCAATTGGAAAGTCATTATGAACACTTGCATTGGTCGATCTTATTTATCACCACAAGCCTGAAAATGCAATGTCCTGAAAAAGGTGACCTCTCTGTGCACACGTAATTTTTAAAAAGGAGAGGGTAATATGAAGGGGACTGAGGCTTGATCACCAAAAATCAGCACAATGAAAACAAACAATAATGAATAATGAGCACTAGAATTCAAATTACCAGATGTTTCAAAGAGATGGGGTGCCAGTTTTCAATTCCGTTTTGAACACCACATTACAAAAGAACTATTTTTAAAAATAAAAAAGGATTGAGGGAAAAGAAAAAAAATAAAAAGAATATCTAAACTGTTGAATGACCCCCCGTTTGTTCCTGATAAACTTCAATCACATCTTCTTCCTCCATTCCCAGCTGTAAGAGGAAAGAAAAATGTTAGACTATAAAAGCAGTTTTTAAATTGACTACAATTACGTGGCCACTAATTTAAAAGTGCAAAGAGATCCAAATGTGACCCATACTTACACTCCTCTAATATTAAGAATCCTGTGTTCTTTAATCTAAAGAATATAGAGGTGTCTTTCCTTCTGATTCTGTCTATTTAGTTATGCATCTTACTTTCCTGAGTCAATTTCACTTCCCAGTTTATTCGCTATATAAAACTGAAGTGTTTTTGACAGCCATGTTAAAGAACTTTTAAATCTAATGAAACATGTATTTAATAGTTTAAGTGATAGTTTAATAGGATATATCTAATTTGGTGTTTGTTTGTTTTTGTTTTTTGAGACAGGGTCTCATTATATTGCCCAGGCTGGAGTACAGTGGCACAATCTCAGCTCACTGCAACCTCAGCCTCCTGGGCTCAACCTCAGCTCACTGCAACCTCAGCATCCTGGGCTCAACCAATCCTCCCAGCTCAGCCTCCCAAGTAGCTAGCACTACAAGCGTGCGCTACCATACCTGGCTACTTTTTCTATTTTTAGTAGAGATGAGGTTTCGCCATGTTGCCCAGGCTGGTCTCAACTCCTGACCTGCAGTGATCCAGCCCGCCTCAGCCTCCCAAAGTGCTAGGATTGCAGGCGTGGGCCACTGTGCCTGACCAAAAAGTTTTAAATTTTATAGGTAACATTTTTGTGCAGAATTTTAAATATGAAAATAAAGTATGTTAAGAAATCTAAACATAACACATGTGAATTTAGGATTTTAAAGTGATCAGAATGGCTCTAGTAGTGTTAAGCTATCTTGGTTGTGGAACATATTTGAATATTTAAATAATTATTAAACATGCTTTTAGGCCAGGTGCAGTGGGTCACACCTGTAATCTCAGCACTTTAGGAGGCTGGGGGGGCGGCAGATCACCTGAGGTCGGGAGTTCGAGACCAGCCTGACCAACATGGTGAAACCCCGTCTCTACTAAAAATACAAAATTAGCCAGGCGTGGTGGTGCATGCCTGTAATCCCAGCTACTCAGGAGGCTGAGGCAGGAGAATCGCTTGAACCCGGGAGGCAGAGGTTGCGGTGAGCCAAGATTGTGCCATTGCACTCCAGCCTGGGCAACAAGAGCAAAACTCCATCTCAAAAAAAAAAAAAAAAAGATGCTTTTAAAACAATTTTAATTGCCCATATAGCATGGTAAATACTGCAAGGAATAAAATTCCAAGTGTTATTAGAAACCTTCAAAACAGGAAGACAGCATGAGTCCTTGAGCTATAAAGAATATAAAGCTACAAACTTCAAGAAGTACATTAACAGAGACAAGTGAACAACAGCACAGGAGGGTCACTCCCTAAAGACCTACTGTCTCCCACTGCACCAACATTCCTCTGAAAAAATAATCTCTTAATTACAAGGAATGTGTAAGGCATGTGTCAGTAAAATGTATTAGATATCTACTGTATGGTCCCAGAGATTATGCCAAGTTAAAGGAAAGTAAAAGATGAGTTTGGAACTTCTTACTGTGCCAGAAAGTAAGGAAGTGTTCAAGAAGGTGGTGGACACTAAACCTAAGGGGAATATTTGATGAGAAAGGGGATATTCGCATAGTTTCAAAGTGTGTCCCCTCAAATTACTTAATTGTAACAGGAAAAACAGTTAACTACAAAGTAAAAAAAAAAAAAAAAAAAAAGAGACAACACTTAAACTAAGTGATCAAAGCCTGGGCACATAGGGAGACTCCATCTCTACAAAAAATTTAAAAGCAGAGCATGGTGGCACATGCCTGTAATCCCAGCTATTCAGGAGGCTGATAGTGATAGGATTGCTAGAGCCCAGGCATTTGTGGCTGCAGTGAGCTATGACTGCATTCTAGTAGTCATACTAGAAAAACATAATATTTTTTTTTTTTTGAGACAGGGGACTCCTCGCTCTGTTATCCAGGCTCGTCTCGAACTTTTGGGCTCACTCAAGTGATCCTCCCGCTTCAGCCTCCCAAGCAGCTAGGACTATAGGCGTGCACCACCAATCCCAGCTATCAAATGCTGCACAATGTTATTTTATTTTATTTACTTTATTTTTGAGACAGGTTCTCACTCTGTCACCTAGGCTGGAGCACAGTGACATGACCAGGGCTCACTGCAGCCTCGACCTCCTGGGCTCAAGTGATCCTTCCACCTCAGCCCCCCAAGTAGCTGGGACTACAAACATGCACCACTAAGCCTAGTTAATTCTTTTTTTCTTTTTTTTTGAGACAGAGTCTCGCTCTGTTGCCCAGGCTGGAGTGCAGTGGCGTAATCTCGGCTCACTGCAACCTCTGCCTCCCGGGTTCAAGCGATTCTTCTGCCTCAGACTCCCGAGTAGCTGGGACTACAGGCACATGCCACCACGCCCGGCTAATTTTTGTATTTTTAGTAGAGACGGGGTTTCACCATACTGGCCAGGCTGGTCTCGAACTCCTGACCTCGTGATCCGCCCACCTCGGCCTCCCAAAGTGCTGGGATTACAGGCATAAGCCACTGCACCTGGCCAAATTTTTTTATTTTTAGTAGAGACGGGTTTTCGTCATGTTGCCCAGGCTGGTCTTGAACTCCAGGACTCAAGCAATCCACCCACTTTGGCCTCCCAAAGTGCTAGGATTACAAGTATGAGCCACCGTGCCTGGCCCACATGCTGTGCAATTTTAATTGGTGAATCTAAGGAATAGTTATACAGGAGAGTATTACACTATTCTCACAATTCAGTAAGTTTGAAATATTTTCAAAATAAAAAGTTAATAACCCTATATTGTTCCCACTATCAGAAATATCAGTAATGTTACTCTGTGTATGAAGGGAATCTATGTATATAGATACACACACACATACACACACACACACACTACTTTGAGATATCTCTATAGAGGGAAGATGGGTGGAATATAAAAGCAAAGCAAACTGCTCATAGAATAAAAAAATCAAATGAAGACAGAGAAGCATAAAAAAATAGGGTAAAACAAGATGACAGAGCCAAATATATTAATATACACTATGCTTCTGTATTAACATTCTCAAAATAGGTCAAAAATGAAAATCCAGCCATTAATGTTACCATCACCATGAAAGTATACCAGAAATTTACCAAATTTGAGGAACATTTGTCTATCTTCAAAAAGGATGTAGCATGTGACCTATGACAATTTCAGTACTCATTTTGTTTCTACCACCCTTTTTATTGGCACTTTTAAAGGCACTATAGGGGAAGTTCAACCCAAAACATTATTTCTTCTCTCCAACAAATGATATGCCATTTAAATCAGAGAATATTCAAGAAAAGGGCAGTTTTAACACCAGTGAACCAAACTGCTCAAAGGAGAATTTAAATTTTTTCTTGACTCAGGAGAAAAGTATACTCACTTCTTTTGGAGTATGATTATCAGCAATTCTCTGACCCTCAAAGAGAAACCTGAGTGAATTCATTGGAACACCCTAAAAAGGTAAAGATAATAATAATGCATACATACACACACAAATATTAGAAAACATAATGGTAACTTTGATGCACAAAAAGCAAGCATGAAAGCCTTAGAACACTACATAGAAAATAAAATTAGACAAGCTAATTCAATCATAAATACTATATACTGTACTGAGTAGCAACTATTTGCAAGGCCCTCCCTGTACCAATTCTTTACATACATAATCATAAGTGTTAAACACAACAACCCTGGAAGGTAGGTATTACCACCTTATCTTCATGTTACAGCTAGGGAACCTAAGGCTTGGAGCTAGCCAAGAATTTAAGCCCAAACCTGTTTCTAAGCCTATGCTCTTGACCACTACTCGATTCACTTTGCCCTAAATCTGTAAGCTAGAATAAAAGATCAGATCAGAAACTGGACGTGCACCCTCACTAGCTTCCAACTATACTGGCGAAATTGGTTTTAAACAGATTACATCATAAAATTTGGTAAAGCACAAATGGCTAGCTAGCTAATCTACCATAAACCTGGATGGCATAGATAGCGCAATATTACAAAATATATTAGTATACATTTTTCTAATCACTCTTCAACAAAAATAGCTGAAAGGGGAGACGGCTCACTTGAGGTCAGGAGTTTGAGACCAGCCTGGCCAACATTATCATAAAATCTGGTAAAGCGCAAATGGCTAGCTAGCTCATCTACCATAAACCTGGATGGCACAGATAGCACCATAAATATTACAAAATATATTAGTATACATTTTTCTAATCACTCTTCAACAAAAACAGCTGAAAGGGGAGAGACGGCTCACTTGAGGTCAGGAGTTTGAGACCAGCCTGGCCAACATAATGAAACTCCATCTCTACTAAAAATACAAAAATTACGGGGCAGGCGCAGTGATTCAGCCTGTAACCCCAGCACTTTGGGAGGCCGAGGCGGGTGGGTCACTAGAGGTCAGGAGTTCAAGACCAGCCTGGCCAACATGGTGAAACCCCATCTCTACCAAAAATACAAAAATTAGCCTGGCGAGGTGGCACGCGCCTGTAATCCCAGCTACTCGGGAGGCTGAGACAGGAGAATCACTTGAACCCGGGAGGTGGAGGTTGCAGTGAGCCAAGGTCGTGTCACTGCACTCCAACCTGGGCAACAGAGGAACACCCTGTCTAAAAAAAAAAATACAAATACAAATACAAAAAAAAATACAAAAATTAGCCAGGCCTGGTGGCAGGTGCCTGTAATCCCAGCTACTCGGGAGACTGAGGCATTGGGAATCACTTGAGTCCAGGAGGTGGAGGTTGCAGTGAGCTAAGACGGCACCACTGCACTCCAGCCTAGGCGACAGAGTGAGACTCTGTCTCAAAAAAAAAAAAAAAAAAAAAATCAATTCCCTGGCCTACAGATGGGGGGCGTAGAGACTATATGAATTTTCTTCAGAGTTATGAAAATTAAATGACGATGAATCTTTTTTTTTTTTTTTTTTTGAGACAGTGTCCCACTCTGCCACCCAGGCTGGAGTGCAATGGCGTGATCTCGGCTCATTGCAACCTCCGCCTCCTGGGTTCAAACGATTCTTCTGCCTCTGCCTCCCGAGTAGCTGGGATTACAGGCGTGCACCACCATGCCTAGCTAATTTTTGTATTTTTAGTAGAGACAGGGGTTTCACCATGTTGGTCAGGCTGGTCTCGAACTCCTGACCTCATGATCCGCCTGCCTCAGCCTCCCAAAGTGCTGGGATTAGAGGCGTGAGCCACTGTGCCTGGCCAATAATGTATCTTAAATACCTATGGCACAGTACACATAATTGAGATTTCAATAAATGTTTCTTTCCCCTGATGAATTTCATCTCAATTTTAACACCCAAAGTTATTACAAATGTGAAGTAGTTGAACCCCAATTAATGTGATTTTATTAAGTTAAACAATTAAAATCTACAAAAACAGAAGAGACAAAAATGCTTATTGTTTTACTTATCCTAACACCTAGTTTCTCTTTCTTATAATAAGTTTTTTTTAATGTGAGTTACAAATTTAAACTGTTAAAAGCAAACCTTCTAAAAATGAAATCTACAGGCCGGGCACGGTGGCTTATGCCTGTAATCCCAGCACTTTGGGAGGCCAAGGCGGGCGGATCACAAGGTCAGGAGTTCGAGACCAGCCTGACCAACATAGTGAAACCCCGCCACTACTAAAAATACAAAAATTAGCCGGGCGTGGTGGTGCATGCCTGTAATCCCAGCTACTCGGGAGACTGAGGCAGGAGAATCGCTTGAACCAGGGAGTCACAGGTTGCAGTGACCTGAGATCACACCACTGCATTCCAGCCTGGGCGACAGAGTGAAGACTCCATCTCAAAGAAATAAATAAATAAATGAAAATAAAATTTACAATACCTGAGTTAATATTATGTAATATAATTCAATTTTTTTTCTTTTTTTTCTTTTTTCTTTTTTTTTTTTGAGATGGAGTCTTGCTCTGTCACCCAGGCTGAAGTGCAGTGGCATGATCTCAGCTCACTGCAACCTCTGCCTCCCAGATTCAAGTGATTCTCCTGCCTCAGCCTCCCGACTAGCTGGGAATTACAGGCATGCGCCACCATGCCTGGCTAATTTTTGTACTTTTAGTAGAGACAAGGTTTTGCCATGTTGGCCAGGCTGGTCTTGAACTCCTGCCCTCAGGTGATCCGCCCGCCTCAGCCTCCCAAAGTGCTGGGATTACAGGCATGAGCCACTGCACCCAGCCTATAATTTAATTTAAGACTGATTAAACATATATTTCTTGCTTATTAAATCATAATTTCACTTAAACTATATCTTGGTTGTCTCATATTAATTCCAATTACATTTATTTTCAAAACCTATTTTATAAGGCCAGGCCTGGTGGCTCACGCCTGTAATCCCAGCACTTTGGGAGGCCGAGGTGGGCAGATCACCTGAGGTCGGGAGTTCGAGACCAGCCTGACCAACATGGAGAAACCCCATCTCTACTAAAAATACAAAATTAGCTGGGCGTGGTAGTGCATGCCTGTAATCCCAGCTACTCGGGAGGCTGAGGCAGGAGAATCACTTGAACTTGGGAGGCGGAGGTTGCAGTGAGCAGAGATCGTGCCACTGCACTCCAGCCTGGGCAGCAAGAGCAAACTCCATCTCAAAAAAAAAAAAAAAGAGAGATAATATACTAATAATACTACTACTTAAATTTAACATATGGCTAAACACTCATGATTAGAAGTACAAAAACAATCCATAGTAATCACCAAAAAATTACTTGCCTTTTTTGCTATATATACTGGTAAGCCATCAAGACAGAAACATTCATTTGAGCTCGCTTTTACAATTCTGAGTTACTTTTCAAACTAGTTCCCATCTTACGAATTCAAACTTTAAAATGGGCCACAAGACAAAAAAAGCAGTTAAGCAGGGTACAAGAAATGATAGAGTGTTTTCCTTGAGTTGCTAATGGTGAAAATAATAAAACAGGATTTTTCTTCTGACAATCTTCTATAAAAAAAAAAAAATTAACGACAAAGCATTGTACTTAATACCAAAATGGACGAACCTGTCTTTGACAGTATGATTCTTTGAGTTTCTTGAGATGTGTTGTCATTTTCACTTTGAAGTGAATCTCACTGCTATCCTAAGGAGATAAAAAAGAAAAAAATTATCCCTCTTTGTATAAATCATTTGCTTTACTTGAACCAAACTATTTAATTACACATATAGTGCAAATAGAAACATAAACCTTGTAACCTGTATTTTTCCACCACAATATTCTTTTTAGCATTCTTAACAGGTTTTCTTAAAACAGTGTAATCATCCTCAAAGTTACTGTATACCCATTACAAAAGAAACCGAGTAAAACAAAGTTAATCAGTCTTGAGTGTTAAAATTATCAGTATAAGTAAAAGTCTAAGTAAATGCATTCCTTCATTTGCCATTCTATTGTCAAAATAAAAGATGAACTATCGCATCTTTTATTTATCCCAATAGCAACTCAAAACAAAAAGTCTGTCCCCCCAAGTGAAGTGTCACTGAAGGTGGTCGCCTAGGAGAAAAGCAGTTAATTAGATAATAATTAATTGTATAAAATTCAATTTTATACAATAAGCGACTGAGAAATTTATTCCTGCCATAAAAAATCACCACATGGGGCTGAGCGCAGTGGCTCATGCCTGTAATCCCAGCAATTTGGGAGACCAAGGCAGGCGGATCACAAGGTCAGGAGTTCAAGACCAGCCTGGCCAGTATAGTGAAACCCCGTCTCTACTAAAAATACAAAAATTAGCCAGGCATGGTGGCACACACCTGTAGTCCCAGCTACTCAGGAGGCTGAGGCAGAAGAATTGCTTGAACCCAGGAGGTGTAGGTTGCAGTGAGCCAAGAACACGCCACTGCACTCCAGCCTGGGAAACAGAACAGTACTCCATCTCAAAAAAAAAAAAAAAAAAAAAATCACCACATGGAATCTGGTTTCTCTCACATGAGTAAAATGAGTAAGAACCTGAGTTAGTCAAACTGATTTGTGAGACCAAAAATTATTTTATTCTGCTCAGATTGTGAAACAAACTATCAGCCAGCCAATCCTCAGAAAAAATACTGTTACTTGCATAATGTAAACTTTCAAAGCCAAACTTCATGACTACATATCACATTCACAAATGTGTATTTGCAGAAGCTGCACATTTACAGTATTTTTCTTGTGACTGTAACTATGAAGAAATAAAATTATCTTCACATAGATCATTTCATAAACAGATAAAATTCTACAGCAAACCTCATGCTATACATTAAAATCAATTCCAGGCTGGGCATGGTGGCTCATGCCTATAATCCCAACACTTTGGGAGGCCAAAGCAGGAGGATCATTTGAGTTCAGGAGTTCGAGACCAGCCTGACCAACATGGTGAACGCCATTTCTACTAAAAATACAAAAAAATTAGCCAGGCGTGGTGGCGCATGCCTGTAATCCCAGCTACTCGGGAGGGTGAGGCAGGAGAATCGCTTGAACCCAGGACGCGGAGGCTGCAGTGAACCTAGATCTCGCCACTGTACTCCAGCCTGGGCAACAGAGTGAGACGCCATCTCAAAAAAAAAAAAAAAAAATCACTTGCAGATGAATTAAAGAGCTAACATTAAAATTTTTTTGGCCAGGTGCAGTGGCTCACTCCTGTAATCCCAACACTTTGGGAGGTCAAGCCGGGCAGATCACGAGGTCAGGAGTTCAAGACCAGCCTGGCCAACATGATGAAACCCTATCTCTACTAAAAATATAAAAAATTAGCCGGGTGTGGTGACAGTTGCATGTAATCCCAACTACTCGGGAGGCTGAGGCAGGAGAAGTGCTTGAACCTGGGAGGCGGATGTTGCAGTGAGCCGGAAGTACCACTGCACTCCAGCCTGCATGACAGGACAAGGCTCCACATCAAAAAAAAAAAAAAAAAAATTCTCAATATTTTCCCCTCAAGGGAGAATTTTTTTCCCCTAATTTTGGCCTTGGGATGCCCTATTGCAAAGCATGATTTTAACCTAGAAACCATAAAAAAAAGAGGTGGATAAATTTGACTTAATAAAAACATAAAACGTCTGTATAGTAAAAGATGCCATAAACAAAAGTTAAGACATACTGGAGGAAATATTCATAACATGTAACAGACAAGGAAAATGAAGACAATATTTTTAAAAATCCCACAAATTAATAATTCTTAAAAAGACATTCCATGGCATATGGACATATAGATAGATCAATGGCATAAAATTGAGAGCCAAGAAAAAACCCTTATATCTATAGTCAATTTTTTGACAAGGATACCAGAACAATTCAGTGAGAAAAGGACAGTCTTTTCAACTAATGGTCTGGGACAAACACCCATAAAAAATTATTCAAAATGATGAAAGATTTAAATGTAAGAGCTAAAACTATAAATAAAACCATAAAACTTTTTTTTTTTTTTTTTTGAGACAGGGTCTCACTCTGTCACCCAGACTGGAGTACAGTCACGTGATCACAGCTTACTGCAGCCTTGACCTCCCAGGCTCAAGTGATTCTCCCTGCTCAGCCTCCTGAGTAGCTGGGACTACAGGCATGTGCCACCACGCCCTACTAATTTTTTATATTTTTTGTAGAGATGGGGTTTCGCCATGTTGCCCAGGCTGGTCTCCAGCTCCTGAGCTCAAGCAATCTGCCCACCTTGGCCTCCCAAAATGCTGAGATTACAGGTGTGAGCCATTGTGCCCAGCCTTAAAACTCTTAAACCACAAGCGTAAACCTTTGTGACCCTGGATTAGGTAATGGTTTCTTAGATAAATTACAAGCAACAAAAGAAAAAACAGATGAACTTAATTTACCAAAATTAAAAACTTTACGCTGCAAAGAATAAAACCAAGAAAGTGAAAAGACAACTCAAAGATAGGAGAAAATCCATGCAAATCATATATATGATAAAGGTCTAATACCCAGAATAAAAGACATATTACCACTCAACAATAAAAAGACAACTAACCCAATTTAAAAATGGGCAAAAGATCTAAAGAACTTCATTTTTCCAAAGAAGATGTACTAATGGCCAATAAGTACATAAAAAAATGCTTGGCATCATTAGCCATCAGGAAAGAGCAAGTTGAAACCACAGTGAGATACCACTTCACACCCACTAGGATTATAACCAAAAATACGGATAATTACAAGTGTTGACCAGAATATGGAAAAACTGAAACCCTCATATGTTGCTGCTAGGAATGTAAGATGGTAGGGCCACTGCTGAAAACAGTTTGGCAGTTCCTCAAAAAGTAAAACATATAGTTGCATACTAGACCCAGCAATTCCACTCCTAGGTATATATCCAAGGGAGCTGAAAACATATGTCCATACAAAAACACACATGAATGTTCACAGCAACATTATTAATAGTAGCCAAAATATGGGGACAAACTAAATATCAACTGATAAATGGAAAACAAAATATATTCTACCCATATAATGGAACAGAATTCAGCCATTAAAAGGAATATAGTACTGATACATGCTACAGCATGAATGAACCTTGAAAACATGCTAAAACAAAGAAGCCAGGCCAGGCATAGTGGCTCACACCTATAATCCCAGAACTTTAGGCCAAAGAGGGAGAATCACTTAAGCCCAAGAGTTCAAGACCAGCCTGAGCAACATAGCGAGAACCCTGGAGAGGGAGACGGGGATGGGGAGGGGGGGAGGGGAGGGAGGGGAAGAGGAACAGGGAAGCAAGGCAGAAAAGAAGAAACAAACCAGAATAAAAAGTCACATATCAAAGCTAGGCATGGTGGCTCATGCCTGTAATCCCAACACTGTGGGAGGCCGAGGTAGGCGGATCATCTGAGGTCAGGAGTTTGAGACCAGCCTGGCCAACATGGCGAAACCCCATCTCTACTAAAAATACAAAAATTAGCTGGGCATGGTGGTGCACACCTGAAATCCCAGCTACTCAGGAGGCTATGGCAGGAGGGTCGCTTGAACCCAGGAGGTTGAGGTCGCAGTGAGTTGAGATCAGGCCACTGCACTCCAGCCTGGGTGACACAGCGAGACCCTTGCCTCAAAAAAAAAAAAAAAAAAAAAAAGCCATATATCTTATGATTCCATTTATATGTAATGTCCACAAAAGGCAAACCTATAGAGACAGAAAGTAGAATCATGGTTGTCACTGGCTGGAGGAAATAGGATGGGGAATGACTGCTAATGGGTACAGGGTGTCTTTTTGGGGTAATGCAAATGTTCTGGAATTAGTAGTGGTGATGGCTGCACACACTTGTGAATAATACTAAAGCCCCTGAATTATATACTTTAAAATAGTGAATTTTATAGTATGTGAATTTTATCTTTTAAAAGTTTTCAAAATAAAGCCGGCATGGTGGCTCACACCTGTAATCCCAGAACTCTGGGAGGCCGAGACGGGTGGGGATCACCTGAGGTCAGGAGTTCGAGACCAGCCTGGCCAACATGGGGAAACCCCGTCTCTACTAAAAATATTTTTTAAAAAAATTAGTCAGGCTTCGTGGCAGGCACCTGTAGTCCCAGCTACTCGGGAGGCTGAGGCAGGAGAATCACCTGAACCCAGGAGTGAAGGGTGCAGTGAGCCAAGATCACGCCATTGCACTCCAGCCTGCCAACAAGAGCACAACTCCATTTCAAAATAAAATTTAAATTTAAAAAATTTTGAAAATAAAAAATAAAAGTCTTCAAAATAAGATAATCACAGAAAAATGGGAAAAGGGTATGAACACAATTAACAGAAGAATATAAATGTAACAGACCAAAAAAATTATACCTTATTAATAATCAGGTAAATGAAAAATAAACAAAAATGTTTTACCTAGCATATTTGAACAAAATTTAAAGACTGTTAATATCCCATGTTTGGGAGAATATAGGGAAATGGTACTGTCACACTTCAATAGAAATACCACTGCACTCCATCCTGGGCGAGTCCACCCTTCCACCAATTCTCTGTCTTTTGTCCTTTAGAAAACCCACGTAACTATGTAGATTCATTCCTCCAACGGTTGTTAGCTAACCTTAATTAACATTTCAGAATCAATAAGATACAGACTAGAGCCAGGCGCGGTGGCTCACGCCTGTAATCCCAGCACTTTGGGAGGCCGAGGCTGGCGGATCACGAGGCCAGGAGATCAAGACCACCCTGGCTAACACAGTGAAACCCCGTCTCTACTAAAAATACAAAAAAAATTAGCCGGGCATGGTGGCGGGCGCCTGTAGTCCCAGCTACTTGGGAGGCTGAGGCAGGAGAATGGCGTGAACCCGGCAGGCGGAGCTTGCAGTGAGCCGAGATCGCACCACTGCACTCCAGCCTGGGTGACAGAACAAGACTCCATCTCAAAAAAAAAAAAGATACAGACTAGAGTCTAGGGAAATAGGGGGCCAGAAAAGGGTCAGGAAAAGGGCTGATAAACCTTTTACTTAAGGTTGGCCCTAGCCTTAACACTTAATAGTATTCACTGTATTTGCCCCTGAAGCACACTAACCAAGAAAACATTCCTATTTGGAAAAATTAAGATGATCTAAAACTGCCTGGCAGAGTAATTTAAAAAACAGTATCGGCCTCTTCTACCTCTAACAGATGCATACACAGTAAATTAAAATGCATACATAGTCATTTTAAAATAATTTGCCTTAAATAATTTTTTTTCCTGTGAAAAAGTATTCACATTGAAGGGGACTCAAAAGAGAAAAACAATGAAACTCACCTGTCCAATGACTTTGAGTTTAATATATTCACCTTCCTTCTTATCCCCCAAGTCCTCAGTTGAAGGTTTTGCCTCCTGAAAGAAAATTAAATTTCAAGATAAAAGTTCCTACATGCTATTTTAATTACTCACTTATGAGTATCCATTACTTTCATTCAGGATGCAAAATCTGCACCTGAGAATACAAACAGCATTTCTTTTCCATGCCAGTCAATTAAGAAAAAAAAATCCTAAGTCAATTACTGTCCCAAACGCCATTCACTAGAAATCAAGAAAGGGGTCTCTTTTATTATAATACCCCATAGTAATGGTCTAAAACTTTACCACGCATCAAAATCAGCTGAAGGACGTGTTAAACAAACTGCTGGGCCCAAGACCCAGTTTCTTATTCAGCACATTTGTAGTAGGGATAAGAATCTCTTTCTAACAAATTACCAGGTGGTACCGATACTACTGGCCAGAGGAACAACTTGGAAACAACTGCCCTACAGCCAGCTCTTACCAGCACAAAGGAAGTTCATCCTCCATGAATTTTTAGACAAACTTCTGAATCCAAGATTATCTTCTCACAGCCTATCATGAGGAGTTTACTTTAACTACAAAACTGTACTAAGAAATGTAAATTAATCATATTAGCATAAGCAAGGCTATTATTTATTATTTTTTTGAGACAGTTTCGCTCTTGTTGCCCAGGCTGGAGTGCAATGGCTCGATCTCAGCTCACCGCAACCTCTGCCTCCCAGGTTCAAGCAATTCTCCTGCCTCAGACTCCCGAGTAGCTGGGACTACAGGCATGCACCACCATACCCGGCTAATTTTGTATTTTTAGTAGAGACAGGGTTTCTCCATGTTGGTCAGGCTGGTCTCAAACTCCCGACCTCAGGTGATCTGCCCACCTCGGCCTCCCAAAGTGCTGGGATTACAGGCGTGAGCCACAGTGCCCAGCCAAGCAAGGCTATTTAGAAAGGAAAATCAAATAAGAAAGTATTAGCCTAATGTACTCTGGAGTCAAAACGAATCAGTTTTATATAATCAATTATTTTAGACTATCCGAAGCATAATGCTTAAGTTTAAAAGAGGAGACAAAAATAGGAGGACAAGATACTTGAGAGGCTGTGGCACTAGGACTGCTTGAGAGCCCAGGAGTTGGAGGCCAGCCTGGACAACATAGCAAGACCTCATCTCTTCAAAAAAAAAAAAAAAAAGATCACAAAAACAGTTACAAAACAATTTCCAATAAAGAGATACTGAAATGAAAATGAGGTTAACAGAATAAATTAGTTAAAACAACTTCACCATGAAGTATCTCAAGAATAAGCAAATCATTTTTAGTAAAGGGGGTACCTTGGAAAATTTCATGAATAATGTGGTAAAAAAGTAGCTTTTTTTCTCTATGTGCTACACCTTAGTTTGGCCACCAAATTACCCACTTATTTAGATATATACCTTATTATCCGTAATAATTTCAAGCAGTTAATCCGTATTTGATAAGAATAACCATAACCATTACCTGTGTATCTCATGCCAGTAACTTAAAATACAAAATTCTTTAACATTCAACAATTAAAAGAACATATTAAACTAGAAGCAGCTTTTAACTTTAAAATACAGGCTAGAGTCTAGGGAAATGCTTAGATAACAGAACTGATTTCATTAGTATGAATCCTTGCCTGTTTTTCATTCTGCAGTGCTTTTAACATTTGCTGACTACTGACTATTACAGCAGCAGGCAAAATTAACCTTCTTTAGTGAGACAGTATTTCACCTGAAAACTAGAAGACTGTCTTCAAATATAGTCTCTCCACATTTCTATGAATTTATATTCATAGTAAACAGCTGCTTCTTCCTCTAAGTATCTAGAAGGCAAAGAGCTTATTCCATGCAGTGAAGGGCAATAAACAGCAACCAAGCCCTGAGTCCTCTGTAACTGGAAGGAGAGGAGGCCTTAAGAAGCTTTGTTTAAGTTACCACAAAGGACAGCCCCCTCCCCTAGCAGCAATATATCAGCACAACATGAGTGGCTTTGCTCCTGTGTCTCCTAGATAGGGTAGCTATAGCGGCTACTCAGCACAAAAGAATTCTTCCCCTCCTCCCCTCCATCATCCTCAGTGCTTCAGAATTCTCCTAAAGTCCAGCTTCTCCAATCCTGTAACTACTCAGATCAAAAAGCATAAATACCTTCCAGGACTTTAGGGCCTATAACCTAACTCTATAGCATGACATTCTCTGCTTCCACCATCAAGCTCAATTCTCATTTTTCTCTCATCATTCACTCAACATACCCAAAGATTCTGTTCAATTGGACTATTTGCTGTTCCCTGAATATGTCCATTAGCATTACTTCAACTTCAGCCCTTTGCGGCCCTAGTTTCATTTACCTGGAATATATATACATATCCTCTCTCAGCCTCTCTTGAAATCACCTCAAGGATATCTACCTCACACATGAACTTAAGTTCAGTATTTTTTTTTCTTTTCTTTTTTTTTTTTTTTGAGACAGATTTTCGCTCTTGTTGCCCAGGCTGGAATGCAATGGCACAATCTTGGTTCACTGCAACCTCTGCCTCCTGGGTTCAAGCGATTCTCCTGCCTCAGCCTCCCAAGTAGCTGGGATTACAGGAGTGTGCCACCACGCCCGGCTAATTTTTGTATTTTCAGTAAAGATGGGGTTTCCCTATGTTGGCCAGGCTGGTCTCGAACTCCTGACCTCAGGTGATCCACCCACCTCAGCCTCCCAAAGTGCTGGGATTACAGGCTTGAGCCACTACGCCCGGCCTGCTTTTTTTTTTTTCTCTTTTCTATGACAGAGTCTCGCTCTGTCACTCAGGCTGGAGTGCAGTGGCACAATCTCGGCTCACTGCAACCTCAGGTTCAAGCGATTTTCTCATCCCTCAACCACCTGAATAGCTGGGATTACAGGCATGCACCACCATGCCCAGCAATTTTTTGTGTGTGTATTTTTAGTAGAGACAGGGTTTCATCACATTGGCCCAGGTTGGTCTTGAACTCCTGGCCTCAAATGATCTGCCCACCTTGGCCTACCAAAGTGCTGGGATTACAGGCGTGAGCCACCATGTAAGGCCAAGTCCAGGATTTTTTAAAACTCGTCTATGAACCACAGCACTCCCCCAACCTTCCAAATGATATTAATATCTTCCTTTAATGCTCCTACTTGCAATTTATTCATATATTTTATGGCATTTATTTTCAACTTAAAAATACTCTCCCTTGACCTTACTTCTCTAGTCGTTTTTCTCCCCTTTTTTGTTTCTTTTTGTGGTTATTGTTGTTGTTGTTGTTTTGAGACGGAGTCTTGCTCTGCTGCCCAGGCTGGAGTGCAGTGGTGCGATCTCGGCTCACTGCAACCTCTACCTCCCAGATTCAAGCAATTCTCCTGCCTCAGCCTCCTGAGTAGCTGGGATTACAGGTGCGTGCCACCACGCCCAGCTAATATTTTGTATTTTTAGTAGAGATGGGATTTCACTGTATTAGCTAGGATGGTCTCAATCTCCTGACCTTGTGATCTGCCCGCCTTGGCCTCCCAAAGTGCTGGGATTACAGGCGTGAGCCACCACGCCCAGCCAATTATCACCTTTTTTCAAAATCAAACTTCGTAAAGAGTATTCAGCTTTTGCTATCCCCACTTTCACTGTCAACCTACTGTAATGTGGTTTTATGCCCCCATCATTCCACTTAACACTCTTCTCACCAGTGGTTAGCAGGTGGATTCTTTATTGCTAAATCCAATGTACACTTTCAAATCTCATCTGTAACTCTCTCAAACAAACACTGATTGAGTTTTACCTTGAAAACTCTCCACCTTTGGCTGCCAAGATTAGGTTCTCTCCTCATTTCTGTAATTTCCTTCAATGCTGGGTTTCATCTGAATTCTGTGTCTTCAATCCTCTGCTTTTCTGTCTCCCTGGTGACCCACGGTTCCAACTAGTTCTCAGATACTAATAACTCGGCCGGGCGCGGTGGCTCACGCCTGTAATCCCAGCACTTTGGGAGGCCGAGGTGGGCGGATCACGAGGTCAGGAGATCAAGACCATCCTGGCTAACACGGTGAAACCCCATCTCTACTAAAAATACAAAAGTTAGTCGGGCGTAGTGGCGGGCACCTGTAATCCCAGCTACTCTGAAGGCTGAGGCAGGAGAATGGCGTGAACCCGGTAGGCGGAGCCTGCAGTGAGCTATGATCGCGCCACTGCATTCCAGCCTGGGCGACTGAGCAAGACTCCGTCTAAAAAAAAAAAAAAAAAAAAAACAGATACTAATAACTCAATTATTCCTTCTAACCTTTATGAGTTTCACACTCATTTATCCAAGTGCCTGAATATATCCTTGGATACGTCAGTGTGAAAGTGTCCCAACTAAATCATTATCTCTAACTCTTGTGTCAGTTTTAACTCCTCTTTCTAAAAATCAAAATCAAAACAAATTATAATTCTTCCTGGATTCCCAATTACAATAAATGGTTACCATACAATCAGCTGCCAACAACAGAAATTCCGGGATCATCTTTGGCTCCTCTTCTGCTTTTAAACATTAAACTTCATACTTAACATCACTCATCATTCTGACAATTCTGTATCTTTTTTTGTTTTGTTTTAGAGACAGGGTCTCACTATGTTGCCCAGGCTGGTCTTGAACTCCTGGGTTCAAGCAATCCTCCCATCTCAGCCTCCCAAAGTGCTGGAATTACAGGCATAAGCCATGACAATTCTATTTCTTACTAGCTCTCAAGCCCAACCCATTCTCTCCCTTCCACTGCTTTAGTTCAGCCACTCATTGATGCTTATTAACATCACTGCAACAACATAACTGGCCTGGTGCAGTGGCTCACACCCAAATCCTGGCACTTTGGGAGGCCAAGGTAGATCACTTGAGGCCAGGAGTTAGAAACCAGCCTGGGAAACATGGTGAAACCCTGTCTCTACAAGAAATACAAAAATTAGCCAGACGTGGTGGTACACACCTATAGTCCCAGCTACTTGGAAGGCTGAGGTGGGAGGATCATTTGGCCCCGGTAGGTCAAGGCTGCAGTGAGCCAAGATTGTGCCACTGCACTCCAGCCTGAGTGAAAGAGCGAGACCTTGTCACTAAAAAAAAATAATAATTAATTTTAAAAATAGAATAACTGAGGTTCCCAGTCTTCCTCCCTTCAATTATTTCTCCAAACTGTCACCAGAGCCATCTCTCTAAAATGCAATCTGGTCTGCTCAAAATCTTCAGGGTTAAATTCAAACTCCTAGGCCAGGCATGGTGGCTCACGTCTGTAATCCCAGCACTTTTGGAGGCCGAGGCGGGTGGATCACCAGCCTGACCAATATGGCGAAACCCTGTCTCTACTAAAAATACAAAAATTATTAGCCAGGTGTGGTGGCGCATGCCTGTAATCCCAGCTACTCAGGAGGCTGAGGCAGAGAATCGCTTGAACCCGGGAGGCAGAGGTTGCAATGAGCCGAGATCGCCCGCTACACTCCCATCTGGGCAACAGACGGAGACGCCGTCTCAAAAAAAAAAAAAATTCTAACTCCTTAGCTGACATACACTGATCCTTCATGTGCTGGTCCCTGCCTAGCAATGAAACCTTATTCTCCTCCCTCTGTTAGCAAATATCCTATCCTCCAGCCATAACTATCTACAATTGCTGGAACATGGCACCCTCCACCTTATCTCAATTATCTTTTTACATGCTGACCCCCCTCTTCTTGGAAGGCCCTTTCCCACTCTATTCACCTCTCATGACCACCCAGACATCACTTCCCTGATCATCTTCTTAAATGTTCCCATACTGCTTACTTATCTATCATAACCATTTGTTTGCATATCTGTCTCTCCTATCAGATTTGAGTTTCTTATTGGCATGCCTTACTCTTCTTTGTATTTCCGGTCAAGCACAGAGCCTGGTACTTTTGAAGATACTCAATATTCTTATTAAACAGTTTTCTGTGACAGGTTGGTATGTCTTGTCTTCCCTACAAGTTTACAAGTGGAGGGTCCAAGTTTTTTCACCTCTCTAACCTCTGTAGTGCCAAATAAATACTAAGCAATTTTTAAATGTTTGTTGAATAAATAAGATTGACAGCACTATTTTCTGTATATCACAGAATCTTACTCATGCTTCATACTTCTGTATGCAATAGTTCAAACAGATCTTTTCAGTTTTTTGCATTCAGTTGAGAATAAGAGATAATTCACCTCAATTTCATAAGAATATGTGAACAATTGGATTTTAAATTTCCAAAAACAAGCTGCCACTTTCCCTAGACACTCCATTTGGTGATGTCTTCCCAACTCTTAACCACCATAATAACAATCACCTGTACCACTTGTTTAATAGCCTCATGCTTGTTTAAGGCAGTCATCAAGCTTTTTGCCTTCTCTCTTTGACAAACTAGCCTTGAAAATGAGAAGATCCTGTACAAAAAAAGGCCAAAGTTTGTCTCCAACGAGCTCAGTGTCTTTTGTAGGCTGTCTTTCCTTCTCTTCCTTGTAAAAAGCAGCCAATACAGAACGGTATGATACAGTGATTACAAAACAGTGAAAGCATTTAGCTCCGAGTCTGGGACACTAGGTCATCAAAGAAAAGAGAATCCCAAAGAGAGCTGGGTGATTTGGCTGGAAAGGATACACAGCCCCAAAGCAGAAGAAATGGGTGATGGAAAGATTAAGCGAATATACAGGATCAAAGAGAGAACTGAAAGCCTCTTAGACTGCAAAAGATATGGAAAACACAATAGGCCTCATTTTCAAATGTACAATATTCATGAGGAGGGTTTTATTATGCTATTTCAAAGTCAAAAGAACAAGACCTTTGCTTAAAAGCACTCAGGAGGCTGGGCGCAGTGGCTCACTTCTGTAATCCCAGCACTTTGGGAGGCCAAGGCAGGCAATCACTTGAGGCCAGGAGTTCAAGAGCAGCCTGGCCAACATGAAGAAACCCCATCTCTACTAAAAAAAGTGGTGGTGGTGCACGCCTGTAATCCCAGCTATTCGGGAGGCTGGGGAACAAGAATCACTTGAACCCGGGAGGTGGAGGTGGCAGTGAGCCGAGATCATGCCAAAAAAAGCACTCTGGTGATCAGTACACTGACAATTCAGTCACAGGGACACAGCATCACACTTAACTACTGCCAATGTGTCACGGACCCAGCTGCACAAGGATTGCCTTTTTTTTTTTTTTTTTTTTGAGACAGAGTCTTGCTCTGCCTCCCAGGCTGGAGTACAGTGGCGTGATCTCAACTCACTGCAACCTCTGCCTCCCGGGTTCAAGCGATTCTCCTGCCTCAGCCTCCTGAGTATCTGGATTACAGGCACACACCACCACACCTGGCTAATTTTTGTATTTTTAGTAGAGACGGGGTTTCACCACGTTGGCCACGCTGGTCTCGAACTCCTGACCTCAGGTGATCTGCCCACCTCAGCCTCCAAAAGTGCTGGGATTACAGGCGTGAGCCACTGTGCCCGGCTGGATTGCTTATTCTCACTGAAAAAGGAGGGGTTCTAGGAAAACTCAACAAAAAATAAAATACGTTTACTCTTATTTGATGATATTAACAAATCTGTTCATTTTTTAAGGTGTGACAAGAGTATATTGGTCATGTTAAAAGAAAAAGCCTTGGCTGGGCACTGTGGCTCATGCCTGTAATCCCAGCACTTTGGGAGGCCAGGGTGGGCCAATCACCTGAGGTCAGGAGTTTGAGACCAGCCTGACCAACATGGAGAAACCCCGTCTCTACTAAAAATACAAAATTAGCCATGCGTGGTGGTGCATGCCTGTAATCCCAGCTACTAGGGAGGCTAAGGCAGGAGAATCGCTTGAACCCGGGAGGCAGAGGTTGCGGTGAGCCGAGACTGCACCATTGCACTACAGCCTGGAGAACAAGAGCAAAACTCCGTCTCAAAAAAAAAAAAAAAGGGGGGGCCAGGTACGGTGGCTCACACCTGTAATCCCAGCACTTTGGGAGACCGAGGTGGGTGGATCACGAGGTCAGGAGATCAAGACCATCCTGGCTAACACGGTGAAACCCCATCTCTACTAAAAATACAAAAAATTAGCTGGATGTGGTGGTGGGCGCCTGTAGTCCCAGCTACTCGGGAGGCTGAGGCAGGAGAATGGCGTGAACCCAGAAGACGGAGCCTGCAGTGAGTAGAGATGGCACCACTGTACTCCATCCCGGGCGGCAGAGGCAGAGCAAGACTCCGTCTCAAAAAAAAAAATTAAATTTAAATTAAAAATAAAGAAAAAGCCCTTCTCTTTTAAAGATACATACTGAAATATTTACAGATGAAATGATACAATATTTAGAATTGGCTTCAAAATAATATGGGGGAGTATAATGGGATGCTGTAGATTATAGGCCAAGAGGAGGCCACAAGGATTCATTATAATACAGTACATTTAAACATAAATTTAAAAAAATTCATTAAAAAATTCACTCCAGCCAGGCACGGTGGCTCATGCCTGTAGTTAGAGCACTTTGGGAGGCCAAGACAGGCAGATCATGAGGTCAGGAGATCAAGACCATCCTGGCTAACATGGTGAAACTCCATCTCTACTAAAAATACAAAAAATTAGCTGGGCGTGGTGGTGGGCGCCTGTAGTCCCAGCTACTTGGGAGGCTAAGGCAGGAGAATGGCGTGAACCCAGGAGGTGGAGCTTGCAGTGAGCCGAGATCACGCCAATGCATTCCAGCCTGGGCAACAGAGCAAGACTGTCTCGGAAAAAAAAAAAAAAAGTCACTCCAAGCTTCAAATTCTATATATATCAATTTATTTTATTTCCTAATGAAGAAAGCTCAAAAAGGGTTAAACAGGATAATTCTAATGCACCATTAAAAGGGAAAAACCGAGAATTACAGTGAAGTCACTTCCCTTATACTTAAATAATTTACCACAATTCCATTTTATTTATTTATTTATTTTGAGTCTCGCTGTGTCACCCAGGCTGGAGTGCAGTGGCACGATCTCGGCTCACTGCAAACTCCGCCTCCTCAGTGGCTGGGACTACAGGCGCACACCACCACACCCAGCTAAATTTTGTATTTTTTCATAGAGACAGGGTTTCACCATGTTGCCCAGGCTGGTCTCGAACTCTGGTGCTCAGGCAATCCGCCTGCCTCGGCCTCCCAAGTGCTGGGATTACAGGAGTAAGCCACTGCACTGGGCCCACGATTCTAAAAACACAAAAATATATGTATATTTTCATCTTCATGATGCATATGTTCAAACTTAGTAAGACGGTACTAGAGATTTAGAACAGAACTGACCAGATTTAACTGTATAACTTCAAGGTTTAGGTCAAAGCTGTCAACACAATGGGCCTCTGAATATTTACATTCAACCCTGAATGGTAGTTAAACACTAGTCATGCACAGATAGCTTCTCAGGAACTCAAAACTATAACTAAAAATTTTACTGGTTGTGTAAACCTTACCCTTTGAGTCTAGACCTATGCTAAGCCTAGAACAAACCAGTTTGATTGCATCCAAAAGTACTAGCAAACAGACTTGGAAGTATGACAGACATTGTTAATTACCTATCTGGTATCTATTTTCCCTTTCTTCCTTACAAAGGGAAACCTAAATTTACCCAGATAAAAAACGTATTTCCCAGCTTCTTTTATACCCATTTTGGCCAAAGAGATATAAAGTGAACATACTTTTTCCCTTTTCTCCTGTCTGGAACACAAAGTAGCTTTTTTGTGCCCACAAGTAGACAAGCACCAGAGTGAAAGACTGCTGTTAAGGATGGAGAAGAAAATAATATGAAGGAACTGTGGAGCTACCACATCAGCCTTGAGCTACTTTTGTCTACATTTCTTGTTTTATGAGAAAAAAAAAATTGTTTAACCTACAATAAATCAAACTTTCTGTTATTCAGCCCAAAAGTAATCCTGAAATAGAAGGTGCTATAAAAGGTATAAGTTTGGCTCATATTAAAAACAGGTGCTAGAAAATTCCTCAATGGGCATCAAAAGCAGAATGAATAAGTAAATTGAGTGTACTGCATTCCACACAATGGAAAGCCACACAGCAATGAGATGTAATAACATACAACTATATACAATAATAATGAACAAACCTCTAAACAGTGCCGGGCAAAAGAACCAACACACAGAGATACATACTGTATGATTTCACTTATAAAATGTTATGCTGTATAAAAACAGACAAAACTATTCTACTTGTTAAGTCAATACAGCAGTTCTTCATCTGAGTGCTGGTTGCATGGATGTGTTCAGTTTGTGAAAGTTCGGCAAACCAAACACTCTTGTGCACTTTTTTGTATGTATATTACTCTTTGGTAAAACCTTTAAAAATAACTGGCCCTAGATATTGAGAACAACCAGCCCAGCAAACAAAACTCCACCCTTCCTTCCTTCCTTCAGGTCTTTTCCTTCAGATCCTCATTAGCTCAGAAAAGGCAACTGAATGCAAAAATAGCCAAAAAATATAACCGATACAACGTATCTTTAAGTAAACATAGTCACGTTGCAGGAATTATCCAGATTTTAAACTGTAAAACTAAGGTGCTCAATAACAGTATCTGTGTGAACTTTTCCCCATGACTCTTTTAAAAAGAAACAGAATATCAGCCGGGATGGCGCAGTGGCTCATGCCTGTAATCCCAGCACTTTGGGAGGCCAAGGCAGTCAGATCACCTGAGGTCGGGAGTTCGAGACCGGCCTGACCAACATGGAGAAGCCCCATCTTTACTTAAAAAAAAAAAAAAAAAAAAAAATGAAATTAGCCGGGCGCAGTGGCTCACGCCTGTAATCCCAGCACTTTGGGAGGCCGAGGCAGGCGGATCACTAAGTCAGGAGATCAAGACCATCCTGGCTAACGCAGTGAAACCCCGTCTCTACTAAAAATAAAAAAACTTAGCCAGGCGTGGTGGTGCGTGCCTGTAATCCCAGCTACTCAGGAGGCTGAGGCAGGAGAAATGCTTGAACCCAGGAGGCAGAGGTTGCAGTGAGCAGAGATCACGCCATTGCGCTCCAGCTAGGACTCTGTCTCAAAAAAAAAAAAAAAATTAGCTGGGCATGGTGGCACATGCCTGTAATCCCAGCTACTCGGGAGGCTGTGGCAGGAGAATCGCTTGAACCCAGGCGGCAGAGGTTGTGGTGAGCCAAGATGGCGCCATCGCATTCCAACCTAGGCAACAAGAGCGAAACTGTCTCAAAAAAAATTAATTAATTAAATTAATTAAGTAGAATATCAGCATTATATATATATACTTTTTTAAATCACAACTTCAGGGAATTCCAAAATGGAATGCTAAAGATGTCTTAATAAAAAATTAACTGGGCCAGGCACCGTGGCTCATGCCTGTAATCCCTGCATTTTGCAAGGCCAAGGCAGGCGGATCACCTGAGGTCAAGAGTTCAGGACCAGCCTAGCCAACATGGTGAAATCCCATCTCTACAAAGATCAAAAATTAGTTGAGCATGATTGCAGGTGCCTGTAATCCCAGCTACTTGGGAGGCTGAGGAGGGAGACTCACTTGAACCTGGGAGGCGGAGGTTGCAGCGAGTCGAGATGGCACCACTGCACTCCAGACTGGGTGACAGAGCGAGACTCCGTCTCAAAAAAAAAAGATTATCGGCCTCTCTTCCTTTATCTGCCATCATGGTGTGTGCTTGACTCCACTTCTCGCCATGTCTTCTCACAAGACTTTCAGGGTTAAGTGATTCCTGGCCAAGAAACAAAAGCAAAATTGACCCATTCCCCAGTGGATTCGGATGAAAACTGGTAATAAAATCAGGTAAAACTCCAAAAGGAGCCATTGGAGAAGAACCAAGCTGGGTCTATAAGGCATTGCATGATACAACATACTTATGCTGTCTGAAGGTCACAATCATGTTACCATATCGAGCTGAAAATGTCACCACTATCTAGAGAGTTGGACATGTTTTATTGGGAATATATTTTTTTCTCTGAATCTGTTATGAACGTGTTGGTTGGCTAGGTTCAGTAATAAATATGTGAGACCTTTCATTTTTTAAAAAAAAAATCATCCTTAACAATCCCAGTGTCCTGGAAGAAGTAAATGATTCAACTTTGGATATAGTTACCAGGTCTATTGCTAACAGAAGTAAAGATGAAGAAGGTATGCAAAAATATCATAAGAGAAAAACTATTCCATGGCAACCAGCCCTGCCTCAATAACAAAACAACATCAAGAGGACTGAAAGAGGAGGAGGAAGGTACCTGCTGTTTCATGTTTTTGAGGCGACCTTCCAATTCTAGGGCCTAGAATCATGCTGTGAACATTGTGACATTTAATAAACATTTGTTGAATGAATCTGGCCACTCTCCTTTAAAAAATTTTTTACTAATTATCCACTCAATGTGCTAAGCATTACAGGAAAAAGAGGATAAATAAAGCCTGATGTAATGGAGAAAAGACACTTAGAATGTAAATAACTGGCAACGCGGTGGCTCACACCTGTAATCCCAGCACTCTGGGAGGCCGAGGCAGGTGGATGACTTGAAGTCAGGAGTTCAAGACCAACCTGGCCAACATGGGGAAAGCCCATCACTACTAAAAATATAAAAACTAGCCAGGCGTGGTGACACACATCTGTAATCCCAGCTACTCGAGGCGCTGAGGCAGGAGAATCACTTGAACCAGGAGGCAGAGGTTGCAGTGAGCCGAGATCATGCCACTGCACTCCAGCCTGGGCCACAGAGCAAGACTCCATCTCAAAAAAAAAAAAAAAAAAGGAACGTAAATAACTGTAACATTACATGTAAAAATTATGAAAGAGATACCCTAACTGCCTTCGGGACTAAAGGATGTCATGAGTTGACAACTACTTAATAGTTTTTAAATCTGAACTACTAAATCTTAATGAGTAATCATAACATTCATATTCAATTTTTAAACTACTAGTAAAGTTTGTTTAGATAATGCTACAATCTATACATTTGTAACATCCACTAGCAGGACCTCATGTCTATCAGAGCGGACACAGTATTCTTCTTCTCCTAGGGCATGAAATGCTTAACTACATACTCAAGTAATAACTACAGTTTAACATATCTATTCTATGATATAAATAGTAGTACACACAATTATGAATTTTAATACACAACCAGTTCATCATATTCTCCTGCTATCTCAAGCAAAGAATTTCTAAAATCAGTAAAAATCAATAGCAGGGAGCTATATAGAACACTGCAGGGAATAATACTATCATGGCAGCAAAAATACAATTAATGTAGATTAAAGATAACTGCAAATTCTTTGTTACTCTCCCATTGAGAAACAGTGTCTAAATAAATGCCTTTCCCTTGAATCTGGCTGACCTTAGTGATTTGAGTGGGCAACAGAATTACAGACGTGACTTCCAAGGCTAGGTTGTAGGAGACTTGCTATTTCCACCCAGGTTCTCTTGGAACACCTATTCTCTCTGTGATCCCTGAGCCGTAAGTCTGAATACCCTGGGGTCTCCATGCTGACATCACATGATGAAACCACTAAGAAAGGCTCTGAGACTATATGGAGACACTTGCCCCATCCAGTCTCATCTCACCTGACAACTAGCTGTTCCAGCCCCCAGCCACTTGAGTCATCTCAGCTGAGGCCCCACACACCAAGAAGCAGAGGTGAGTCTAATCCACAGAGCCCTGTCCAAATTGCAGATTTATAAACAAAATAAATGGCTGTTGTTTTAAGTCACAAAATTTTGAGGTAATGTATCAGATAATCAGAATTACACAATGCTTCCAAATCCTTGACTAAAGATAAAAGGAAATCATTCAATCTCTCTTTGGGGGTGTTAATACAGATTCAGTTAGAGTGGAACAGTCATCCAATTGCTACAATTAACAGACTTGAATTGAAGAGCTGACCAAGCTACCTTTAATGATTTTGGTATAAAAAAGAAACACTATAAACTCAAATATCAGAAAGGAGGAAGGGGAAAATATTTGTACAAATTACCCTTATCCTTTTGATATTAAGCTTCGGGTTCTGTACGAGCACTTTGTTTTGCTACAAGGTGAGACTGGGCTAAAGGAAAGCACCCAATCAGATTTCTGTTACTGGTTAAAGGATGGTCCTTAACCATTTTGAGGAATCACGTACCCCTGATGAGACTATGGGTCCTTTCTCCTATTTAAAAAAAATATATATATATGGCTGGGCTCACGTCTGTAAACCCAGCACTTTGGGAGGCCAAGACGGGCAGATCACCTGAGGTCAGGAGTTCGAGACCAGCCTGATGAAACCCCATCTCTACAAAAAATACAAAAATTAGCCAGGTATGGTGTCATGTGTCTATAATCCCAGCTACTAGGGAGGCTGAGGCAGGAGAATCACTTGAACCCAGGAGGCAGAGGTTGCAGTAACCGAGATCACACCACACTGTACTCCAGCCTGGGCAATTGAGCAATGCTCTATCTTAAAAAAAAAAAAATACGTATGCACAAATACTCACAAAACACTCCATACAATGTAAGCGAACTTTCAGTCTTTATGGTCTATGGGCCTTAGGTTTAGAACTTATTTTAAAGGATTATTTAATAATGGTACACAAATCTACTAGATGATGTTGGAATTGTTAAAATTATAAAGAAGTGGGTTTTTTTGTGTTTTTTTTTTTTTTGCCAGGCACGGCACCTCACGCCTGTAATCCCAGCACTTTGGGAGGCCGAGGCGGGCGGATCACAAGGTCAGGAGTTCGAGACAGCCTGGCCAATATGGTGAAACCCTGTCTCTACCAAAAATACAAAAAAATTAGCTGGGCATGGTGGCTAATTTTTTGTGACTCCGTCTCAAAAAAAAAAAAAAAAAAAAGTTTTTTGTTTTTTTTCCTTTTCTTTTTTTTTTTTTTTTTTTTTTGGGACAGAGTCTTGCTCTGTCGCCCAGGCTGGAATGCAGTGGCATGATCTCCGCTCACTGCAACCTCCACCTCCCAAGCTCAAGCGATCCTCTCGCCTCAGACTCCCAAGTAGCTGGGATTACAGGCATGAGCCACCAGGCCCAGCTAATTTTTGTATTTTTAGTAAAGACGTGCTTTCCTCATGTTGGCCAAGCTGGTCTCAAAGTCCTGGCCTCAAGTGATCCCAAAGTGGTGGGATTACAGGCGTAAGCCACCCTACTCAGCCATTAAGAAGTGTTTCACTCAAATTCCAAAAACAATCATTTTTTCATTAATCAATGGAGGACCCAGCAATTGAAGTCTTGTGTGTATTTAATGTCCACCGATTTTAACCTTGTTATTACTCAATTTCACTATTTTAACACCAGACAATAACCTTCTGAGAGCTGCCTCAGAAAACACATCACTCTAAAATAACTTGATTCAAATTAAGGTTGTCTTCTTAGGACAGTGGTTTAGTCTCATGCTGATATTAAACAGTACAGGATTTGGAGATTCTTGTTCTCACTTATAAACCTCTTAAGATTAAGGGTTCAGCTTTATAACTCTTTTAAGTCTTTAGCACTCAACACTGAACTTGTACTGGGTCTTCTTTGTTTTGAGTCAGGGTCTCTATCGCCCAGGCTGAAGTACAGTGGCATGATCTTGGCTTGCTGCAACCTCGACCTCGCAGGCTCAGGTGATCCTCCCATATCAACCTCCTGAGTAGCTGGGACTACAGGTACAGGCCATCATGCCTGGCTAATTTTATTTTTTGTAGAGACGACGTCTCTCTATATTGCCCAGGCTGGTCTCAAACTGGGCTCAAGCAATCCTCCCCCACTTAGGCCTCCCAAAGTGCCAGGATTACAGGTGTGAGGCGCTGCACCCGGCCAATGTACTGAGTCTTTTTTTTTTTTTTAAACGGAGTCTCACTCTGTCGCCCAGGCTGGAGTGCAGTGGAGTGATCTCCAGTTACTGCAACCTCCGCCTCCCGGGTTTAAGCAGTTCTCCTGCCTCAGCCTTCTGAGTAGCTGGGATTACAGGTGCGCACCACCACGCCTGGCTATTTTTTGTATTTTTAGTAGAGACGGGGTTTCACCATGTTAGTCAGGCTGGTCTAGAACTCCTGACCTCGTGATCCACCCAACTTGACCTCCCAAAGTGCTGGGATTACAGGCTTAAGCCACTGCACCCGGCGAGTCCTAATGATGTTGGTCAATCAGCCTACAGCAACAGTTCTCAAACTTTTTGTTCTCAGGAATCTTACACTTAAATTTATTTAGAATCCCATAAAGCTTTTGTTAGGTTGGTTACATCTATTGATGTTTACAGTATTAAACACTGAAAACTGAGAAATGTCTTAAATATTAATTCATTTTAAAATACCAACAAACCTGTTATATGTTAACAAATATATATTTTTATTAAAAATATTTTTCAAAACAAAATTAATGAAAGAGTGGGACTGTTACACATTTTTGCAAATCTCTTTAATGTCTGGCTTAATAAAAACAGCTAAACAGCTGGATTTTCACATCTGCTTCCACATTTAATTTGTTTTATCACAAGTCATGTTAGTTTCTAGAAACGTCCATTGAACACTCATGAAAGAATGACAGTGAAAAAGACAAATAATGTCCTAGTATGAACATGAAATAAAAGAATCTATTTGTATCCTAGGTCCTTCATTTCTTTATGTATCTCTTAAATAACCTGACTTCAAAATGGAGCAATAAATTCTACATTTTATAATTATTTCTTTATGTTGCTCTTCCATCAGTCTACAATAAATTTCAAAATGCTTCCTAGACGCTTCTGGGAAACAAAATAAAAGGCTGACGAAACTAAGCATTTACGCCTATACTTTTCTTCCTAGTAACCAAGTAAACAACTACCTAGGGAAACACAATGCCCACTTGGGAATTAATCTAGATTATTAGTAAGTAGATCCATCCAAAATTCATCTAGATTATGGTTAAGCTTTAAAATGTTAAGTGTACATTTTGTACAATAGTACCAATCTGCAAAAACCTCACTTGCTCTCACGAAATGGTACAAAACTGGGTTAAAAGCCAAGGGAATAGGTGTGTTAAATTTAAAAGTTCAAGTACATCGTGGAGTTGAATGAAAAATAGTTTTCTGAATAACTACCATTAAATGAGTAAAAGTCCAAAAATAATGTAAAAAGTCAAAGTCGGCTGGGCGCGGTGGCTCACGCCCGTAATCCCAGCACTTTGGGAGGCCGAGGTGGGCGGATCACGAGGTAAGGAGATCGAGACCAGCCTGGCCAATATGGTGAAACCCCGTCTCTACTAAAAATACAAAAATTAGCTAGGTGTGGTGGTGAGTGCCTGGTGGTGAGTGCCTGTAATCCCAGCTACTCGGGAGGCTGAGGCCCGAAAATTGCTTGAACCCAGGAGGCGGGAGGGTGCAGTGAGTGGAGATCGCACCACTGCACTCCAGCCTGGCGACACAGCGAGACTCCGTCTCAAAAAAAAAAAAAAGTCAAAGTCGTCTGAGCAAACAAAAGACCAGACAAAAACTTTATGAATTAAAAACTAGCCATAAAGTTGTTTAATTAGAACAGGATGAGGAAGAAAAGGGGAAATCGATCACTCCTGATTAAGTGCAAATCCCAAGTAAATTATTGATACTAACAGTGAGCTGGAGCACTTTGCCTTACCAGGCAACTTTCTGCAAATATTCTGCAACGACTCTACATACACAAAGTTTTCCTATGCTTTTCCTCAAAAATATGAGACTTCCTCAGGTTAATGCCCAGGTGAGATGCTTTTTGTTGCTCTAGCAGTTTAGTTCTATTTTCTTTCTTGGTTATTATGAATGCTCTCTTACAACTGGAGAGCTAGGATGAACCAATCCCGAGTAAGAAACGGGAAAGTACAGTAAAGAGGCGACAGCTCTGCACCCCCACACGGAAAAAGACTCAGAGGAGAGCAGCGGCATCCTTGCCCTAGCTCCAATCCGAACGGAGGCAGGATTCCCAACAACATCGGACGTCTCCCTCCCTCGCCGCCCCACGCCCTCCCGACGAAGAAGCAAAAAGTGGAGAGTCCAGCCGCTTCTCAGGGCCACGGAGCCTCCCAGTCAGGGATTCTCTCCCGTTACATAACTAAGGCCTAGGGCCCTGCTTCTGCGATTAGTCCTCTGGAAGGAGACGGACGGGTTCTCCAGAGACCCTCCCAGGGAGGTGGAAGCGGGGCTCTGCACCTAGTCGACCCGGGAGAAAGAAGTGGGACGACATGAGGGAGGCCGCCACCAAAGGCGGTGGGGTACGGGGGTGATGAGCGAGCCCGGAGAGGGGCGGGCGGCTCCGGGAGCCCCGCAGCAGGCCCCGGCACCTCCGGCCGTAGTCGGCTCCTCTCCCTCGCCTGCCTAGTCCCCACCGGCCGCCCCCTCCCCCATTCCGCGCTCCCCTCCCCCGCGCCTCCATCCCCGACCCCAGCCTAGCGGCAGGCAGACCTGCAGGGAAGGCCCTGGCCACCGCCGTTGGATGGCTCCCAGCCCGGTACCTGGTCAGACATGATGACGGTGGCTTCACCCGGGGGTCTCCGCACAGCAGCGGCCTCGGGTAAGCAGAACCTCGCTCCGGGGTTTACAAATCCTTCTCCCTTCCCCACAGCACAACACCGCGGCTGCAGTAACTTCCGCTACGCCTCGCGTCACTTCCGCTTCGCGCAGGGAGGAGGGAGAGAGAGAAGAGAGGAAAGACAAGGCGGGAAATGGGTGGGGGAGCAGCCAAGGGGAGGGGCAGGCTGTGGAGCTGCTTTGCCGGTGGTCGCGCGGGTGAACGGCAGTTTTGTCAGCTCCTTCAAGGACCAGGTCCTGCGCATCAGTACTAGGGCCATCCCCCAGGAGCAAAGGTCCTGGCTCCATGTCTCAATGTTTGGAGCCACTCTCACAACCTAGATTGCTCTCTCCGTTACACCTTGCGCGTCTCTGACGACTGAGCCGAGATACTTCTTTTGTCTCCTCCCAGCCTTGCTCATCAACCCCCAACCCCCAAATATGTTTATTTGAATGCCAGTACTTCTAGCTCTAGAACCAACATTTTCGGTTAACCAGCACCCTTGCCAAACACATGACCGTGATTTAAAACAACAAGAAAGCAACGACCCAACACAATCTTGACGGCTACTGATGCTAAAGACCGCTGCTGAAAGTTCTAAATGGGGAGTGAGTAATTCCAACCCTTGAATTGGTTGCTTTGAGTTAAGGTTAAAGAATGATTCTTCTTGGCAGGGCGCTGTGGCTCACGCCTATAATCCCAGCACTTTGGGAGGCCGAGGCGGGCGGATCACCTGAGATCAGGAGTTCGAGACCAGCCTGGCCAACACGGTGAAACCACGTCTCTACTAAAAATAACAAAAATTAGCCGGGCGTGGTGGCTGGCGCCTATAATCCCAGCTACTAGGGAGGCTGAGGCTGGAGAATCGCTTGAACCCGGGAGGCGGAGGTTGCAGTGAGCCGAGATCCGCGCCATTGCACTGCAGCCTGGGCGACAAGAGTGAAACTCCCTCTCAAAAAAAAAAAGGTGGCGGGGGGGGCGATTCCGCTCCCCTCGCATGGGGAAGCAGGCTCTGACCGGCCTGCAGAGCTGCAGCAGCCCTTTGCGCCCTCCTCGCCCTCCCCACCAACATCATGCTCCAATTCCTGCTTGGATTTACATTGGGCAACGTGGTTGGAATGTATCTGGCTCAGAACTATGACATACCAAACCTGGCTAAAAAACTTGAAGAAATTAAAAAGGACTTGGATGCCAAGAAGAAACCCCCTACTTCATGAGAATGCCTCCAGCACTGCCTTCGGGATATACTGATTCTACTGCTCTTGAGGGCCTCCTTTACCATCTGAACCAAAAGCTTTTGTTTTCATCTCCAGCCTCTGGGCTCCTCTTTGCTAGACCCTGTGTTTTTGGCTTTAGAGCAAGCAAAATGGGGCCTCAATTTGAGAACTACCCTACATTTCCAACATACTCACCTCTTCCCATATTCCCTTTCCAACTGCATGGGAGGTTCTAAGACGAATTGTGGTGCTAGATTAGTAAACATGACTTTTAATGGAAAAAAAAAAAAGAATGATTCTTCTTAGATTTCTTCTGTAAAACACAATGGCCCTACTGGCATACACAGTGGCCCTACGGGCATACTCATGGAGGATAAGAATATAAACAAATAGAATTGAGAATCCTGAAATAAATCAATAACCCTCACATTTACATCAACAAAAACACCAAGACAAATCAATGGTGAAAGAACAGTCTTTTCAACAGTTGGTACTACCACTGCTGGACATTCACATGCAAAAGAATGACTTCGTTTTGTTTTTTGTTTGTTGTTTGTTGTTGTGTTTTTTTGGTCACCATCTCAAAAAAAAAAACCAAAAAACACACACACAAGGAGGCCGGGCACCGTGGCTCACACCTGTAATCCCAGCACTTTGGGAGGCCCAGGTGGGCAGATCTCTTGAGCCCAGGAGTTCAAGACCAGCCTGGGCAACATGTTGCAGTGTGCCAAGATCATCCCACTCCACTCCAGCCTGGGCAACAGAGTAAGACCTTGTCTCAAAAAAAAAAAACAATCAGGCGTGGTGCTTCACACCTGTAATCCCAGCACTTTGGGAGGCCAAGACGGGCAGATCACTTGAGATCAGGAGTTGGAGACCAGGCTGGCCAATATGGTGAAACCCCATCTCTACTAAAAATGCAAAAGCTAGCCAGGCTTGGTGGCTCAGGCCTGTAATCCCAGTTACTCGGGAGACTGAGGCAGGAGAATCGCTTGAACCTGGGAAGCGGAGGAGGCTGCAGTGAGCTGAGATCACACCATTGCACTCCAGCTTGTTACTGGGTGACAGAGCGAGACTCAGTCTCAAAAAAAAAAAAAAAAAAAAAACAAGGAGATACCACTTTATACCCACTAGAAGGGCTATGTTCAAAAAGACAGAAAATAACAAGTGTTGACAAGGCTATGGAGAAATTAGAACCCTTATACCCTGTTAGTAGGAATATAAAATGCTTTAGGCTAGGCATGGTGGCACTGGCCTATAGTCCTAGCTACTTGGGAGGCTGAGGCAGAAGGATCCCTTGAGGCCACGAGGTGGAAGCCTCAGTGTGCTATGCTATGATCAAGCCTGTGAGCCAATGCACTATATAGCCTGGACAACACAGCAAGACCCTGTCTCAAAAAAAAAAAGTTTTGAAAAACTGTCTGTCAGTTCCCAAAATTGTAAAACATAAAGTCACCATAAGACCCAGAAATTTCACTCCTAGGTATATACCCGAGAGAATTGAAAACATATATCCATTCCAGACTCAGTGGCACATGCCTATAATCCCAGCACTTTGGGAGGCCAAGGCAGGAGGATACCTTGAGGCCAAGAGTTCAAGATTACAGTGAGCTATGATTGCATTCTAGCCTGGGCAGCATAGTGAGACCCTGTGATATGGTTTGGCTCTGTGTCCCCACTCAAATCTCATGTCCAGTTGTTATTCCCAGTGTTGGGGGAGGGACTTGGGAGGTGAGTGAATAATGGGGACAGATTTTCCCCTTGCTGTTCTCAATATAGTGAGTGACTTCTCACGAGATCTGGTTGCTTAAAAGTGCGTAGTACTTTCCGCTTCACAGTCTTTTTCTCCTGCTCTCGTGTGAAGAAGGTGATAGCTTCCCCTTTGCCTTGGTCCATGATTGTAAGTTTCCTGAGGGCTTCCAGTCATGCTTCCGGTTAGGCCTGCAGACCTATGAGTCAATTAAACCTCTTTTCTTCATGAATTACCCAGTCTAAGGCAGCTCTTTACAGCAATGTGAGAACAGACTAATACACTCTGTTTCTAAAAATAAAAATAAAACATATAACAAAAACATGTACACTAATGTTCAAAGCAACATTAGTGAGCTACTGCTCCAGCCTCCTACTAGGGCTGAGGGATTAGGGAGAAAATGGAGAGTGACTGCTGATGGGTACAGAGTTCCTTTTGGAAGTGATGAAAATGCTCTAAAATTGATTGGTGATGGTTGCACAGCTATATGAATATACTAAAAATTATATATTTTAAAGAGGTGAGCAGTATAAGCTAATTATCTCAGTAAAACCATTACATTAAAAAAAAATACAATGGCCTTGAAAAGAGCTGCTAGTAATAGGTGAAGAGGATTATTAAGGGAGCCTACATCCAAGCAAGTTAGTCAGGAAAAGCTTCCAAAATAAATACATAAATAACATCTAAATTGAAGGTCGGAGAGTAAGCTGAAATAAGCTAGAGCAGCAGTAGTTCTTTTTTTTTTTTTTTTGAGACAAATTCTCGCTCTGTCGCCCTGGCTGGAGTGCAGCGGCACAATCTCGGCTCACTGCAACCTCCACCTCCCAAGTTCAAGCAATTCTCTGCCTCAGCCTCCCTGAGTAGCTGGGACTACAGGCACGTGCCACCACACCTGGCTAATTATTTTTTTGTATTTTTAGTAGAGGCGGGGTTTCACCATGTTGGCCAGGCTGGTCTTGAACTCCTGACCTCGTGATCCACCCGCCTCGGCCTCCCAAAGTCCTGGGATTACAGGCTTGAGCCACCACGCCCGGCCCATATAATTCTTAATCTGTATTATAGTTTTTCAGTCCTACAATTTCTATTGGTCTTTTTCAAATTTGCTATGTCCTTGTTAACAATTCAAATTCTCAGTTGACATTCTCTATATACCTTAACAATAATTAACATGGTTATTTTAGATCCTGTTTCTGATCATTCTAGAGCCCCTGGAGGCACTTGCTTTTTTTGATTCTCATTCACATTATCTCCTCATTATCTTTGATTACGTGCTGGGCACTGTGTTTGAAACTTTGCTGAAATAATCTGTAATAACAATATTTTCTTCCTTCAGAGAGGAGTTTTGTCCTAGGGCACTAGGAACCCAGAGTCACCTTAATCCAATTTTAGGGACTGAGATTTTCTACCTGCCAGAATTCTCAAAGCTGGGCTTCAATTCATGCCAGTTCTGTTTCATTCTTAGTCTCAAGAGTCTACCCTTAGATGTCCCATTCCAAATCTTGGGGTGTTCTACACATGATATACTCAACTGTTTTTCCTTCTAAACAGACTTTGATTTCAGAGCAGTTTTAGGTTCACGACAAAATTTAGCAGGAAGTACAGTGCCCATATCACACATGCATCCCACACTATCAATGTCCCACACCAGAATAATATAAATTATTACAATTGATAAACCTATGCTGATGCATCATTATCACCCAAAGTTCACTCTTGGTGTTAGACATTCTATGGGTTTTATTTTTTAATTTTTTTTTTTTTTTTGAGACGGAGTCTCGCTCTGTTGCCCAGGCTGGAGTGCAGTGGCACAATGTCGGCTCACTGTAACCTCTGCCTCCTGGGTTCAAGCAATTCTCCTGCCTCAGCCTCCTGAGTAGCTGGGATTACAGGTGCCCCCCACCATGCCTGGCTAACTTTTGTATTTTTAGTAGAGATAGGGTTTTACCATTTTGGCCAGGCTGGTCTCGAACTCCTGGGCTCAAGTGATTCGCCTGCCTCGGCCTCCCAAAGTGCTGGGATTACAGGTGTGAGCAACCACACCAGGCCCTTACTTATTTTTTTGAGACAAGTAAAAAATGGCTCTGTCGCCCAGGCTGCAGTGCATTGCAATCACAGTTCACTGCAACCTCTGCCTCCTGGCTGGGCTCAAGACATCCTCCCACATCAGCCTACCAAGTAGCTGGGATGACAGGCGCTTGCCACCACGACCAGCTAATTTTGGTATATTTGTAACGACGGGGTTTCGTCATGTTTCCCAGGCTGGTCTCAAATCCCTGTGCTGAAGCAATCCACCCACCTCAGCCTCCCAAAGTGTTGGAATTACAGGTGTGAGCCACTGCACCCAGCTTCCATATGAACTTTAGAATTGATATGTTGATATGCACAAAATTAAATGCTGTGATTTTGATTGGGATTGCACTGAATCTATATATCAAGTTGGGAAGAAGTGACATCTAACTGACAACATTGAGCCTTCTTATCCATAACATAGAAATCCTTCATTTATTTAGCTCTTTACTGATTTTTTCATCAGAGTTTTGTAGGTTTCTTCATACAGATTTTAACATATTTTGTTAGACTTATACCTAAATATTTCATTGGGGTTGATGTTAATGTAAATGGTGTTTTTTTGTTGTTTCTTGTTTTTTTGTTTGTTTGTTTGTTTTTGAGATAGAGTCTCACTCTGTCGCCCAGGCTGGAGTGCAGTGGCGCAATCTCAGCTCACTGCAACCTCCGTCTCCCAGGTTCAAGCAATTCTCCTGCCTCAGCCTCCCGAGTAGCTGGGATCACAGATGTGCACCTCCACACCCGGCTAATTTTTTGTATTTTTAGTAGAGACGGGGTTTCACCATGTTGGCCAGCCTAGTCTCGAACTCCTGACCTCAGGTGATCTGCCCGCCTCGGTCTCCCAAAGTGCTGAGATTACAGGCATGAGCCACTGCACCCAGCCGTAAATGGTATGTTTTTAATTTCAAATTTCATTTGCTCATTGCTGGGCTGGAGCTAGTTTTTAACTTGTATCCCTGAACTGACAAAATGTTGAAAGCACTGCTCAGCCTTCCAGCCACTTCTACTATAGTTGGCAAATGCCAAATGGGGAAATGACAACAGATCTTGAACTCACTCCTCTAGATTCTTCCACTTTCCAAGATCTTGGTATTCTTCACTACCTTCATAACGCTTAGATGACTTCAAGCAAATTTTTAGGAAATATTTTATTCAGCTTTTCTAGTTGTCCTCAGTAATAGGGCTGGTCTTAGCTACCTGGTCCCCTTACTAAAGGTGGAAGTCCATAACCTTAAAAATTAAAGTTCACTTTAGATCTTTTTAAAGATTGTTTTTAAAACAATTTCTCAGAATCCTTTAAATTAATGCTTCTCAAATTTTTTATTCTTGGACCCCACGAATCAGAATTGCCTGGGTTCTGTATTTGAAAAGCCAGACTTCAGGCCCAACTCTAGACCTATTGATTCAAAATCTCTCTGGGCAGGGGCCAGAAATTCCCAAATTTCCAAGCTCTCTGTATTATATTTATTATAGCGATTTGAGCATCATTGATTTCATAAAGGGTTTTTTGTTTGTTTGTTTGGTTGGTTGGTTGGTTGGTTGATTGGTTGGTTGGTTGGTTGGTTTTTAGATGGAGTCTCACTGTGTCGCCAGGCTGGAGTGCAGTGGCACGATATTAGCTCACTGCAACCTCCGCCTCTCGGGTTCAAGCGATCCTCCTGCCTCAGTTCCCCTAGTAGCTGGGATTAGAGGCACGTGCCACCATGCCCAGTTAATTTTTGTATTTTTAGTAGAGACGGGGTTTCACCATGTTGGACAAGATGGTCTTGATCTCCTGACCTCGTGATCCCCCCACCTTGGCCTCCCAAAGTGCTGGGATTACAGGTGTGAGCCACCGCGCCTGGCCTCATGAAGTTTTTTTTTAATGGTGACACCTTGGGATAAATAAAAACTGTTGGCCAGGCATGGTGGCTCATGCCTGTAATCCCAGCACTTTGGGAGGCTGAGGCAAGCAGATAACGAGGTCAGGAGATCGAGACCATCTTGGCCAACATGATGAAACCCCGTCTCTACTAAAAACACAAAAATTAGCTGGGCATGGTGGCGTGCACCTGTAGTCCCACCTACTCAGGAGGCTGAGGCAGGAGAATCGCTTGAACCCAGGAGGTGGAGGTTGCGGTGAGCCAAGATCGCGCCATTGCACTCCAGCCTGAGCAACAGGAGCAAAACTCTGGCTCAAAAAAAAAAAAAAGAAAAACTGTCACTTAAGAAACACTATATTAAAGGAATGAATGTTAGCTTTTGCTATGGTACAAACACTGGTAATACTTCCTAAGAATAGACTGAATCTTCCTTGGTTCACTTGCTCAAAAACTGAAGGAGTTGTGGACTTGCTTTCTTCTTAAAAAGCGTAATCAGGGCACAGTGGCTCACACCTATAATCCCAGTACTTTGGAATGCTGAGGCAGATGGATCGCTTGGGCTCAGTAGTTCGAGACCAGCCTGGGCAACAAAGTGAGACCCTTTCTCTACAAAAAATGCAAAAATTAACTAGGCATAGTGGCACAGGCCTGTGGTCCCAGCTGCTTGGGAGGCTGAGGTTGCAGGATTGCCTGAGCCTAGGAGGTAGAGACTGCAGTGAGCCAAGATCGCACCACCGCATTCTAGCCTGGGTGACAAAGCAGGACTCTGTCTTGGGAAAAAAAAAAAAAACTTAAAAAAAGTGTAATCAAGTGTGAAAAGATAGCTGATTCTTACATTTTTTATTCTAATACTCATCCCCATGAAAAGAAGGTCAGCATCTCTAATAATAGCATCTCTAAGAATTGCGAATTAAAATGAGATACAATGTTTACATATCTGTTTTGCAAAGATTAAAAGAATAAATAAGCCCAGTATCGTTGATGTGGTTTGGCTCTGTGTCCCCACCCAAATCTCATCTTGTAGCTCCCATAATTCCCACGTGTTGTGGGAGGGACCTGGTGGGAGATGACTGAATTATGGGGGTGGGTCTTGCCTGGGCTGTTCTCATGATAGTAAGTCTCATGAGATCTTATGGAATTATAAGGGGGACTTTCCCTGCACAAGCTCTCTTTGCCTGCCGCCATCCACATAAGATGTGGCTTCCTCCTCCTTGCCCTCCACCATGATTGTGAGGCTTCCCTAGCCATGTGGAACTATAAGTCATTAAACCCCTTTCTTTGTAAATTGCCCAGTCTCGGGTATGTCTTTATCGGCAGCATGAAAACAAACTAATACAATCGTCAAGGTTTGAAAAATGGGCACTCTCAAGCAAGAATGGTAGGAGTGTAAACAGTACAATTGTATTAAAGGGCAACTTGAAAACATCTGCCAAAATTTTATACATACAAACAAATTTTACACAAGACAATTTATCTTCTAAGAATTTATTATTCAGTAATACACAATTATTTATAAACATATATATTCAAGGATGTTCTTTTTAGCATTATTGATGATAGCTAATAAACTATATACAATTATGTGCCTATTAATGGCAATCAGATAATTATGCCTGTTAATGGGAATCAGATAAATTATGCTACATCCCTAGAATAGAATCCTGTGCAGAGATGGGGTTTCACCATGTTGGCCAGGCTGGTCTCGAACTCCTGACCTTATGATCCACCCACCTCAGCCTACCAAAGTGCTGGGATTACAGGCCTGAGCCACCGCACCCAGCTGTATTATTTCTGCTATTCTATTCATTTATTCGCTTAACAAATAATTGTTTAGCTCCTGCCATTAGCCAGGCACACTGGTCTAGGTACTGAGGAGAGTAGTGTTTTAGGGAGAAGATAACTAGCTACTAACAAATAACCAAAAAATCACAATGTCTCCACAAAGTAAAGCTTTATTTGTCATTCACATCACAGTCTGACTTGGGTGTTCAGTAAGCATCCTTTATTTATTTATTTATTTATTTATTTTTATTTATTTATTTTTTTTAACCCTCCTGGGTTCACACCATTCTCCTGTCTCAGCCTCCCAAGTAGCTGGGACTACAGGCACCCGCTACCGCGCCTGGCTAATTTTTTTGTATTTTTAGTACAGGCAGGGTTTCACCATGTTGGCCAGGTGGGTCTAGAACTCCTGACCTCGTGATCCGCCCGCCTCGACCTCCCAAAGTGCTGGGATTACAGACGTGAGCCACCATGCCTGGCCAGTAAGCATCCTTTAATATTCTGATTTAAGGAATCAAGTTGGTCTCCTACCAACTTGTGCTGGCACCATCTTCTCATGCAAGCATCTGCAAACATTTTTTGTAAAGGGACAGATAGCAAATGTTTTAGGCTTTTGTGTCACAACTATTCAATTCTGCTATTGAAGCATGAACACAGCCATAGACAATATGTAATTGAATGAGCATTATTGTGTTCCAATAAAACTTTATTTACAAAACCAGAATATTAGCCGGACGTGGTGGCAGGCGCCTGTAGTCCCAGCTACTCCAGAGGCTGAGACAGGAGACTCGCTTGAACCCGGGAGGCAGAGGTTACAGTGAGCTAAGATCACACCACTGCACTCCAGCCTGGGTGATAGAGCAAGACTCTGTCTCAAAAACAAACAAACAAACAAAAAAATAGATGGTGGGCTAAATTTGATGCATGGGCCATGATTTGCCAATCCCTGTTGTAGGATGTCCTCGGAGTCTTGAACTGATTCTCTTTGCATTCAAGAGGTCAAAAGAAAGCATGAGAAAAAAAGGAAGAAAGAAAAAGCATGAGGAAGGCCTGGAAATGGCCTGACTTCAACCCTCTCTCATTGGCCAGAATCCAAACACAATGTCACAACTAAGTGAGTCTTTCTTGCGACCCAATGAAAGGAAAAGAGAGACACAGTCTGCCCTTTTTCTTACCAAATATTGTTTCTTTTTTTTTTTTTTGGCAGAGTCTTGCTCTGTTGCCCAGGCTGGAGTGCAGTGGTATGATCTCAGCTCACTGTAACTTCTGCCTCCTGGGTTCAAGTGATTCTCCTGCCTCAGCCTCCCGAGTAGATAGGACCACAGGCACCTGCCATCACAACTGGCTAATTTTGGTATTTTTAGTAGATACGGGTTTCACCATGTTGACCATGGTGACCAGCTTGGTCTCGAACGCCTGACCTCATGATCCAACCGCCTCAGCCTCCCAAAGTGCTGGGATTACAAGCATGAGCCACCACGCCCGGCCCCCTCAGATATGGCTTTCTATTATCTGGCTTTCTATTATCTGGTGACCTATGAACTAAAAAGACCATCTGCCCATATGCACCCGTGATAATGCAACATAGACAGGAAAACTGGGAAAAAAACGTCCTCATTCAGAACAAGGAAGAATTGAGGGCACATGGGTCACTGGACCACAGCAATTTTGAAATCCCACTGGGTAAGTATTGTGAAGGCCCTTTCACAATGGGTCAGCTCTACTGGTGGACTCTCAGAGTTCACATCGTGGGGATGTCCTCACTTCATGCAAGTTCCAACATTCTGTGCGAGGCAATTGTCTACATGGATGTTCTCCCTCTTGTCAAGTTCTGACACCATGGGTGGGCCTTCCCTTCACAGGACACCCTCTTCACACTAGTCAGGCTCTGACATTCCTCTCCAGGTGACACCATGTTGACACTTAGTCAGCTCGGCCCTAGCTAATGGCTTTGGAGCTAAATTGTTCAGAAAGGGAAAGAGAAAAAAGAAGAGAGAGGAATAAGGGGAAGAGAAAAAATAAAACTTTTCTTAATTTCTTACTATTAGGGCTAGAAGCAGTCAGCATTTCCTACTTTCAAGGCCCCCAACTTTTTTATTCTATTCTCTTTCATTTCTGCTTACAAACCCAGGAATTCTTTTTTTTTTTTTTTTGAGACGGCGTCTCTGTCGCCCAGGCTGGAGTGCAGTGGCGCAGTCTCGCCTAACTGCAAGCTCCGCCCCCGGGTTCATGCCATTCTCCTGCCTCAGCCTCTTGAGTAGCTGGAACTACAGGCGCCTGCCACCACACCCGGCCAATTTTTTGTATTTTTAGTAGAGACGGGGTTTCACCGTGTTAGCCAGGATGGTCTCGATCTCCTGACCTCGTGATCCACCCACCTCAGCCTCTCAAAGTGCTGGGATTACAGGCTTGAACCACTGCGCCCGGCCCAGGAATTCTTTCTTGATCTCATCTCTTTCATGTAATATCTTGCCAAACATTGCTAAAAATAATCACTATTAAGTTTCTACTTTCTATTTCCTTCCTCCAGGATGGATGACTCAGTAGACACATGGCCTGCTGCTCAGGTAACCTCAGGCAACAATTTTGTGAAATGTACTGCCACTCTATTTCATGGCTTAGCATCTTTCCAGCCACTAACATCAAGTTCATTGCAGCCCACCACTCACCTGCTGTCTCAATGATATATAGCTAAGGTGTGGCTTTTTTACAATAGAATTTTACTTCAAGCCAATACTCTTAAAACTGAGAGAGGAAACCCCAAGTGCCACGGAAAACAGCCAGTTATGTGAGGAGGCTGGAAGAGGCGGTGTTTCATTTGCATAGGGCTTAGGGGATTGGTTTGACCAGGCATGTTATTTACAAAGCCCGAGTAAAAACTGACCCTTCCAGCATAGCCTTTTAATATGCAAATGCAGGGCACCAAGATGTTTTACACGTGTGGGGCTATGTGGGGGAGGCCATGTTGCCAGGCACATGTGGGGGCAAGGGCAAGAGGACAGAGGTGGGAATTACCCTGTGGACCCAGTTTTAATGGCCTACATTTGCATATTAAAGGTTGCCGGCGGGTTCTAAGAGCCAGAGCTTTCCTGCTAAACAGACATTTCTGGAGCTGCTTTAAAAGAGACAAAAAATTCCTAAAGACCCCTTTTCCTCTCTATCTGCCTAAAATAATTTTTTAATAACTCCTATAACACTATTATTCTTCTTTTGAAAAAGAACAGGGCCGGGCGCGGTGGCTCCTGCCTGTAATCTCAGCACTTTGGGAGGCCGAGGCAAGCGGATCACTTGAGGTCAGGAATTCGAGACCAGCCTGGCCAATACAGCGAAATCCCGTCTCTACTAAAAATACAAAAAAATAGTCGGGCATGGTGGCATGCGCCTATAATCCCAGCTACTCAGGAGGCTGAGGTAGGAGAATCGCTTGAACCCGGGAGGCGGAGGTTGCAGTGAGTCAAGTCCGCATCACTACCCTCCCGCTTGGGGGAGAGAGCAAGACTCCGTCTCAAAAAAAAAAAAAAAAAAAAAAAACAATAAGAAAAAGAACAACCAATTTGTTGACAATTATGGTGAATCTGTGGTGTGGTAATCTGTGGTAGGTAGAATAATATCCCCCAAAAGATATCCATGTCCTAATACCCAGAACTAATGAATATGTTACCTTAAATGGCAAAGTGGACTTTGCAGATGGGATTAAATTAAGGATCTTGACATGGAGTGCTGAATTTTCTATGTAGGCCAAATGTTATCACAGGTTCTTATAAAAAGGAGGAAGAGCCAGGCGCGGTGGCTCATGCCTGTAATCCCAGCACTTTGAGAGGCCGAAGTGGGCAGATCACCTGAGGTCAGGAGTTTGAAACCAGCCTGGCCAACATGGAGAAACCCCGTCTCCACTAAAAATACAAAATTAGCTGGGTGTGGTAACGCATGCCTGTAATCCCAGCTACTCGGGAGGCTGAGGCAGGAGAATCGCTTGAACCCGGGAGGCGGAGGTTGCACTGAGCCGAGATCGCCGCCATTGCACTCCAGCCTGGGCAACAAGAGCGAAACTCCGTCTCAAAAAAAAAAAAAAAGGAGGAAGAGGCCGGACGCGATGGCTCACGCCTGTAATCCCAGCACTTTGGGAGGGCGATGTGGGCAGATCACGAGGTCAGGAGATTGAGACTATCCTGGCCAACATGGTGAAACCCCGTCTCTACTTAAAAAAAAAAAAATTAACTGGATGTGGTGGTGCACGCCTGTAGTCTCAGCTACTGGGGAGGCTGAGACAGGAAAATTGATTGAACCCAGGAGGCAGAGGTTGCAGTGAGCGGAGATCACACCATTGCACTCCAGCGTGGCGACAGAGTGAGACTCCATCTCAAAAAAAAAAAAAAAAAAAGAAAGAGGAAAAGAAGGCAAGGCAGTCAGAGTCCAAGAAGGAGCTGTGACAAAGGAAGTAGGGCCATGAGCCAAGGAATGCAGGAAACTTCTCTTAGTCTGTTCAGGCTGCCATAACAAAACACCATAGACTGGACGGTTTAAACAACAGACGTTTATTTCTCACAGTTCTAGCAGCTGGGAAACCCAAGATCAAGGTGTTGACAGATTTGGTTCTTGGTGAGGACTTTCTTCTTGGCTTGCAAGCAACCGCCTTCTTGCTATATCCTCACATGGTAGAGAAGAGCATGTGATCTCTTCCTCTTCTTATAAAGGCATTAATCCCATCATGGGAATTCTACTCTCATGACCTCATCTAAACAAAATAGTCTCCCAAAAACCCATCTCCAAATATGATCATATTGGGGATTAGGGTTTCAACATATGAATTTCAGGGAGTCTATAACATTCCAGAAGCTGGAAAAGCTGAGGAAATAGAGCCTGTCCTAGAGTCTCCCCACTCTAGATGCCCTGTTAACACATCTATTTTAGCTCATTGAGTCCCATGTCACACTTATGACATCTAGAAGTGTAAGGTAATAAATTTGTGTTGTTTTAAGCTATTAAATTTGTGGTAATTTGTTACGGCAATAATAGGAATCTATTACACTTGTTACAGATGGTTAGACAGGCATGAGCAGGGTAGGAGAGGGCTCTCTCCTAACCCACCAGAAATGTCAGACTTCACAATTATCACATTGCCTCTCTAAAAGTGATAAATTAGCAGCAGGTCCCAGGGAGAGGCCGTTTCCTGATGGTCTGCACCTGTTGTACTAAAGTGTTAATTGAATGCAGACACCAGAAAGAAGGAACTTCCCTGGCATGTGCATTAAGAGACAAAATGGTGGAGTATGACCTTTGGGACACTCCACTGGAAAAGGGAAGAAAGCTTCAGATGGGGATGCATACAACCTCCTAAACACAGCGCATGTGCTCACTTCCCAAACATAAAAAGGGCAGCATGCAGCCCACCCTAAAGGAAGAATCATGGAAAAGGGGTGAAAGACACCAGAAGTGGGGCAGCCTACAAAGTCCTAGGATCACAGCTAAAGGCAGCACTTGACCTTCACATGCCTGCTTGGATCTCTTCCAAGCATACTTTCCTGTTCTACAGCCTTTTTAAATAAACTTCAGCCCAGGCACGGTGGATAACGCCTATAATCCCAGCACTTTGGGAGTCTGAAGTGGGTGGATCATGAGGTCAGGAGTTCACAACCAGCCTGGCCAACATGGTGAAACCATGTCTTTACTAAAAATACAAAAATTAGCTGGGCATGGAGATGCACACCTGTAATCCCAGCTACTCAGGGGGCTGAAGCAGGAGAATTGCTTGAACCCGGGAGATACAAGTTGCAGTGAGCCGAGATCAGGCCACTGCACTCCAGCCTGGGCTACAGAGTGAGACTCTGTCTCAAACAAACAAACAAACAAACAAACAAACTTCAACTCCTTCTCTAAAAGTTGCTGTGGTCTCTTTTTCTGCCTTATACCCTTCAGTCGAATTCTTTCTTTTGAGGAGGCAAGAATTGAGGTTGCTGCAGACCCATATGAATTTGCTGCCAGTAACTCAGATATCTTTTGCCAGTAATGCACTGTCCTTGCTTGTGAACATAAGTGTGTTTCTATCCAACCTGAAAAGTATACAGTGAGGCCAGGCTTGGTGGCTCACAATTGTAATCCTAGAATTTTGGGAGGCCAAGCCAAGAGGATCGCTTGAGACCAAAAGTTCCAAACCAGCCTGGGCAACTGTATTAGCCCGTTTTCATGCTGCTGATAAAGACAAACCCAAGACCGGGAAGAAAAAGAGGTTTAACGCACATGTTCTCACACATAGGTGTGAATTGAACAATGAGAACACTTGGATACAGGGTGGGGAACATCACACACTGGGGCCTGTCCTGGGGTGGGGGGATGGGGGAGGGATAGGATGGAGATATACCTAATGTAAATGACAAGTTAATGGGTGCAGCACACCAACATGGCACATGTATACATATGTAACAAACCTGCATGTTGTGCACATGTACCCTAGAAAATAATAAAAAATAAATAAATAAATAAAAAGAGGTTTAATGGACTTAAAGTTCCACATAGCTGGGGAGGTCTCACAAACAAGGTGGAAGGCAAGGAGGAGCAAGTCATGTCTTACATGTATGCCAGCAAGTAAAGACAGAGCTTGTGCAGGGAAACTCCCCCTTAAAAACTCCCCCTTAAAAGACTTATTCACTATCATGAGAACAGCACCAGAAAGACCTGCCCCCATGATTCAATTACCTCCCACTGGGTCCCTCCCAGAGCACTTGGGAATTCAAGGTGAGATTTGGGTGAGGACACAGCCAAACCATATCAGCAACATAGCAACATCCTGTCTCTATAAAAAATTTAAAAATTGCCAGACGTGGTGGCTCACGTCTGTAATCCCAGCACTTTGGGAGGCTGAGGCAGGCGGATCACCTGAGGTCAGTAGTTTGAGACCATCCTGCCCAACATGGCGAAACTCTGCCTCTACTAAAAATACAAAAAATTAGCCAGGCGTGATGGGAGGTGCCTATAGTCCCAGCTACTCGGGAGGCTGAGGCAGGAGAATCACTTGAACCTGAGAGGCAGAGGTTGCAGTGCGTCAAGATCATGCCACTGCACTCCAGCCTGGGTGACAAGAGTGAAACTCCATCTCAAAAATAAATAAATAAATAAATAAAAATTAGCCAGGCATGCTGATGTGACCTATAATTCCAGCTACTCCAGAGGCTGAGGTGAGAGTAGCACTTGAAACCAGAAGTGAGTTCAAGTGAGCTGTGATCATGCCATTGCACTATAGCTTGGGTGACAGAGTAAAACCTTGTCTCTTAAAAAAAAAAATATATATATATATATATACAATTACTAACATATACTCATTACTCATATCAATAATTGATATATTTTTACAATATATAATTAACTTGCAGACATTGAGCTTTTCTTTTCTTTTCTTTTTTTTTTTGAGACTGAGTCTCACTCTGTCACCAGGCTGGAGTGCAGTGGGGCGATCTTGGCTCACTGCAACCTCTACATCCCAAGTTCAAGCAATTCTCCAGCCTCAGCCTCCCAAGTAGCTGGGATTACAGGGGCATGCCACCATGCCCAGCTTATTTTTGTATTTTTAGTAGAGACGGGGTTTTACCATGTTGGCCAGGATGGTCTCGATCTCTTCACCTTATGATCCGCCCTCCTCTGCCTCCCAAAGTGCTGGGATTACAGGCATGAGCCACTGCACCTGGCCCCTGAGCTTTTCTTTTTTAAAAAAATTCCTTTTTTTTCTTTTGAGACAGAGTCTTGCTCTGTCACCAAGGCTAGAGTGTGGGTCTTTCCCTATGTCATCATGTACTGTATTGTACAATACTCATTCAATCAGGTTATGAGTTAATCTAGGGGCACAACTCTTTTTTAAAATAAAGATGGGGTCTTGCTATGTTGCTCAGGCTGGTCTGAAACTCCTGGGGTCAAGCGATCCATCCACATGGGCCTCCCAAAGTGCTGGAATTACAGGCATGACCTACAGTGCCCAGCCTATGGGCACAACTTTAGGATTAATTAATTATTTAATTATTTAATTTTTTATTTTTTTTCAGACAGAGTTTCACTCTTGTTGCCCAGGCTGGAGTGTAATGGGCAATCTCGGCTCACTGCTGATACCTCTTCTCTTAGTCTCTTTATTTATTTATTTATTTATTTATTTATTTATTTATTTATTTATTTTTGAGACGGAGTCCAGGCTGTCGCCCAGGCTGGAGTGCAGTGGCACGATCTCGGCTCACTGCAAGCTCCGCCTCCTGGGTTTTACGCCATTCTCCTGCCTCAGCCTCCAGAGTAGCTGGGACTACAGGCGCCTGCCACCACGCCCGGCTAATTTTTTTTGTATTTTTAGTAGAGACGGGGTTTCACCCTGTTAGCCAGGATGGTCTCGATCTCCTGACCTCGTGATCCGTCTGCCTCGGCCTCCCAAAGTGCTGGGATTACAGGCGCGAGCCACCGCGCCTGGCCTATTTTTTCTTAGGTTTCTTAAGTATTCTTAAGTATTCTTTTGTATTTTTCATGAGTCTATGACTCATTTGAAGTACTTCTTTTTTTTTGAAACAGGGTCTCACTCTGTTGCCCAGGCTGGAGTGCAGTGGCCTGATCACTGCTAACTGCAGCTTAACCTCCCAGCTGAGAGCGTGTCACTGCACTCCAGCCTGGTGACAGAGTGAGACTCCATCTCCAAAAAAAACCAAAAAACAAAAATTAGCCAGGCATGGTGGCACGTGCCTGTAAACCCAGCTACTCAGGAGGCTGAGGCAGGAGAATTGCTTGAACCTGGGAAGCAGAGATTGCAGTGAACCGAGATTAAGCCATTGCACTTCAGCCTGGGGCAACAGAACAATCTCTGTCGCAAAATAAAGAAAGTCTTTATGTTTATTTATGAACAAATCATTTTGCTGGATATACAATTCTAAGTTGAGTTACTCTTTTTTCTAACACTTTGAAGATATTCTTCCACTATTCTCTAAACACTATTATTGCTGTTAAGACCTCCCTTAGTCTAATCGTTTTACTTTGTACGTTGCAGGTCATCTGACTTTTCTCTCTGGCTGAATTTAAGATTTTTCTCTTTTTGATATCTTGTGGTTCTGACATAACCATTCTGTGATTATGATATTCTACACCATACTTAGGTATGAACTTTCCCTCTGAATTGTGTTTCCTGTATGTGTGAATTCTTGTCCCAGGTTTAAGTGATCCTCCCAAGTAGCTGGGACTAAGGTGCATACCACCACACCGGCTAATTTTTAAAATTTTTTGTGAAGACAGAGTCTCACTATGTTGCCCAGGCTGGTCTTGAACTGAGCTCAAGCAAGCCTCCTGCCTCAGCCTCCCAAAGTGATGGGATTACAGGTATGAGCCACTGTGCCTGGCTGAAGTACTTTCTTTATGTTTATCTGCAGAGTACTAATTCTCTTTTTTGTCCATGTTTTAACTTGTTTTCTAGCAAATCTGTCAAGTTTTTATTTCAATGTTATATGTTTTATTCTAGAAATGCAATATGATTCTTTTTCAAATATGCCAAATCATTTTAATACTTACATCTTGCTCTTTTTCCTGATTTCACGTTTTTTATTTAAACATTTCAGATTAAGCAATGTAAAATCTATATATGATAAATTTAACATCAGAAGTTTTTGAAGAGGACCTACTGTGTTTTTTGTTCTGAATCTGTTCTTTGTTTTTGTTTGTTAATTTTTTAATGTAAGCTGATATTTGGGTTTCAATTTGTGTCAAATTTGAGGAAGGTGGCCAGTATTTTAAAGAGCTTGCTCACCACAAAACAAAAATGAGGCCGGGCGTGGTGGCTCACGCCTGTAATCCTAGCACTTTGGGGGGCCAAGGCGGGTGGATCACGAGGTCAGGAGATCGAGACCATCCTGGCTAACATGGTGAAGCCCCATCTCTACTAAAAACACAAAAAATTAGCCGGGCGTGGTGGCGGGCACCTGTGGTCCCAGCTACTCAGGAGGCTGAGGCAGGAGAATGGCGCGAACCTGGGAGGCGGAGTTTGCAGTGAGCCGAGATCGCACCACTGCACTCCAGCCTGGGCGACAGAGCGAGACTCTGTCTCAAAAAAAAAAAAAAATGAATAAACAAACTATGTACTTAAAGGAAACTACCCACAAAGTAACCAAGGTTACCAAGTTAACAGCTAGTCAGTTAATAAAGGAAAAATAGCAATTTTCTCATGTGATTATTTTATCTATAAAGCCCCTCCCATATCTTCAGTTATTCGCTTTATAAAAACAGTTGTTTTTATCTAGGAAACAGTAATTTACAGGAAAGCCCAAGGTTTTATTTGAGATATTAAAACTAGAGCCTTCTTTTGTTTCTGTTTTCTCAGGGTGCAAAGTGGGGTGTATGTGTGTTTCCCAAGTGTAGACCGTGTATGCTTACCCTTGGTGGAAGTATACAGTGTCTATTTTGCTCTACATTTCTTTTTTTTTGGAGACGGAGTTTCGCTCTGGTTGCCCAGGCTGGGGTACAATGGTACGATCTCGGCTCACTGCAACCTCCACCTCCCAGGTTCAAGCGATTCTCCTGCCTCAGCCTCCCAAATAGCTGGGATTACGGCATGCACCACCAGGCCCGGCTAATTTTTGTATTTTTCGTAGAGACAGGGTTTCACCATGTTGCCCAGGCTGGTCTTGAACCCCTAATCTCAGGTGATCCACCCACCTCGGCCTCCCAGACTGCTGGGATTACAGGCTTGAGCCACCGCGCCTGGCCCTTTCTTTTTTTTTTTTTTTTTTTTTTTTTTTTTTTTGAGACAGAGCCTTGCTCTGTCACCCAGGCGGGAGTGCAGTGGTGTGATCTCGGCTCACTGCAACCTCTGCCTCATGGATTCAAGCAATTCTTGTGCCTCAGCCTGCCAAATAGCTGGGATTACAGGCATGTGCCACCATACCCAGCTAATTTTTGTATTTTTAGTAGAGACAGGGTTTCACCATGGTGCCCAGGCTGGTCTCAAGCTCCTAGCCTCAAGTGATCTGCCTGCCTCAGCCTCCCAAAGTGCTGAGATTACGGGCATGAGCCATCACACTGGGCCTAGTTTCTTATAATTGTTTAATATGCATAGATTTTGTTTTTCAAAAAATTAAAAGTTCCCTAAGAGCAAGTAATCTTGAAGTTGGAGCAGAGATAGTGATGTCAAAAATAGAGGCTAATTATTAGTCTGCTCAGGACCATACCATGATATGGTCGAGGGTCTGGACCTTAGCTTTACAAGCCAAGAAACTAAATTTTTATCATTAACCCAGATTGATTAGTTCAGAGGAAATGGCTCATTTTGTGCAAGCTCACAAGACACCGATGAATGGGTATCACTATATTTTAGCTGGTCAGGCAGAAATGAGACTTTCTTGAGCTGCTTTACCACACAACTCACCAGACAGCCTCTATGTTTTCTGGGTAGACTAGCCTCCACATTTTTATGTTCAAATGTTCAGGAAACGAGGTCTTGCTCTTTCACTCAGCCTGGAGTGCAGTGGGGTGATCATAGCTCATTGTAGCCTCGACCTCCCTGGTCAGCCTCCCAAATAGCTGGGACTACAGGCACATGCCACCTTGCCCACCTAATTTTTTTATTTCATTTTATTTTTTTTGAGATGGAGTTTCCCTGTTGTTGACCAGGCTGGAGTGCAATGGCGAGATCTCAGCTCACTGCAACCTCTGCCCCCTGGGTTCAAGCAATTCTCCTGCCTCAGTATCCCTAGTAGCTGGGATTATAGGCGGATGCCAAGACGCCCAGCTAATTTTTGTATTTTTAGTAGAGACGGGGTTTCACCATGTTGGTCAAGGCTGGTTTCAAAGTCCTGACCTCAGGTGATCTGCCCGCCTTGGCCTCCCAAAGTGCTGGGATTACAGGCGTGAGCCACCACACCTGGCTTTTTTTTTTTTTTTTTTTTTTTTTTTGTAGAGACAGGGGTCTCACTTTGTTGCCTAGTCTGGTCTCAAACTCCTTGCTTCAAATGATCCTCCCATGTGTGCTGAAATGTTCAGGAAACTTTTCATTTATTTATTTATTTATTTTGAGACGGGGTTTCGCTCTTGTTGCCCAGGCTTGAGTGTAATCAATGGCATGATCTTGGCTCACTGCAACCTCTGCCTCCTGGGTTCAAGCAATTCTCCTGCCTCAGCCTCCCGAGTGGCTGGGATTACAGGCATACTCCACCATGCCCGGCTAATTTTTGTATTTTTAATAGAGACAGGGTTTCTCCATGTTGGTCAGGCTGGTCTCGAACTCCTCACCTCAGGTGATCCGCCCGTCTCAGCCTGCCAAAGCGTTGGGATTACAGGCGTGAGCCACTGCACCCAGCCATGTTCAGGAAACTTTTTTTTAAATTTATTTTTATTATTTTTTTATTTATTGGAGACAGAGTCTTGCTCTGTTTCCCAGGCTGCAGCGCAGTGGCGCAATTTCAGCTCACTGCTACCTCCGCCTCCCAGGTCAAGTGATTCTCCTGCCTCAAACTCCTGAGTAGCTGGGATTACAGGCGCCTGCCGCCACACCCAGCTAATTTTTGTATTTTTAATAGAGATGGGGTTTCACCATCTTGGCCAGGCTGGTCTTGAACTCCTGACCTCGTGATCCACCCACCTGGGCCTCCCAAAGTGCTGGGATTACAGGTGTGAGCCACTGCACCCAGCTTCAGGAAACTTCTAAACTGAAATAGAAACTCAATTGAAACAGATACCCTTGATTTGCATGGGGCCCACAGGGTAAAGTGAGGGAAAGACATTAAGGTTCATACTAGTACTGATTTGATGGCAAGAAGTCCTCGGAAAATGCTGGACTGCCCAGAAAGACAATAGCATCATGAGAAAAAACCATCATGCATCTAGTTGCATGAGCCAGACCAAACAAAAAGGCTGGCTGTTAGAACACACGGTCAGAGGTTTGAGCCTATTTCTGTCCATCTCCCAACATATTATCCCAGTAGCCTGATTTCTCCAAGCACCCAGGGTCTCTGGAAAAAAAGGACTCTGGCAAAAAGAAAAACATGTGACACAAGGGGCCAACAACTCTGAAAGAACAAATTAGAAGGCACAAAAGTTGATCCCCTGTTGGCTGGAAAGGGACATCAACCCATGAAGGTAGCGATATAGAGAAGGTGGACAATGGTGTGGGCAGCACCTGCTTTCAACAAAGTGGAAGCAGTCAACAGAGTAGAGGTCTGCAATACCAGCAGACACCAGAGCAAGAAAATACAGCACTGTAGGCCAGGCATGGTGGCTCCTGCCTGTAATCCCAGCACTTTGGGAGGCTGAGGCGGGCGGATCACCTGAGGTCAGGAGTTCAAAACTGGCCTGGCCAACATGGTGAAACCCTGTCTCTACAAAAACACAAAAATTAGCCAAGCATAATGGTGTGTGTCTGTAATCCCAGCTACTCTGGAGGCTGAGGCGGGAGAATTGCCTGAATCCGGGAGGTGGAAGTTCCAGTGAGCCAAGATCACACCATTGCACCCCAGCCCGTCTAAAAAGAAAAAAAAGAAAATACAGCACTGTACGCGGCAGGTCAGTGATTGTGTGATAGAAACAATTTCCATGTCCATCTTCTGGGTACTCCTAAAGGAAACTATGAGGAAGATTGTATGATTTTGCATTACTTAACTTCTCTGAGAAGGAAAACAAGAGTAATAATAAGTAGAGAGATTTTTACATGTTTCTTTCACTGCTGTGTCTCTAGTGCCTGTAAGAATGCCTGGCACAGGCGGGCGTGGTAATCCCTGTAATCCCAGCACTTTGGGAGGCTGAGGTGGGCGGATCACCTGAGGTAGGGAGTTCGAGACCACCCTGATCAACATGGAGAAACCCCGTCTCTACTAAAAATAAAAAATTAGCTCGGTGTGGCGGCCTGTAATCCCAGCTCTCAGGAGGCTGACGCAGGAGAATTGATTGAACCCAGGAGGCAGAGGTTGCGGTGAGCCGGAGATCGCGCCATTGCACTCCAGCCTGGGCAACAAGAGCGAAACTCCATCTCAAAAAAAAAAAAAAAAAAAAGAATGCCTGGCACAGGCTGGGTGCAGTGGCTCACGCCTGTAATCCAGCACTTTGGGAGGCCGAGGTGGGTGGATCACGAGGTCAGGAGTTTGAGACCAGCCTGACCAACATGGTGAAACCCCGTCTCTACTAAAAATGCAAAAATTAGCCGGGTGTGGAAGTGCGCACCTGTATAGTCCCAGCTACTCAGGAGGCTAAGGCAGGAGAATTCCTGAACCCGGGAGGTGGAGGTTGCAGTGAGTGCTGAAATCCTACCATTGCACTCCAGCCTGGGCAACAGAGTGAGACTCCATCTCAAAAAAAAAAAAAAAAAAAGAATGCCTGGCACAGAGTAGACACTCAAATATTTGTTGAATACATAAAAGATATTCACCACCCAGAACATCCCCTTCTTGTTACCAGGCACATGGAAGGTGTCTGACCAAAATGGTGTCTTTGGCTAATCTCATTAGGTTCCAAAAAGTCCCTGGAGGCTCTACTAGCACCTTGAAATTATCCCACCATTCACTCATTCCATTCATCCATTCATTTACTTAGTTACTAGTCATGTTTATGGAATCTCTACTACGTGCCAGATACTAGCCTAGTACTTGCAGATTTTGCAACTAACTTTTATAGAGTTTATATTCTAGTTGGAACAGGGGTGGAGTTGGGGTGTACAGAGAGGACAGACGAACCATGTTTCTCATCCTTGTTATTTCACCATGTTAGCCACCAGTAAAATTGTAAGCCCTGGCCGGGCGCAGTTGTTCACACCTGTAATCCCAGCACTGTGGGAGGCCAAGGTGGGCAGATCATCTGAGGCCAGGAGTTCGAGACCAGCCTGACCAACATGGAGAAACCCTGTCTCTACTAAAAATACAAAATTAGCTGGGCGTGGTGGCACATACCTGTAATCCCAGCTACTCGGAAGGCTAAGGCAGAAGAATCGCTTGAACCCGGGAAGCAGGGGTTGCGGTGAGCTGAGATCATGCCATTGCACTCCAGCCTGGGCAACAAGAGCGAAACTCTGTCTCAAAAAAAAAAAAAAATTGTAAGCCCTTCTATCATCTGTACTCTCCTATATTCTCCTTCTTATATTTCTTTGTGCTATCTCCCCTTCACTCAGTACTTTAACAAAGTACTAAGACTCTTACTTCTCCCTTGCAAGAGAAAATCTCCAATTACTGGCCGGGAGCAGTGGCTCATGCCTGTAATCCCAGCACTTTGGGAGGCCGAGGTGGGTGGATCATGAGGTCAGGAGTTCAAGACCAGCCTGGCCAACATGGTGAAACCCCATCTCTACTAAAAATACAAAAATTAGCAGGGTGTGGTGGCAGGGGCCTATAATCCCAGCTACCCAGGAGGCAGAGGCAGAAAATTGCTTGAACCCAAGAGACAGAGGTTGCAGTGAGCCAAGATCATGCCACTACACTCCAGCCTGGGCAGCAGAGCAAGACTGCATCTCAAAAAAAAAAAAAAGAAAGAAAGAAAATCTCCAATTACTTTATTTGGTCAAGTTACAAACCCAAAATCAGAGTCAGCTCTGAACTCCTGATTAAAGCATCATATGGAGGTGACTATGTAAATGGTAACGTGCAAGGACAAATTCTAGGACATACCATGGCAAAGAGATTTCTCATTGAATAAGTGGTTTCATTTCATTTTGGGAATAGGATTTAAGGCTTTACACGTAAAGAAAAGAATTTTTACTTCCTGCAGACATTCATTCATTAAATTTTTAAGAATTAATTAGATTCTATTTCATGAGTAGCACAACATAACATCCTATACAGACACAAATATGTGTAAAGTAGACTCAATTCTCTAGCAGATGTCACTTCTGCTAAGGAGACTAGACAGAAAAATACTGTGCAGTTAAATAACACTATAAACAGACATGGTGTTTCTAACATCTCACCCACCCACGCATACCCCTCTCCCAATCAGGTAATTTTCGTCTCTCTTGTCTCCCTGACCACACTGGATTACAGCTGTAACTATAATCAACCATGCTTTTTTTCTTTTTTGAGACAGGGTCTTGCTTAGTAGCCCAGGCTGGAGTGTAATGGTGAGATCATAGCAGGCGTGAACCATACACTCGGCCAATTATGCTCTTGAATTCACCCTAGGCCGGGCGTGGTAGCTCATGCCTGTAATCCCAGCACTTCGGGGGGCTGAGGCAGGCGGATCACCTGAGGTCAGGAGTTCAAGACCAGCCTGGCCAACATGGGGAAACCCCGTCTCTACTAAAAATACAAAAACTAGTTGGGCATGGTGGCGTGTGTCTGTAATCCCAGCTACTGGGGAGGCTGAGGCAGGAGAATCACTTGAGCCCAAGAGGCAGAGGCTTCAGTGAGCTGAGATCGTGACTGAGATCGCGACACTGCGCTCCAGCCCTGGCGACAGACTGAGACTCCGTTTCAAAAAAAAAAAAAAAAAAAGAATTCACCCTAGATTCCTCTGTCCTGTGACTTTCTGTTATTCAACCCAGGATTTTCTTTCCTCTTAATCTCAGGTTGCAGAGTTGCTACCTATTTAATGTTCCACAATCTTGAGCAGGTTGCAATTTTTTTTTTTAGATGGAGTCTCGCTGTGTCGCCTAGGCTGGAGTGCAGTAGTGCCACCTCGGCTCACTGCACCCTCCGCCTCCTGGGTTCAAGCAATTCTCCCAGCAGGTTGCAATTTAATGATTAGGAACAATCTGCATATAGGGCCTGGGAAGTGAGTAAGGAAATTTTACCCCTGTTGGAAGACAGACTTGTGAAACAACTGGGGTATTTAATCCCAGTCCCTGAGACTGAAAGGCTTCCAGAAAAGCAAGTAACACTAAATCAAGAAGACAGTCTAAATTCAGCCCCGCACAGTGGCTCATGCCTGTAATCCCAGCACTTTGGGAAGCCGAGGTGGGTGGATCACCTGAGGTCAGGAGTTCGAGACAAGCCTGACCATCATGGAGGAACCCCATCTCTACTAAAAATACAAAATTAGCCAGGCGTGGTGGTACATGCCTGTAATCCCAGCTACTCGGGAGGCTGAGGCAGGAGAATTGCTTGAACCCGGGAGGCAGAGGTTGCAGTAAGCAGAGATCATACCACTGCACTCCAGCCTAGGCAACAAGAGTGAAACTCCGTCTCAAAAAAAACAAAGAAGAAAAAGAAAAAAAAAAAGACATTCTAAATTCATACCCTGGGGTCATTTTAACAAATGCAGCAAAAATAGGAGAGGCTTATTGAAAGAAAACTGTGCTAATAATTCATTTGGCCAGACAGAAGGGAACGGCCAGGAATGCTCACAAATATAGTGACAGTAATGGTGTCATTCTGAGGCCTTCGCCTCAAGGCAGGGCTTGAAAGGGGATAAAGTCTAATGGCACTAGCTGGCATTTCAAATTCTAGATGCCTGAGGCAGACTGGCACCGAAACAGCTCCTCGTTTCTCTCAAAGTGAACATATAATTCATAGAGGGTTAACAAAATAATATCGTGAAGTTTTTCCCCTTTAAATCTCTAGCGGTGGCGGGGCGCGGTGGCTCACGCCTGTAATCCCAGCACTTTGGGAGGCCGAGGTGGGAGGATCCCTTGAGGTCAAGAGTCCGAGACCAGCCTGGGCAACATCGTGAAACCCTGTCTCTACAAAAAATTAGCTGGGTGTGGTGGCACAGGCCTGTAGTCCCAGCTGCTCCGGAGGGTGAAGTGGGAGGATCGCTTGAGCCTGGGAGTTGGAGGTTGCAGTGAGCCGTGATAGTGCCACTGCACTCCAGCTTGGGCAACAGCCAGACTGTCTCAAAAAAAAAAAAAAAAAAAAAAAAAAAAAAAAAAAAGGCCGGGCCTAGTGGGTCACGCCTGTAATCCCAGCACTTTGGGAGGCCGAGGCGGGCGTATCACGAGGTCAAGAGATCGAGACTATCCTGGCCAACATGCTGAAACCCCATCTCTACTAAAAATACAAAAATTAGCTGGGCGTGGTGGTGTGTGCCTCTAGTCCCAGCTACTGGGGAGGCTGAGGCAGGAGAATTTCTTTTTTTTTTTTTTTTTTTGAGACGGAGTCTCGCTCTGTCGCCCAGGCTGGAGTGCAGTGGCAGGATCTTGGTTCACTGCAAGCTCCGCCCCCTGGGTTCAGGCCATTCTCCTGCCTCAGCCTCCCGAGTAGCTGGGACTACAGGCGCCTGCAACCACACCCGGCTAATTTTTTGTATTTTTAGTAGAGACGGAGTTTCACCGTGTTAGCCAGGATGGTCTCGATCGATCTCCTGACCTTGTGATCCGCCCGCCTCGGCCTCCCAAAGTGCTGGGATTACAGGCGTGAGCCACTGCGCCCGGCTAGGAGAATTTCTTGAACCCGGGAGGCGGAGGTTGCAGTAAGCCGAGATCACACCACTGCACTCCAGCCTGGGTTACAGAGCGAGACTCCGTCTCCAAAAAAGAAAAAAAGAAAAAAGAAAAAAAGGCGCAAAGGCTCCGTTCAGGCCCTAGATCCCGCGATACAAACTTTCTCGGCCCGCCCCAGCCCGCTGTGGCGGGAACATTCTGGAAGTGACGGCAATCTCTGCGGCAGTCTTCTGTCGGAAGTGACGTTGCTATCCCAGAATCCTCAGAGAAGGAGTAGCGCGTTCGTGCGTCCTAGTTCCAGTACAGCGTGGAGGGTTTAGGCAGCGTGTTCTGATTCTTTGCGGGACGGCGAGCGCATTTGTGCTTTGCCCGCCGCGGCCTAGGAGGCCTTTTGAGGCCGCGTAGTCGGTGTTTTTGAACTGACTCTACAGCTTCTGGCAGGCCGTGCGGCGCCCTGACCCGGCCTCACCATGTTGGTGCTGTTTGAAACGTCTGTGGGTTACGCCATCTTTAAGGTAGGTGGGAGAGCGAGCCGTTAAAGGGGGAAGGCGGATGCTGGACAGACGAGGAGAGGGAAAGACTTAAGCACGGAACTACTCAGAGTAGCGTGGGTGCCTGTTATAGCCCGGGCTCTGGGAGGAGGGAGAAGGCCTTTACACCTGAGAGCCATGTTACGTGTAACACGTGGCCCCGCCGTTTGGGGAGACCCGTTCTGCATTAGAGGATTTTATTTCCTCCCGTTGAAGGGGTGGGCAGGAGGCGTGTTAGAATTTAACAGATTATAGGGAATTCGGACTTTATTCTAGATGTTTTGAGGAATGATCGAAAGATTTTTTTTTTTTTTGAGATGGAGTTTCGCTCTTGTTGCCCATGCTGGAGTGCAGTGGCGCAATCTTGGCTCACTGCAACCTCCGTCTCCCGGGTTCAAGCGATTCTCCTGCCTTGGCCTCCCGAGTAGCTGGGATTACAGGCCTCCATCCACCACCACGCCTGGCTAGTTGTTTTTGTTTGTTTGTTTGCTTTTAGTAGAGACGGGGTTTCACCATGTTGGCCAGGCTGGTCTTGAACTCCTGACCTCAAGCGATCCACCTGCCTCGGCCTCCCAAAGTGCTGGGATTACAGGCGTGAGCCACCGTGCTCGGCCAATCGAAAGGATTTAAGCAGAGGAATGACCTGCTAATTTGTCTTAATACGGTTACTCTGCTGTGTGGAGATTAGACTCGAGGAGATAAGAACGGCAGCAAGAATACTTTTGCATTCATTTGGACAAGATGAAATTGCCTGGTATGGAGAGAAACAAATATCGATAGAAATTGTGAAGGTAGAACAGGAAGGACTGGCTAATAGATTGAATGTGGGGTTTTGGTTTAAATAAGATGTTAAGAAAGTTTCTTGGGGAAGGACTAAAGATTTCCGGTTTGGGCTGTGCGAAGCTTGCGTTGTCTATTAGACCTGATAATGCAGTTGTGTAGATCGGGCAGTTCAGTATTTCAGATTTGAAGCTTAGGGGAAAACATCTGGGCTGGTGATGTCAGTTTGAGGTTTGGTTGTTTTCGTGGGGAAAGTTTGACAAGTTCGTCAGCACTGAAATGGTTGAATGGTAAGACATTCGTATCGCAAGATGCTGTTGAGATGTTAGGAAGAATGAGTGAGATTGAGTGCCTTTTCTTGTGCGGTGCAACTCTTCTGAGGTCTGTGAATATAGCAATGAAAAATAAAGTTTTTATGTATATTCTACATATATATATGTTGGTAGAAAGCAAAAACGCTAGGTAAAAATAAATGTAATACAATTTTAGCTATGAACCAAAAAACCATTTGTGGTGTGGATGCAAGAAAGTCTGGATGGGTGCAGAGTTCTCCATGTTTCACTTCTGACATTTGAAAATACGCAGTTTGCATTTGATACGTCAAATGTTATTTTTAAGAAAACCAATAAAATCATTAAAACCGAAAAGGCAGTTTTGCTTGTTTTTACCTTAGTTGGAGTTATCTGCAATTGCCGTATTAGTGTTTTAAGGAACTTGTAAGTAAGCTCCTTAGTCCCCTTTAGAGCTACGAAACATGTCAATTTTACTTTTCTCCAGCTTTTTGGAATCTTATCTAAATTACCATGTAGAGTTCTGCATAGCTTCAAATTCTCTTAGCCAATGTGGTCTGTAAGTGTCTATCGATGAATTTCACCGTTAATTGCCGTAGTATACTGTCCTGTACCGGATGTGAAGAGGAGCAACTCTGCACAGTGCACTGGTTGTCTCCCATGGTAGGAAGGAATTGGCTTATCAATGGTCGGATTTCTAGACCTGGGTCCTAAAATACTCAACCGTGTCTCGATGAATTACTGATTTCTATTAATGAAAAGTGTCCTCCTCCATGAAAATGTCTTTGAGTATTCCGTTGGAGTTTGCAGTGCTATTTATCTGCAAGTTACTGTTCAAAATGATTAAATTGTGGTTTATGTAACCTAGTACTAAAGAAATAACTAGTTAAGCTCGAATATGTTGACATTGATTAGTTTGTAATTATTGGAATTAACATTGATCGTTTCTGAGTATAAAAGACATACAAACGTTCTGGAACTAGTGATGGCTGCACATTTTTGTGAAAATGCACTACTAAAAAGTGAATTGTACACTTTAAAAGGGCAAATATTAAGATACATGTAAAATTAATATGATATATGGTGAATTTTATCTCCTAAAAAAGTAGACATACGGTTCAAAGTTATTAGTTTCCTTTCCCATAATCTTTCAAAATGCTAGGGTATAAAATTATGTTGGTTGCCAGGCATGGTGGCTCATGCCTGTAATCCCAGCACTTTGGGAGGCCGAGGCCGGCGGATCACAAGGTCAGGAGTTTGAGACCAGCCTAACCAACATGGTGAAACCCCGTCTCTACTAAAAAAATAGAAAAATTAGCTGGGCGTGGTGGTGTGCGCCTGTAATCTCAGCTACTTGGGAGGCTGAGGCGGGAGCATTGCTTGAACCCGGGAGGCGGAGGTTGTGGTGAGCTGAGATCGTGCCATTGCACTCCAGCCTGGGCAATAAGAGCACAACTCCGTCTCAAAAAAAAAAATTATATTGGATGCATATAATTCATGCTTTGATGAGAATGCTTTAGGAAGTTTTTTGAAGTTTTTTGTTTTTTTGTTTTTTTTGAGACGGAGTTTCACTCTTGTTGCCCAGGCTGGAGTGCAATGGCGCGATCTTGGCTCACCACAACCTCTGCCTCCCAGGATCAAGCAATTCTCCTGCCTCAGCCTCCCGAGTAGCTGGGATTACCAGCATGCACCACCACGCCCAGCTAATTTTGTATGTTTAGTAGTGACAGGGTTTCTCCATGTTGAGGCTGGTCTCGAACTCCTGACCTCAGGTGATCTGCCCGCCTCAGCCTCCCAAAGTGCTGGGATTACAGGCGTGAGCCACTGCACCTGGCCTTGAAGTTTTTTTTAAACTTCCATTTACAGTGAGGAAAACATTTTATGTATAACCCATGTACACATACAAATTCATGTTTATGTATTTAAAATTTATTTTGAGGCAGGGTCTTGCTCTGTCACCCAGGCTGGGGTGCAGTGGCAGGATCATGGCTCATTGCAGCCTTGGCCTCCTGGGTCAAGTGATCCTCCCACCTCCTCCCGAGTAGCTGGGACTACAGGCTCAAGCCACCATGCCTGGCTAATTATTTATTTATTTGTATTTGTATTTATTTATTTTTTGAGATGGAGTCTCACTCTGTTGCCCAGGCTGGAGTGCAGTGGTGTGATCTCGGCTCACTGCAACCTCCGCCTCCTGGGTTCAAACGATTTTCCTGCCTCAGCCTCCCAAGTAGCTGGGATTACAGGCGTGAGCCACCATGCCTGGCCTAAATTTTTTTTTTTTTTTTTAAGAGGCAGAGTCTCACTATGTTGCCTAGGCTGGTCTCAAACTCCTGGCCTCAAGGTGCTGGGATTACAGCCATGAGGTACGGTGTTCTGCCCACTTATGTGTTTAGAGCGATTCAAAAGGAAAACACTTCCAAAAAGTTATTGCTCATTAACAGGGTTATATATATATAAATGTAAAGACATTGTGTAAAGGAACTGTTGTGATTAATTCTAGGATATTATAAAAATTCAGCCTGTGGCCGAGAGCAGTGGCTCACGCCTGTAACCCCAGCTACTTGGAAGGCTGAGGCAGGACAATCAGTTGAACCTAGGAGCAGAGGTTGCAATGAGCTGCGGTCGCGCCACTGCAGTGCAGCCTGGGCGACAGGGCAAGACTCCGTCTCAAAAAAAAGAAAAAAAGAAAAAAAGAAATTCCACCTGTGTCCTTGTGTCACGTGGCACACAGCATAAGATTTTAGTCTTGCTCATACCAGACTTCCTTCAGCTGCTCTTCCATGTGGTAGCCATTAGTACGTATAACCATTTCACATGAGATGTAACTGATAGGACTGAGGAAGTGAATTTTAACTTACTTGAATTTTAATGGTTATATTGTACAGTGTAGCTGTGTAGCATAGCATTTTGTGTCACTTCATTTTCTCAAGGTTTGGAGAAAGATTTTTGATGTACATACCAAATGTCTATATAAAACCTAAGTACTGAGCAATATATTTTTTCTAACTTTATTGGGTGTACTTTACATACTGTATAACTCACCTATAGGTTTTAGTTACAATCCAGTTTTATAGTACACTTTGTTGCAAAAAGTTCTCATGCCCATTTTCAAGTTAGTCCTGCTCTAGACAACCACTGTTCAGCTTTCTTTTTGCATAATTTTTTCTAGAAGTTTCATGTAAGTGGAGTAGTATTTTAGTCTTTTGTGTTTGGCTTTTTTCACTTAGTGTAATGCTTCTGAAGCTAACCGAAGAGCTTTTTCACATTTGTTGCGTGTATGGATTTGTTTCTTTTTGAGCAGTGCACATTTTAAACTAATTATCAGTTTTATCCTGTATTTAAACAAGTTTCATAAAATATTAACTTGCTCATATTGTCTGTGGAAGTGAAACTTAAAAGTTAGCATCAAATAATTTACACAAAACATAGAGGTTGGGTGCAGTGGCTCACGCCTGTCACCCTAACACTTTGGGAGGGTGAAGCAGGAGGATTGTTTGAGCCCAGGAGTTGCAGACCAGCCTGGGCAACATGGCGGAAAAAAAATTAGCTGGGCACAGTGGTGCTTGCCTGTAGTCCCAGCTGCTGCAGGAGGCTGAGGTGGGAGGGAGGTCACGGCTGCAGTGAGCTGTGATTGAGCCTCTGCACTTTAGCCTGGACAACAGAGTGAGACCTCATCTCAAAACAAAACAAAAACCACACAAAGTCTCAAGCAATCAATTAAAAATGAAAATGAGGAGGCTGGACATGGTGGCTCACACCTGTAATCCCAGCACTTTGGAAGGCTGGGGTGGGCAGATCATGAGGTCAGGAGTTTGAAACCAGCCTGGCCAACATAGTGAAACCCCGTCTCTACTAAAAATACAAAAATTAGCCGGGCATGGTGGTGTGTGTCGCCAAATCTGTAGTCCCAGCTGAGGCAGGAGGATCGCTTGAACCAGGGAGGTGGAGGTTGCAGTGAGAAGACCGCGCCTCTGCACTCCCCAGCCTGCGTGACAGGGCGAGACACTGTCTCAAAAAAAAACAAAAAAAGTGATTAAAATTCTTAATTCCATATACCCTCACCAATATTCTGTATCAGCTGCCCAAGTATTAGATAGGATGGGCTCAATCCTAAAAGGCACAACCCCCATATTTAACATCCCTAAAATTGGGATGTCTTACAATTGATGACAGGTCAATTGGGAGTGTAAAAGAATAACATAAGCTGGGTGTGGTGGCTCACGCCTGTCATCCCAGTACTTTGGGAGGCTGAGGCAGGTAGATTGCCAGACCTCAGGAGTTCGAGACCAGCCTGGGCAACAGGGTGCAACCCCGACTTTACTAAAATACAAAAAAAAAAAAAAAAATTAGCCAGGCATGGCAGCATGTGCCTGTAATCCCAGCTACTTGGGAGGCTGAGGCAGGAGAGTTGCTTTAACCAGGGAGGTGGAGGTTGTAGTGAGCTGAGATCACGCCACTGCGGTCCAGCCTGGCCGACAGAGCGCAAGACTCCGTCTCAAAAATAAAAAAAAAAAGAATAGCATGTTAAATTTTGTGAAATAGAGTATGCACAGATATTATGCATATATTTTTATTTAAAAAACCAGCTGGATCAGGCGCCATGGTTCCTTCCTGCACTCCCAGCACTTTGAGAGGCCAAGGCAAGAGGATCACTTGAGTCCAGAAGTTAGAGATCAGCCTGGGCAACAAAGCAAGCCCCTGTCTCTACAAAAAGATTTTTAAAAGAGCTAGATGTCGCAGTGTGCACCTATAGTCCTAGCTACTTGGGAGGCCGAGGCAGAAGAATCGCTTGAGGCCAGGAGTTTGAAGCTGTAGTGACATAGGACCACACCACTCCACTCCAGCCTGGACAACAAAGCGAGACCCTGTCTCTGGAAAAACAACACAGCTAGTAAATTTAAAACTATACTTTGCTAATAAGCATTATTTATCAAGTCCATAATATAGCACATCTACACATTAAGACGCAGTTCTAGTCTGGTTATATATTATTTTCAGTAAGAGAAACACAATGTTGCAAGTTGTATAAAACTTAGATGAGTGACAAGATGATTTTAGGGGTTTGTTCTGATGTATAATTTTTTTTTTTTTTTTTTTTTTGAGACGGAGTCTTGCTGTCGCCCAGGCTGGAGTGCAGTGGCGCGATCTCAGCTCACTGCAGGCTCCGCCCCCTGGGGTTCACGCCATTCTGTTGCCTCAGCCTCCCGAGTAGCTGGAACTACAGGCGCCTTCCACCTCGCCCAGCTAATTTTTTTGTATTTTTAGTTAGAGGCGGGGTTTCACCGTGTTAGCTAGGATGGTCTCGATCTCCTGACCTCGTGATTCGCCCGCCTCAGCCTCCCAGAGTGCTGGGATTACAGGCATGAGCCACCGTGCCCAGCCTGTATAAATTTAATCACACATGGTTGAATTAGATATGTTGGTAAAAATAACCCAAACTAGAAAAACTTAGAGTCACACAAAGCAATAAACAACTACAAAGCCTAGAGTTGGTATTAACAATTTATAAACTAATAGCTCTAACTTTGTATATCATGAAGTTTTAGAATCCAGAGACACCTCACCAAGTCTCATGACTATACTGAAAACACTGATTAAAATTTTTTGAAATTGTTCAGAGAATGCAGCTAACCATAACTGAAGTTCACTATTTTTAAGAGGACATGTATCAAATAGGGGATATGACTCATGAGTAAAATTCACATTTTTTCTAGCTGAAAAGCAAGTATATTTGAAGATAACATTTGGGTAACAAAATTGCCATATTTAAAAGATACTTTCGGCCTGGCGGGGTGGCTCACGCCTGTAATCCCAACACTTTGGGAGGCCGAGGTGGGTGCATCATGAGGTCAGGAGATCGAGACTATCCTGGCTAACACGGTGAAACCCCATCTCTACTAAAAATACAAAAAATTAGCCAGGTGTGGTGGCAGGCGCCTGTAGTCCTGGAGGCTGAGGCAGGAGAATGACGTGAACCCAGGAGGTGGAGCTTGCAGTGAGCCGAGATCCTGCCATTGCACTCCAGCCTGGGCGACAGAGCGAGACTCCGTCTCAATAAATAAATAAATTAATTAAAAAATACTATCACCATTCTAAAACTGAAGTTAAAATAACAAAGGAAATGTGATAAAATCAGGGCAATTCATGAGCACACAAAGGTCTTCAAAGACTATGTTATGTCAGCCAAAACCATTACTATGACAAATAAAACCATTGTGTTCCCAACTGCAACATCTTGAAGAAAACATTGCTAATAAAGACCATCTAAATAAGAAAGTTAGAGATATTGCTACATTTTCTGTATTACATTTGTCTCAAAGTTTTTATTTGTCTCAAATTTTTAATCATTTCTTTTCAGCCAGGGTAATGATAAATATTTGTATACAGAAATCCATTTTAAGTTTTATCATTTTAAGATAATTTCCATTTCTAAGTAGAAATAGTATACAACTATTACCATTGCAATCTTTAGCATTGTTGTTACAACAGTACTAGTTTTAAAACAAGTCTTTATATTTTATAGATACAAACTGAAATATTAACAGGTAAAAATTAAATGTCTAGGTCTTGCTTCAAAACAATACAAGGCGGCTGGGTGTGTTGGCTCACGCCTGTAATCCCAACGCTTTGGGAGGCCGAGGCAGGTGGATCACCTGATGTCAGGAGTTCAAGACCAGCCTGGCCAACTTGGTGAAACCCAGTCTCTACTAAAAATACAAAAACTAGTTGGGTGTTGTGGTGCGTGCCTGTAATCCCAGCTATTCAGGAGACTGAGGCAGGAGAATCGCTTGAACCCGGGAGGCGGAGGCTGCAGTGTGCCGAGATTGCGCCACTGCACTCCAGCCTGGCGACAGAGTGAGACTCCATCTCAGAAAAAAAAAAAAAAAGCCATTTACTGTGATTCCTAAAAGTATGCATGAACATGTGTTGCACAGACATTCAAAGTCTTGGAGAATATATACCTAAATGTTGATAAGTATATTGTTGATTAAAGTACCCTATGTTTCTTTTGCATTTAAAAAATTTCTCACATCTAGATGTGTCTCACAATTGACGATAGTTTTAGAGAAATCCATAATACTTTCATGTTAGGATGATCATAGCAGTAAATAACGAATATAATCTATTGAAAGTAGACAAAAGTTTTTTTTGTTTTTTGTTTTATTTTTTTGAGATGGAGTTTTTTGCTCTTGTTGCCCAGGTTGGAGTGCAGTCGCGCAATCTCGGCTCACTGCAACCTCTGCCTCCGGGTTCAAGCAATTCTCCTGCCTCAGCCTCCCGAGTGGCGGGGATTACAGGCATGTGCCACCACGCCCAGCTAATTTTGTATTTTTTTTTTTTTTTTTTTTTTGTAGAGACGGGGTTTCTCCATGTTGATCAGGCTGGTCTTGAACTCCTGACCTCAGGTGATCCGCCTGCCTCAGCCTCCCAAAGTGCTGGGATTACAGATGTGAGCCACCATGCTTGGCGCAAATTAAAGTTTTTAATGATTACAATACTTTACTGTAAAGGGATTAATGGCTCTTTTAAAAGAAAGGTTCTCGGCCAGGTGCAGTGGTGCACACCTGTAATCCCAGCTACTCAGGAGGCCGAGGCACTAGAATCTCATAAACCCAGGAGGTGAAGGTTGCAGTGAGCCAGGATTGCTCCACTGCACTCCAGGCTGGGCTACAGAGCGAGACTCCATCTCAAAAAAATAAAAAGAAAGGTTCCCTGCCCTACCCCCTAGGACCCCATAGCTCCAGCTACGGCCCAAGGCTGGGGCAGGAATATCTCTTGAGGCCAGGTAGATTCTAGACTGAATAGCCACTGTACTACAGCTGACTGGACTAGATCTGAATTCCATTTAGCTGTTAAATGGGCAATTCGAACTAGTAATTTGACCAAAATTACATGCAGGGTAAGAAAACTAGTTCATTATCTTAGTGAAAGAAATAGCTTCTACACCTTCATTTTACATGTAAAATTGTATTTGAAGAATGCAGCTGTATATGCCTCACCTGTACCATTTAAATAAAACTATTTAAACATTTTATTACAGGTTCTAAATGAGAAGAAACTTCAAGAGGTTGATAGTTTATGGAAAGAATTTGAAACTCCAGAGAAAGCAAACAAAATGTAAGTACTCTTGAAATCAATAATTTAGCAGTTAACATTTAGGGCTTGTTTTATTTTTTACATTTTTCCCTGATTTATATAATGTTACATTCGTAGTTTTCTGTTTTGAAATCTGTTTCAGGAATAATTTTGGTATGAACCTAATTATTACAAATGTTTTACTTGGAATATAGGCCATCTCAATTAATTTGAAGGCAGTAGTCTCCCCCTTACCCACAGGGATTATGTTCCAGAAGACCCTGTGGATACTTTAAACCTCGGATAGTACCAAATGTGATTGCTGTCAGTAGGAACACATTTGTCTTCGTGTCTTCCACACACAAATGTAATACCTTTTTTATCTTAACTAAGCACTTACCGCACACAGGGGTTGTAACCTGCTTTTTGAGTTTTGCAACATCAAAACTAGCATGAACTACTTTTTCTTTCATCACAATTTCATGGAAGATTCATTCTTAGTGTAGATGTTAAATCTTTGGTTTTTTTGTTTGTTTTTTGAGACAGAGTCTTGTTCTGTCACCTAGGCTGGAGTACAATGGCGCAATCTCTGCTCACTGCAACCTCCGCCTCCTGGGTTCAAGCTATTCTTCTGCCTCAGTCCCCCAAGTAGTTGGGATTACAGGTGCCCACCACCATGCCCAGCTAATTTTTGTATTTTTAGTAGAGACAGGGTTTCGCCATGTTGGTCAGGCAGGTCTCAAACTCCTGACCTCAGGCGATCCGCCTGCCTCGGCCTCACAAAGTGCTGGGAGTACAGGCGTGAGCCACCACACCTGGCCTAAATCTTCGTATTTGTATGTATATTTAAGGGACCACACTAGTATGTTCCCTTACCAGATAAGAAAACCTTGCTTAAGATGACACTGTTGCCTGGTGTGGTGGCTCATGTCTGTAATCCTAGTACTTTGGGATACCAAGGTGGGTGGATCATTTGAGGTCAGGAGCTCGAGACCAGCCTGGCCAACATGGTGAAACCCCCTCTCTCCTAAAAACACAAAATTAGCCGGGCGTGGTGGCACATGCCTGTAATCCCAGCTACTGGGAGGAAGCTGAGGCAGGAAAATCCCTTGAGCCTGGGAGGCGGAAGTTGCAGTGAGCCGAGATTGCGCCACTGCACTCCAGTCTGGGTGTCAGAGTGAGACCCTGTCTCCAAAAAAAAAAAAAAAGATGACACTGTTTTAGGCAACTAGAAGACTAGTTTTCCTTCTTAAAGGGTTATATGCTTTGTTGGGTTAATCTGATTCGTTGTTGTCAATGATGTATTCTTCTTGGAACTGAATCTAAGTGATCTGACTCAATATTCGTCACTACCACTGAGACAACGATGAATCAACTATATGTTTCTTTCTGGATAAAATACTACCCTGAGGCTGGGCGTGATGGCTCACACCTGTAATCCCAGCATTTTGGGAGGCCAAGGCAGGCGGATCAGTTGAGCCCAGGAGTTCAAGACCAGCCTGGGCAATATAGGAAAACCCCATCTCTACCAAAAACAAAAATTAGCTGGGTGTGGTGGTGCACACCTATAGTCCTAGCTGCTTGGGAGACTGAGGCTGGAAGATCCTTTGAGCTCGGGAAGTCAGGGCTGCAGTGAGCTGTGATTGCACCACTGCATTCCAGCCTGGGTGACAGAGTGAAGTGAGACCCTGTCTCAAAAACATAAAGGGGGCCGGGCACGGTGGCTCACGCTTGTAATCCCAGCACTTTGGGAGGTCGAGGTGGGTGGATCACAAGGTCAGGAGTTTGAGACCAGCCTGGCCAATATGGTGAAACCTCTTCTCTACTAAAAAATACAAAAAAATTAGCCAGCCATGGGGGCTGGGCACGGTGGCTCACGCCTGTAATCCCAGCACTTTGGGAGGCCAAGGCGGGCGGATGATGAGGTCAGGAGATGGAGACCATCCTGGCTAACACGGTGAAACCCCGTCTCTACGAAAAATACAAAAAATTAGCCAGGTGTGGTGGCGGGTGCCTGTAGTCCCAGCTACTTGGGAGGCTGAGGCAGGAGAATGGCATGAGGCAGGAGAATGGCATGAACCTGGGAGGTGGAGTTTGCAGTGAGCCGAGATTGCGCCACTGCACTCCAGCCTGGGCGACAGAGTGAGACTCTGTCTCAAAAAAAAAAAACAAAAACTAGCCAGGCATGGTGGCACAGGCACATGCCTGTAATCCCAGCTACTTGGGAGTCTGAGGCAGGAGAATTGCTTGAATCCGGGAGGCAGAGGTTGCAGTGAGCCGAGATCGCACCACTGCACTCCAGCGTGGGTGACAGTGAGATTCTGTCTCAAAAAAAAAAACAAAAAACCATAAAGGGTTAGGATGTAACAAGAATGAGACCTGACAATAAGCTATTTTTTTTAATGGCATTTGTACAGGATAGACAAATGAATATCATGAGATTCCTAAAAAGGACTCACGTACGTTTTCTTGAGTCAATTCTATGCTGTATAATAAAGTCATCTCTGTACAGCTTTATGCAACAGGGGTTTGTATTAAAGCTTCAACATCTTTACTCTTGGCCAAAATTTCCTCCAAAGCCTACAACTTTCTTTTAATAATCCAAGCATTACTAGCCTAACATTTAGAAAAACTAGTAATTGTATGAAGAATATCTAACTTCACACCCTGATACACAATGGTAGGCATGTTTTATTGGTGTGTGCTTTGGAAACAGTCAAGCACTTCTTTCCAAGTTATGTGGCTTTTGAATCAACGCACTGCCCCCAATAACATGTTTATCTCTTTTTTTTTTAATTCTAGAGTAAAGCTAAAACATTTTGAGAAATTTCAGGATACAGCAGAAGCATTAGCAGGTAAAGTAAAAAATTAGAAGCTTGCTTTTTTGAAAAAATTAAGTCTTAGCCGTTTGTTTTTCTTGTTTAAAAGGTTGTTTGCTTCAGTTGCCTGTGTTAACCTTATTCAATGTTGTCAATGATGCATTCTTATTGGAACTGAATTTAAGTGATCTGACTCATTCGTCACTACCACTGAGACAACATTGAGTTAGCTTTTTTCACCATAGGGCTGGTTTTCCCCATGTGTGAGGAGAGGTGAGAAGTGGTTAAGTTGATCTCCCTGTGGAAACCAGCAACATAATGCTGAAGCACAATTCAGTAAAAGGTGTTCTACAAGGGACCAAGGTAATGTGGTCAAGTATACAGCTCTCTCCTCATTTTAATCCAAGGGTAGAGTTGTAATCCTGAGAACAGCCAGGATTCACAGTTGAAAAATAATTTAAAAAGCTCTTCTGGGGGTATAGATTTTTAGTTCAAAAAAACATATCAATATTCAGAGTTATACAGAAACTGACAGAGGTGTTATTTTTAAAAGATTCAGAAGAATGGATGACTCATACTCTTCAACTAGATTTCATCACGGGACAACAGAGTGATCGGGTTTATTTACTGTAATTGACTGCAGTAGGTCTTACAGTTTTGTTTTTTTAAGTGTTAGGGAAAACAGGAAGAGCAGATATAAAGCCCAAATCATTAAATTTTCAACTGCCTGAATTCTTTATCACAAATCAGCCAACTATTTGGCGGTGTAGTTTGAAAATGAAGGACCGTGAGGAAGAATATGGCTTAAAGCTGGGCAAGAATATGACAGATGCAAAAAATTTTGTTAAATAACCACAGGAGAAAGGTACAGTTTTTGTCTGAAAATTTGGAATCCAACTAAACATGCTGGAACATAACAGACCACCCTAACCTTGGCAGAGGGGTAGGCTGAAGGAAGACCCATAGGGCCAGTTTCTTTGTTTTATAAACATAGTTCTAGGGCTGCTTCACCAACTCTTCAGTAATTAGAGTTATATACAGCCATAAAAAAAACTGTGGTAATATTAACTTGGAGAATTTTTAAAAAGATAGCCTGTTCATCACAGCTTTTAAGTATGGGTAAACATTTGGTAAGATTCCAAGCAAGATTGTGTTAGCTGTATTCAAACTCTAGGGGGTGTTGTTGACATAGACTGGGATATGAACAGTTCCTAGTCCTGATCTCAAGTAGCCTCTTCTGAATTCCTTTTTGCATACGATCTTTAATCTGCTTGGGATATATCTGGCCAGTCCTTATTAAACTGTATTAAATGGACAAGCCAAGCTTTTGCTCAAACAAGCAGGTTTTTACTATTAATACCTAATATATTGAGCACATACTGATTGTCAGATTTATGCTTATGATTTCATAATTGTTATTTAATTCTTGAATCCTGTGAGGCAGATAACCATCATCTCTATGTTACAGATGATAAAACTTGAAATTTAAGCAGTATTTCCAGATTCATTTACCTAGCTTCTTTGTATTATTTAAAATAATGTACAATAAGGCTGGGTGCGGTGGCTCATGCCAGGAATCCCAGCACTTTGGGAGGCCAAGACAGGCGGATCACCTGAGGTCAGTTCAAGATCAGCCTGGCCAACATGGTGAAACCTCGTCTCTACTGAAATTACAAAAATTAGCCGGGTGTGGTGGCACACACCTTAGTCCCAGCTACTCGGGAGGCTGAGGCAGGAGAAACACTTGAACCTGGTAGGCAGAGATAGCACTGAGCCAAGATTGCACCACTGCACTCCAGCCTGGGCAACAGAGCGAGACTCCTTCTGGAAAATAACATAAAATTAAGTAGTGTACAGTAAATGGACAAAATGCCATAGTAGTTGAGAATTTAAAGTCAATTCCCCCCAGTCTAAGCTCCATGAGGGCAGAGACTGTTCTGTACTGTCAAATTCCTAGACGCTAGCAAAGTATACAGCTATAGAAGGTTTATAATAAATATTTTGGGGAAAATGAATGAAAATAGTGAATTTTATCAGGAATGCTGTCATAGAAACATTTACAATGCCTTTTCCTATCTGTTTTCACCAGAAAGTTAAATGAACATCAGCTAATTAAGAAAGCAGAATCCTTCCCCTGGGAATTCAGTTCTCACTGCCTATTATAAGGCAGTTTTGACATGACAGAACCACAACTAAATGGCTGTAAATGTCACAGTGTACATTTTAAACCTCATAGCCTTAGAGTTTGATGAGACCAGGCACAGTGACTAACACCTGTAATCCCAACACTTTGAGGGGCTAAGATGGGCAGGAATTTAAGATCAGCCTGGGCAATATAGCAAGACCCCCTCTCAAAAAAGATTTTTTTTTTTTTGGAGATGGAGTTTCATTTTGTCACCCAGGCTGGAGTGCAGTGGCATGATCTCGGCTCACTGCAGTCTCCACCTCCTGAGTTCAAGTAATTCTCCCAGGAGGCTGGGTTCAGCCTCCAAAGTAGCTGAGATTACAGGTGATACCACCATGTCCAGCTAATTTTTGTATTTTTTAGTAGAGACGGGGTTTTGCCTGTTGGCCAGGCTGCTCTGGAACTCCTGACCTCAGGTGATCCACCCGCCTTGGCCTCCCAAAGTGCTGGGATTACAAGCATGAGCCACCGTGCCTGGCCATCATTTTTTTTTTTTAAATAAAGAAATAGGGTCTGTTGGGGTGTGATGTTGAATTTGTATTGGTCTCAGACATTCATATATGCTATTTGCATGAAGTGGTTTATTTTTATTCTTGATTGTGTTTTCAACTTGCAAGTCTTTTTTTTTTTTTTTTTGATACTGATCTTCGGCTGGAGTACAGGGGCGCGATCCCAGCTCACTGTAGTCTCTGCCTCCTGAGTAGCTGGGATTACAGGCTCATGCCACCACGCTCACCTAATTTTTGTATTTTTAGCAGAGATGGGGTTTCACCATGTTGCCTAGGATGGTCGCATCTCCTGACCTCGTGACCCGCTCACCTCAGCCTCCTGAAGTGCTGGGATTATCCATTTGATCATAATTCGAATGGATATACGATCAGGAGGGAAGAGCAAGACCTGACTTATTAAGCACAAACTGCCTGACCTTGGAAATTGTTGATAGACCTTCATTCCTGCCAAGCATTTTTCTTTTCTTTTTCTTTTTCTTTTTTTTTTTTTAGATGGAGTTTTGCTCTTGTCACTTAGGCTGGAGTGCAATGTCACGGTATCACTTTAACCTCCACCTCTGGGTTCAAGCGATTCTCCTACCTCAGCCTCCCGAGTAGCTAGGATTACAGGCGTGAGCCACCAGGGCCAGCTAATTTTTGTATTTTTAGTAGAGTGTTTCGTCATGTTAGCCAGGCTGGTCTCTCGAACTCCTGACCTTAGGTGATCTGCCAGCCTCAGCCTCCCAAAGTGCTGGGATTACAGACTTGAGCCACCACGCGCAGCCCAAGCATACTTTTTATGTTTTTTGTTTTTGTTTTGTTGAGACAGGGTCTGTCACCAGGCTGCTGGAGTACAGCGGCATGATCATGACTCACTGCAGCCTTGAACTCCCTGGGCTCAGGTGATTGTCCCAGCTCAGCCTCCCCAGTAGCTGGACTACAGGCACATGCCACCACACCCAGCTAATTTTTGTATTTTTAGTAGAGACAGGGTTTCGCCGTGTTGGCCAGGCTGGTGGTACACACCACCATGCCTGGGTAACCCAAGCATACTTTTACCTCAGTCAAATGTCAGATAAATTTCAGAAGAGGTATTAGTTCGTGTGGGTCCAGAAAAAGGGAATATAGGTCTAAGGAAGGGTGAGAAATATAAAGCAGCTGATTTAGAACTTGCCAGAAATACCAGCGGTCTCAAAATAGAATAGGCAGCCTTTGCTACTAAGTTTTACATTGCTGGAGGTGTACAAGTGGAGATACAAGCAAAGCTAAGGCCTTCACTCAAACATGTTTATATTATGGCAGAACTTTGAAAATGATTACACTCATTTTTACTAGTTTTGATGTGATTTTAGGATATTTCAGGACAGTCTATTTGAAATGACAAAGGAAAGTGAGTCTGTTTTGTCTTCCCAAAAAGATTGTTTCTAAGATTTCATGATTCTCCCTTGAGTTCATGAGAAGATTCTTGTGAGAAGGAAAGAAACCCTGGACCTGATTTTACCCCTGGCTCTGTAGCAAAAATGAGGGTGGGAAGATCAAATGAAATTGTGAAACATGTAACTTATAAAACATATATCATTTCATTTCAGAAGTAACATTAAATTCAAGCCCTTTGAAAGGCCTATTTTATTTTTTTAAGTGTCAACTAGGGCAAGGTCTCAAAGTTAAAAATTTGAGAGTTAATGCTTTTGTTTTTCTTTTTCTTGAAAAGCATTCACAGCTCTGATGGAGGGCAAAATCAATAAGCAGCTGAAAAAAGTTCTGAAGAAAATAGTAAAAGAAGCCCATGAACCGCTGGCAGTAGCTGATGCTAAACTAGGAGGGGTCATAAAGGTAAAGTCACGATATTTTTGGTCATGCCTGCTAGTCAGATCTCACAGCATACCAACTACAAAGCCTAGCCTTTGCAATAAGTTGCTTATCATAAATTCTCAATACATTTTTTTCTTTTCTCTAAGCTACATGATAATGGATTTCCCCTAACATCAGCTGAACTGAGCAAATAAGTAATACCTATTTGTTCTAGAAGATATAGAAGAACAAAAAATGATAAAAATTGACTTTAACAAATCTGCTACCCATATATAATGTTAATGTTCTATGTATATCATGCCATATTTTTGTCTAGCCACATTTTTTTCCAACGAAAATGGGGTCCTTATATTTTTTAGAAATATATTTATTAGAAAACTTTTAGTAGGGGTGTATTGCTGGAGATGAAATAAAATGTGAGAGTGGAAAGAAAGACTAGGAAAATAGCCTCCCAAATACAGAAAGCAGAACAATTCGGGCGGGGCGCGGTGGCTCACACCTATAATAATCCCAGCATTTTGGGAGGCCAAGGTAGGAGTATCACGAGGTCAGCAGATCGAGACCATCCTGGCTAACACAGTGAAACCCTGTCTCTACTGAAAATACAGAAAATTAACCGGGTGTGGTGGCAGGCGCCTGTAGTCCCAGCTAATTGGGAGTGCAGTGGCGCAGTCTCACAGCTCACTGCAGACTTGACCTCCTGTTCTCAAGCAATCCTCCCTCTTCAGTAGCTGGGACTACAGGCACATGCCACCATGCTGGCTAATTATTTTATTTTATTTTATTTCATTTATTTGAGACAGAGTCTCACTCTGTTGCCCTGGCTAGAGTGCAGTGGCATGATCTCGGCTCACTGCAACCTCTGCCTCCCGGGTTCAAGGGATTCCCCTGCCTTAGCCTTCCAAGTAGCTGGGATTACAGACGCCCGCCAACACGCCCTGGCCTCCCAAAGTGCTAGGATTACAGGCATGTGCCACCACGCCCAACCTGTAATTTTTTTTTTTTTTTAAGACGGAGTCTCACTCTGTCGCTAGGCTGAAGTGCATTGGCTCAGTCTTGGCTCACTGCAACCTCCGCCTCCTGGGTTGAAGTGATTCTCCTGCCTCAGCCTCCCGAGTAGCTGGGACTATAGGCACCTGCCACCACACCCGGCTAATTTTTGTATTTTTAGTAGAGACGGGGTTTCATCATGTTGGCCAAGATGGTCTCGATCTATTGACCTTGTGATCCACCCGCCTCGGCCTCCCAAAGTGCTGGGATTACAGGCGTGAGCCACCGCGCCTGGCATAACCTGTAATTTTAAAAAGAAGCTAAATAACAGGTAGTAAAAGATCTCCTTAAACCAACTACTTGGTCAAATTATATTAATCTTTTTATAGCTTTTAATTTATATAGCCAAGCTGTCTTCTGGAAGCTTGTATCAGTTTTTACTTCCACCAGTGATACAGTCAAGTATTCTACAAACACACTGGAAATTATGCTTCTTGTCCAACTGAGAAATGCGTATATTTAAATTAGTGCCACTTTAATATTTAGGAAATAATTTCAGGCTGGGCGCGGTGGCTCATGCCTGTAATCCCAGCACTTTGGGAAGATGAGGCGGGCGGATCACTTGAGGTCAGGAGTTTGAGACCAGCCTGTACAACATGGTGAAACCCCGTCTCTACTAAAAATACAAAATTAGCTGGGCATGGTGGCTCATGCCTGCAATAATCCCAGGCCGAGACAGGAGAATCTCTTGAACCCAGGAGGCGGAGGTTGTAGTGAGCCAAGATTGCGCCACTGCACTCCAGCCTGGGCGACAGAGTGATACTGTGTCTCAAAAAATAATAATAACAACTTCAGGAAAGTCTTTTTTTTTTTAATTTAATATAGATGTTCATGTTCTTGTAGGAAAAGCTGAATCTCAGTTGTATCCATAGTCCTGTTGTTAATGAACTTATGAGAGGAATTCGTTCACAAATGGATGGATTAATCCCTGGGGTAGAACCACGTGAAATGGCAGCTATGTGTCTTGGATTGGCTCACAGGTGAGAATTACTGGAAAATAAAGTCAACTTACTTTTATTTGATAAGCGCTTAACATAGATCTGTTCTAAGAATGTTACAAATGCTCATTTGAACCACATCAGAACCTTATGAAGAAGATGATAGTAATATCCTCATTTACAGATGAAACTGAAGCCCAAGGTCAATACAGCTGGTAAGTGGTAAAGCCAGGATTTGAACCCAGGCAGTCTGGCTCTATTGTCTGGATTCTTAAAACCTTAAAACCTCATCAAAGGAATTCTCTACTACTCTGATCTTGGATGCCCTGTTTCTTGGGCTTTCCCTCCTTTATCTCTGCTAAGTCATGCCACTCCTCCATCTACTTAGTATTCCCCCAAATTCTCTCATCTGCTATGGTCTTATGGGATAGGTGTGTATTTGTGTTTTCATTGCTTTACTCTGATTTTTAATAAGGCAAAGAGGACTAGGTGCAGTGGCTCACCCCTGTAATCCCAACTCTTTGGGAGACCAGGAGTTTGAGACTAGCCTGAGCAACATAGCAAGAAATATGTCTCTCTCTGTGTTTTTTTGTTTGTTTTGTTTTTGTTTTGTTTTTTTTGAGGCAGATTCTCACTCTGTCGCCCAGACTGGAGTGCAGTGGCGTGATCTCTGCTCACTGCAGCCCCTGCCTCCCAGGCTCAAGTGATTTTCTTGCCTCAGCCTCCGAGTAGCTAGGATTACAAGCGTGCACCACTACTGCCCAACTAATTTTTGTATTTTTAGTAGAGACGGGCTTTCACCATGTTGGCCTGGCTGATCTTGAACTCCTGACCTCAAATGATCCATCCGCCTTGGCCTTCCAAAGTGCTGGGATTATAGGCATGAGCCACCACACCCGGCATTTTTTTTTTTTTTTTTTTTTTTTTGAGTCAGGGTCTCACTCTGTTGCTCAGGCTGGGGTGCAGTGGTGCGATCTTGGCTCACTGCAACCTGGACATCCTGGACTCAAACAATGCCACCTCAGCCTCCCAAGTAGCTGGGACTGCAAGTGTGCGCCACCATCCCTGGCTGATTTTTTAACTTTTTGTAGAGACGGGGTTTTGCCATGCTGCCCAGGCTGGAACTCCCAGGCTCAAGTGATCCACTTGCCTTAGCCTCCCAAAGTGCCGCGACTGCAGGGGTGAGCCACCATGCCCAGTCTTCTCCCTATTTTTAATTGCATGTTAACCCTATCATATTTCATTAGAAGTCCCTTAGAATAGGCATTATTGCTATGTTGTGATACATCTGTTCATGAAAAGCTTAATACTTTGGAATTGCACTACAGTTAACAGGGTTGTGAAGAAAATAATGGTAGGTAGTTGCTCAAAACCTGTGCAACTTTGTAATCAGTACTGTCAAATAGTAATCCTAATAAAATTATTACCACAGTTCAAAAGACATTTTAAGCTAATATTAAAAGAAACACTACAGGCTGGGCACGGTGGCTCACGCCTGTAATCCCAACACTTTGGGAGGCCAAGGCAGGCAGATCACAAGGTCAGGAGATCGAGACCACGGTGAAACCTCGTCTCTACTAAAAATACAAAAAATTAGCCGGGCACAGTGGCGGGCGCCTGTAGTCCCAGCTACTTGGGAGGCTGAGGCAGGAGAATGGCGTGAACCCGGGAGGCAGAGCTTGCAGTGAGTGGAGATCGCTCCACTGCAGTCCAGCCTGGGTGACAGAGTGAGACTCCATCTCAAAAAAAAAAAAAAAAAAGGGAGAAAGAAACACTATAGGCCAGGCGCAGTGGCTCACGCCTGTAATACATCCCAGCACTTTGCGAGGCTGAGGCAGGTGAATCATGAGGTCAGGAGATCGAGACCATCCTGGTTAACACAGTGAAACCCCGTCTCTACTAAAAATACAAAAAAATTAGCCAGGCATGGTGGCGGGCGCCTGTAGTCCCAGCTACTCGGGAGGCTGAGGCAGGAGAATGGCGTGAACCCGGGAGGTGGAGCTTGCAGTGAGTGGAGATTGCTCCACTGCACTCCAGCCTGGGTGACAGAGTAAGACTCCGTCTCAAAACAAAACAAAAAAGAAACACTACAATTTAAAAAGGTCTATTTTAAAATTAAAAGGTGGGCATAGATTGAAAGGGTTGAAGCTGCTAAGCTAGAGTTAAGAGCAAAAATGCACAAAGGTTAGGGAGAGCTTTGTAATAAGCATTTCTAAGAGAGAACAAATAGTGAAACTGAGTCAAAAATCCAAACCTGGGTAAATCTGCATTGTGTATAGCAGTGGTTCCCTATCAAGGGCAATCAGATGTCCCCCCAGTAGGCATTTGTCTATGTCCATAGACATTTTTGGTTGTCACAATTGGAGGTGGGTTGGGGTCTGCCATGAGTATCTGGTGGATAAAAGTTAGGGATACTGCTAAAGGTCCTATAATGCACAGGGCAGCCTGTACAACAAGGAATTAGGCCCAAAATATTAATTGTGCTGAGATGAAAAAACATTTTTATACAGACAATATTGTTACTCCACAGCTTTCTGTTTTCAGATGTTAAGAGTCCTGCAAAGTTCCTAACTGGTAGTATAAAGCTTAATATGTGCTATTAAAAATTGCATGAACCAATATGGCTTTTTTTTTTTTTTTTTTTTTGAGGCGGAGTCTTGCTTTGTTGCCCAGGCTGGAGTACAGTGGCACGTGATCTCGGCTCACTGCAACCTCTGCCTCCCCGGTTCAAGCGATTCTCCTGCCTCAGCCTCCAGAGTAGCTGAGATTCAGGCGTGCCCCACCATGCCTGGCTAATTTTTATATTTTTAGTAGAGACAGGGTTTCGCCATGTTGGCCAGGTTGGTCTCGAACTCCTAACAGGTGATCTGCCCACCTCGGCCTCCCAAAGTGCTAGGATTACAAGCGTGAGCCACCACGCCCAGTCCAATATGACTTTTGTATTACACAGCTTATCCTATTTGTCATTCATACATAAACTCATTCATGTTACAGAAATAAAGGTCGTAGCAGCACATATAGTTTTTTTTTTTAATGTGTATTTTCTGTTCTCGTATGGTGCATTTCTACTTAGCTGATTTTTCTTCTTAGAAAAACCAATTACAGCTCTGACTACAGGCTGATTTGAGTAAAAACAAAAACAAAAAAAAACTTTAAGGTGTTAATTTAAATGCTTTTCCTAGATGCTATCTTGCTAATTTATTTTCCCCTTTCTTCCCAGCCTGTCTCGATATAGATTGAAGTTTAGCGCTGATAAAGTAGACACAATGATTGTTCAGGCAATTTGTAAGTATAGTACATGCAAAGTCCGATTTGTTGCTCTGTCCTTCATGCGTTTTCATACTGTTGAAACTATCTTTTATGATTCTGTCTGTTGAGAAAGAGAAAGGAGGCCAGGTGTGGTGGCTCAAGCCTTTAATCCCAGCACTTGGGAGGCTGAGGCAGGCGGATCACCTGAGGTCAGGAGTTCAAGACCAGCTTGGCCAACATGACAAAACTCTGTCTTTACTAAAAATACAAAAAAAATTAAATGTGCATGGTGGCGTGTACCTATAATCCCAGCTACTCAGGAGGCTGAGGCAGGATAATTGCTTGAACCCAGGAGGCGGAGGTTGACTATTTGGAGATTATATGAATCACAGAATTAACATTACGTTAATTAATTCATTTGTATTTTTCCATGAAAATGTTAAAAACATAAGTGCAATCTTTGTAGTTGTGTATTCTGCTGTGTCATTAAATGGTTTTTAGAAAGCTCAAAAGCTGCCAGGCACAGTGGCTCATGCCTGTAATCCCAGCACTTTGAGAGGCTGAGGCGGGAGGATCACCTGAGGTCGGGAATTTGAGACCAGCCTGACCAACATGGAGAAATCCCGTCTCTACTAAAAATACAAAATTAACCAGGCATGGTGGTGCATGCCTGTAATCTCAGCTACTCGGGAGGCTGAGGCAGGAGAATCACTTGAACCCTGGAGGCAGAGGTTGTAGTGAGTTGATCGTGCCATTGCACTCCAGCCTGGGCAACAAGAGCAAATCTCCATCTCACTAAAAAAAAAAAAAAAAAATCAAAATCTTAATCGTTTTTCTATTTTAGAAATGCATTCGGCCGTGGCTCACGCCTGTAATCCCAACACTTTGGGAGGCAGAGGCTGGTGGATCACCTGAGGTCAGGAGTTCGAGATCAGGCCAACATGGTGAAACCCGATCTTTAGTAAAAAATAAAAAAATTATCTGAGCATGATGGTAGGCGCCTGTAATCTCAGCTATTCAGGAGGCTGAGGCAGGAGAATCACTTGAACCTGAGAGGCGGAGGTTGCAGTGGGCCGAGATCGCACCATTTCACTCTAGCTTGGACAACATGAGCAACACTCCGTCTCAAAAAAAAAAACAAAGTATTCGGCTGGGCGCAGTGGCTCACACCTGTAATCCTAGCACATTGGGAGGCCAAGGCGGGTGAATTGCCTGAGCTCGGGAGTTTGAGAGCAGCCTGGCTAACATGGCGAAACCCTGTCTTTACTAAAAATACAAAAAAGTAGCCAGTCGAGGTGGCGTGTGCCTATAGTCCCAGCCACTTAGGAGGCTGAGGAAGGAGAATCACTTGAACCCAGGAAGCAGAGGTTGCAGTGAGCTGAGATCGCACCACTGCACTCCATCCTGGGTGATGGAGTTAGACTCTGTCTCCAAAAAAAGAAAAAAAAAAGCGCTCAACCAGCGATTCCTTTCCTAGATTTATACCCAAAAGAATTAAAAACAGAACTGAGTTGCTTGTACACCTATGTTCATAACAGTGTTATTTACAAAACCAAACAGTGGAAACAACCCAGATACCTTTTAACAGATGAATGGATAAACTGCATTGTGGATGCAGCTTGAATGTCCCTAATCTGAAATTCAAAATGCTCTGAAATCTAAAACTTTTTGTGGTACCACACAAATCCACAAGTGGAAAACTCCACACCTGACCACACGTCAAAACTTTGTTTTATGCACAAAATTATTTAAAATATTGTGTAAAATTACCTTCAAGGTTTTGTATATAAGGTATATGTGAAATGTAGATGCATTTCCTATTTAGACTTCGAGTTCCATCCTCAGCCTCATACGTGTTTGCAAATACTCTGAAATACTTCTGGTCCCAAGCATTTTGGGTAACGTACACCCAGCCACTTCACACAGTGGAATGTTAGTCAGCCTTAAAAAGAAATGAAATTCTGATACATATTTCAACATGATAAACCTTGAAAATATGCTAAGTGAAATAGTCACAAAATACTGCATGATTCTGCTTATATGAAGTACCTAAAATAGGTGAACTCAGAGACAGAAGTATAAAGATAACTAGAGGTTGGGGGGAAGGTGGGAATGAGTTACTGTTTAATGGGTACAGAATTTTTCAGTTTCTGATGATAAAATTGCTCTGGCAATAGATCCTGGTAATGGTTGCATAACATCATAAGAATACTTAATGCTACTGAATAGTACACTTGAAAATGGTTGAAGTGTTATTTTTTATTCTTTTTTTTTTAAATTTTTTGCGACGGAATCTTGCTCTGTCACCCAGGCTGGAATGCAGTAGCACGATCTCGGCTCACTACAACCTCCACCTCCTGTGTTCAAGTGATTCTTCTGCCTCAGCCCTCCAGAGTAGCTGGGACTACAGGTGTGCACCACCATGCCTGGCTAATTTTTGTATTTTTAATAGAGATGGGGTTTCACCATGTTGGCCAGGCTGGTCTTGAACTTCTGACTTCGTGATATGCCTGTCTGCTGGGATTACAGACATGAGCCACCGTGCCCAGCCTGAAGTGTTAAATTTTATGTTGTGTATGTTTTACCACAATAAATCCCTTTAAGTTTTGTTTGTTTGTTTTTAATCTACTACAGCCTTGTTAGATGACTTGGATAAAGAACTAAACAACTACATTATGCGATGTAGAGAATGGTATGGCTGGCATTTCCCTGAATTAGGAAAAATTATTTCAGATAATTTAACATACTGCAAGTGTTTACAGAAAGTTGGTGAGTAATTTGTTCATCCTTTAAGGCATTGAAAGTAAATGAATTTGATTGCATCCTAAAACATGACGTATAGCATTTTGTTAAGCAAGATTCCCAGGGTTTTTGCAATTTCTGTGTATTTGGGAAGTGTAGCAGTTTAGTGTCTTAAATTTAAGAAACAAAATGAATTTTAACTTAGATTTTGATGGCCTATAACATGATATTAGTACCTAATGCTAAATAGCAGTATTGCCGTCTGTACTGTTAATATACAGAGGAACTTGATTGTTGATTGTCGTTAACGTACAGAGGAACTTGATTGATTGATGGTTTACTTGCCTTACGAATTACTGGCCCCAGCTTCAGTATAAAATTGTCTGTGACATTATTATTAGTCCTGTCTTTTTTAAATTTTTGCCACTTATATTCTGTAATAAGTGTTGTGGCATATTTTGTCCTCTTTTTACTCTGATTATTTTTTGGAAGAAGGTGGTGGGGAGACATTTAATGTCTAAACTTAAACCCTTAAATGAGGAAAACTGTTATACTAGGTCAAACTTCTTCATTTTTTTTGTTTTGTTTAGGCATCCTTTTCATTGGCTTTCTACTTTTTCTTTTGACTATTTGCTGGATTTTATATAATTTGTTGAAGAGTGATTCTCCCTCATCCTCTGCAAACATTCCATAGGCGATAGGAAGAACTATGCCTCTGCCAAGCTTTCTGAGTTGCTGCCAGAAGAAGTTGAAGCAGAAGTGAAAGCAGCTGCAGAGATATCAATGGGAACAGAGGTTTCAGAAGAAGATATTTGCAATATTCTGCATCTTTGCACCCAGGTAAATTTTACTCCTGGAGAATCTAGTTGTGGTGTTACCAGCTCTATAGTACTAATTTTTCTGATGGCAATGATGATTTTTACACTTATTGTTGTTCACCTGATAACATAAATATGAGGGTGTTCAGTCACTACCTCATCTGATGCCATCATGATTTGTATACTTAAAAGGGGGAAATACATATTAAAAGGAAGTAATTTACAATCATCGTCTGAATAATGAATTAACCAAAAATCAATTAAGATGGCAGAGAAGGCCAGGCGCGTTGGCTCACGCCTGTAATCCCCGCACTTTGGAAGGCCGAGTCAGGGATTGACCTGAGGTCAGGAGTTCGAGACCAGCCTGACCAATATGATGAAACCCCCATCTCTACTAAAAATGCAAAAATTAGCTGCGCGTGGTGGCGTACACCTGTAATCCCAGCTACTCGGGAGGCTGAGACAGGAGAATCGCTTGAACCAGGGAGGGGGAGGTTGCAGTGAGCCGAGATGGCACCATTGCATCCAGCCTGGGCAACAAGAGCAAAACTCCATCTCAAAAAAAAAAAAAAAAAAAAAAAGGATGGCAGACAATTATGGATTGAGCCTTTTAATTCTGAGTCTTATGTCTATATCTTGTGATTTTTTTTTCTTTCAGATTTGAAGGTAGCCATATAGGAATTAAAAAGAGCATGATACAAATGTTTATTGCTCAGAATCTTTTTTTTTTTTTTTTTTTTTTTTTTTTTTTTTTTTGAGACAGAGTCTCACCCTGTAGCCCAGGCTGGAGTGCAGTGGCACGTTCTCAGGCTCACTGCTACCTCTGCCTCCCAGGTCCCAGTTCAAGCGGTTCTCCTGCCTCAGCCTCCCGAGTAGCTGGGATTACAAGCACGTGCCACCATGCCCAGCTAATTTTTGTATTTTTCATAGAGACGGGGTTTCACCATGTTGGCCAGGATGGTCTTGAACTCCTGACCTCATGATCCACCTGCCTCGACCTCCCAAAGTGCTGGAATTACAGGTGTGAGTCACTGTGCCTGGGCTGCTTAGAATCTTTTAAAAATACAGTTACGCTGACTAAGATTTTCAGGCAGTGGACCAAGTAGTTTACATACATTATATAACGAAGTCCTCATTACAGCCATCTTATAGAAAACTGATGTTAGGATCATGAGGTCAAGAGATAGAGACCATACTGGCCAACATGGTGAAACCCTGTCTCTACTAAAAATACAAAAAATTAGCTGGGCGTGGTGGCGGGCCCCTGTAGTCCCAGCTACTCCAGAGGCTGAGGCAGGAGAATCACTTGAGCCCGGGAGGCGGAGATTGCTGTGAGCTGAGATTGCGCCACTGCGCTCCAGCCTGGGAAAAAAAAAAAAGAAAACTGATGTTAGGCATAGGTGATGTACCCAGTACCCAGGGTTGTGTAGCTGCTCTTTCATAATTGAGGGCTCCAGTGTTTTAGACAGGAATTTTTACTGTTTTTACTCATATGATATTTGTGACTTAACTTTATTCCTTATACTAGGTGATTGAAATCTCTGAATATCGAACCCAGCTCTATGAATATCTACAAAATCGAATGATGGCCATTGCACCCAATGTTACAGTCATGGTTGGGGAATTAGTTGGAGCACGGCTTATTGCTCATGCAGGTGATGGTTTTAATGTAATTTGTAAATATGAGTGTTTGAAGTATTTTCTGGTTAGGATTTTGTTTACATCTTTAAACTACAGCTGTTAAAGAAATTTTAGCTGATAACACAAAAGTAGATGATATGTGGGAGATCACTAAGGGCCAAGTGTTCAATGATGATTTCTATTTGTTTGCCTGATTTCCTTTTGGATAATGAAGGCATCTTTAGTCACTACCTCTTCTGAGACACTTGTGGTCCATTGTTAGAAGTTTGTTAGGGTTAATTAGAACAATCGGATGAATGCAGGAGGATAAAACAGTTAACATTTTCATAATAAAAACTCACTAGACCTAGATTTGAATACAGTTTTAAGAAATCACTGTAGAGAAAGAAAAAAAAAAGAAATCACTGTAGAGGATTTGTGCCCTTGATTGATTACCTTAGTTTCACTATTGAGTGTGAGGATGTAATATATTTGACTTTCAAAAATATTTTCAACAACTGATTTATAATAAAACTTTGTATATGTGTATGGCAGTATTATAAGGATGATATGCTATAATTAAAATGCTATGTAATTGAATACCTACAAATACAATGAAGTACTGATTCATCATTTTTATGTTACTTGGAGACATTGTTATAATTCATCAAAAAAGATTATATCATCTGCATCAGAGTGTTTAAAATGGCATAACTCCTTTTTTTTTGTTTGAGACAGAGTTTCACTCTGTTGCACTGGCTGGAGTGCAGTGGCTCACTGCAACCTCTGCCTCCCAGGTTCAAGCAATTCTCCTGCCTCAGGCTCCCAAGTTGCTGGGATTACAGGCATGTGCTGCCACCATGCCTGGCTAATTTTTATATTTTTAGTTGAGACAGGGTTTTTGCCATGTTGGCCAGGCTGGTCTCAAACTCCTGACCTCAGGTGATCTGCGCACCTCAGCCTCCCAAAGTGTTGGGATTACAGGCGTGAGCCACTGCGCCCGGCCTGGCGTAACTCCTTTAGCTGCATCATTAATCAAAGGTTTCATTCAAATGCCCTCAGCTATAAGATCAGATGATTTCATTGTCTCTACCCATTTTCATAGGTATAGCTAAACTTGTAGCAGTAAGCAATGGCAGGGGTTAATAGAAGTATGTATTTGTTGGCCAGGCGTGGTGGCTCACGCCTGTAATCCCAGCACTTTGAGAAGCTGAGGTGGGTGGGTCACCTGAGGTCAGGAGTTCGAGACCAGCCTGGCCAACATGGTAAATAAAACCCCATCTCTATTAACAACACAAAAATTACCCAACCTTGGTGGCATGAGCCTGTAATCCCAGCTACTCGGGATGCTGAGGCAGGAGAATTGCTTGAACCCGGGAGGTGGAGGTTGCAGTGAGCCAAGATTGTGACATTGCACACAGCAGTGGTGACATTGCTTGCCTGGGTGACAAGAGTGAAACTCCATCTCAAAAAAAAAAAAAAAAAAAGAACTATGTATTTGTTACACTTTTAAAACTATGTCTAGTGCTTAAGTTCATAGTATTAATAGAGTCTGTTTTCTGACAGGAAATATTCTATACAGCATATCCAACTAAGCAGCATGTTGATAACAATAGTCCCCAGCTATTTATGGAGATGTATTCTAAGCTCCCCCCTCCAAGAATGTTTGAAACAGAGGATAGTACTGAATCCTATACTGTATATGCTGTTTTTTCCTAAACATACATATCTATAATAAAGCTTAGCTTATAAATTAGGTACAGTAGGATATCAACAACAGTCATAATATAACAGTTATAACACTATGCCAGCAGGGCCGGGTGTGGTGGCTTACGCCTGTAATCCCAGCACTTTGGGAAGCTGAGGAGGGTGGATCACGAGGTCAGGAGTTCAAGATCAGCCTGGCCAAGATGGTGAAACCCCATCTCTACTAAAAATACAAAAAAAAATTAGCTGGGTGTAGTGGTGGGTGCCTGTAATCCCAGCTACTCGGAGGCTGAGGCAGAGAATTGCTTAAACCCGGGAGGCGGAGGATGCAGTGAGCCAAGATCGCGCCACTGCACTCCAGCCTGCGCAACAGAGCGAAACTCTATCTCAAAAAAAAAAAAAAATGCAAGCATAACTATTTTTGTGCATTGGTTACTTGAATATAAGCACTGCAGTACTGCACAACGGAGAGGGCTACGAAAGTGACTAATGGGTAGATAGAGATGATTCATGTCCTGGGGGGAGCTGAGTGGGATAGCAAGAGATTTAAAACTTAGGAACTATTTATTTCTGGAATTTCCTTTTTAATATTTTCAGACTGCAGTTAACCACAGGTAATTTACCACACAAAGTGAAAGCACAGGTAGGGGACTATTAATAGATACTTGTAGGAATATCTCTTCCTAATAAATGTGTTTATTTGTAGGCTTTTTCATATCTAAAGCAATAGAATATTTGATACAATCTCAGAAAGCAGGGACCAGATTAGTGTTCGTGTGTGTGACATTTATGTCACTCCTGTAGTATACTAATGGAATTTAGAATAGTACTGCCATCTCTCAGGTGAATAGAAACATTGAACTTAATAAGCTTAGCCTTCAGTTTGTCCTAGGCATTCATTGCAAACCTGCTTGTGCTAATGAAGGAATTACAAATGAAACATCAAGATTTTTAGGGAATTCTGGATTATAGAATTCTATATTATATGTGATTTTTATTTATTATGGTGGCTGTAATAATTCTATAGGTCTTTTGTTTCAGTACGTGGAACATTCATATATTTGGAGGTGCATTCTTTGTAACTTTTTTCTTTTGTAGGTTCTCTTTTAAATTTGGCCAAGCATGCAGCTTCTACCGTTCAGATTCTTGGAGCTGAAAAGGCACTTTTCAGAGCCCTCAAATCTAGACGGGATACCCCTAAGTATGGTCTCATTTATCATGCTTCACTCGTGGGCCAGACAAGTCCCAAACACAAAGGAAAGGTGTGTTATAGGGTTTTGCTTTGTTTTTGAGGTTAGACTTTTTCATTTTTTACAACCCATTTTTCTTCTACTCTGTAGTACACATTAAATCTTCTATTGTCTCTTTCTTGTTAAATAGGGAATGGTGAGTTATTTAAATAAAAAGTGCTTTGTGTACACTGAAGGATAAGGTTAGAAGAAACTGTTATTGGTTGGATTAAAGCCAGTTTCTTCCATTGTGTTAGTATTTTTTTCCCCCCTAGAATCTCCCTGTGGTTGGCACACTGAAAATACTATCTCTGGCAGCAAAAAAAAAATCTAACATTTACGAATCATAAAAAATAGCATATGCATTATGCTAAAACACTTTGAGAGAAGTCACTAAACTTTTTTTTTTTGAGATGGAGTCCCGCTCTGTCGCCAGGCTAGAGTGCAGTGGCTTGATCTCGGCTCACTGCAACCTCCAGCTCCCTGGTTCAAACGATTCTCCTGCCTCCCTGCCTCAGCCTTCTGAGTAGCTGGGATTACATGCACGTGCCACCACGCCCGGCTAATTTTTGTATTTTAAGTAAAGACCAGTTTCACCATGTTGGCCAGGCTGGTCTCAAACTCCTGACCTCCTGATCCACCCACCTCGGCTTCCCAGAGTGCTGGGATTACAGGTGTGAGCACCTGTGCCTGTCCTAAATCTTCAGTAGCCTTATGAGATGTAGGTATCTCTATCTTGCAGATGATGAAACTGAGGCTTAGACAAGTTAAGTACTTTCAATGTTTTTGAAAGATGTGTCGTTTAACAGATCTAAACTGAAAATTGATAAAATTTAGAGCAGAGTGGTGGAGGAAAATAAAGCGTTCAATAAAATAAAATGTTAATTAGATTGAAAAAGAACCCACGCTTTTTTTTGTTTGTTTGTTTGTTTGTTTGTTTGTTTTTTGAGATGGAGTCTCACTCTGTCGCCCAGACTGGAGTGCAGTGGTGCCATCCCGGCTCACTGCAAGCTCTGCCTCCCAGGTTCACGCCATTCTCCTGCCTCAGCCTCCAGTGTAGCTGGGACTACAGGCGCCCGGCACCACACCTGGCTAATTTTTTGTATTTTTAGTAGAGACAGGGTTTCACCGTGTTAGCCAGGATGGTCTCGATCTCCTGACCTCGTGATCCACTCGCCTCGGCCTCCCAAAGTGCTGGGATTACAGGCGTGAGCCACCGCGCTCGGCCAGAACCCGCACATATTTAAGATTGTTACGAGGAAAAAGATGCACTTCTTTTCAGTGACCTCATAGCACAGAACTAATGTCACTGAGTAGAAACTAAAGTTTAAAAATATTTTTTAAAAAAACCTAGTTTGAGCTAATATTTGACATGAATTGCTGTAAAATCTTTTCAGCCACAGAAGTGTTGGTGGTGATATATGGCCATTAGATTGTGGCAAAGGTTGAAATACGATGGATGATTTGAATTGTATGATTCATAATAGTTTTATAACTCCTGATTTTAAAACATCCAAGTTATTGAGGATTTTACATCTGAACATGGAATATAGTTCTTCATGTTTTTCTATTAGATTTCTCGAATGCTGGCAGCCAAAACCGTTTTGGCTATCCGTTATGATGCTTTTGGTGAGGATTCAAGTTCTGCAATGGGAGTTGAGAACAGAGCCAAATTAGAGGCCAGGTTGAGAACTTTGGAAGACAGAGGGGTAAGAACTACATCATGCCTATTCCAGAAGTATTACTTGTCAAAAGTTAATAAACTGAGTAAATTTATTAACTTCATCTGCTAAACAGTTTTATGATACTTATTAGTATGTCTAAAGTATTCTTTTTGTGCCTACTGTTAACAATTGCTATTATTTACCAAGAATTGATGTATCCAACTGCATTTGCCATTAGGATATGCTATTCAAAATAACAAAACAAAAAATAGCAGAAATTGCTGTTTGCTGGCCCACTGATTCACTAGACTGTATAGTGTATTATAAAGAGATTATGACTTAGAAGTGTATTTGTAATTTTTCGTTTTCTTCTTAGATAAGAAAAATAAGTGGAACAGGAAAAGCATTAGCAAAAACAGAAAAATATGAACACAAAAGGTGAGTACATTTAAGTGAGGATGGGGTGAATAGTTTTTTTAAATGTTAATTATTGACAGTAATTTTTTATTGTAAACTTCACCTTGATGTGCCCATAGTTTTTTCAAATTTATTTATTTGACCAAAATTGTGTATGTTTATTGTGTGTATGTTGTTTTGGAAAATGTGCACATTGAGGAATGATTAAGTCAAGCTCATTAACATGCATTGTCTTATGTACTTTTTTTGTGGTGAGGACACCTTAAAATCTACTTAGCAATTTTCAAGAATATAATACATTGTTAGCTGTAGTTAACCATGTTGTGCACCCCTAATTTTTTTCCATGCCATTTAGTTTTCCGCATTAACTTCTACTAGTTTTCATTCATATACATATTTAATTTATTCATTTCCAGATATTGATAGTAAATTTTTTTAATCTAAAGTTCCTCTATAATATGTTCTTTATCAAAAAGTTCACTCAGCCGGGCACAGTGGCTCATGCCTGTAATCCCAGCACTTTGGGAGGCTGAGGCAGGCAGATCACCTGAGGTCAGGAGTTCAACACAGGCCTGGCCAACATGGTGAAACCCCATCTCTACTAAAAATACAAAAAATTAACTGGGTGTGGTGGCGGGCACCTGGCTGAGGCAGGAGAATTGCTTGAAACCCGGGAGGCGGAGGGTGCAGTGAGCTGAGATCGCGCCCCTGCACTCCAGCCTGGGCAACAAGAGCAAAACTCCGTCTCAAAAAAAGTTCATTCAGAGTTAATCCCTACAGAAACCTATTTTGTAAAAAGTATAAAGACAGAAAACAAGTCTAAAGATGGCTGAGGCATGACAAAGCATTCAAACTTAACTATCAGATTAACAAAAGATTTGTATGTGGAGGGGTATTTGGGTTATTATTTGAGGCAATGCTCAATGCTGGTGAGGTTGTGATGATGCAGGTAGAATGTGGCACAGCTGTTCTAGGAAGCCATTTCACAGTATGTATCAAGATTCTTCAAAATGTTCCTAGTCATTAACCCAATAAATTATACTTTCAGGAGTCATAATCCTTCAAGATTTTTTTTTTTTTTTTTTTTTTTTTTTTGAGACAGTCTGTCTCTGTTGCCAGGCTGGAGTGCAGTGGCACGATTGCGGCTCACTGCAACCTCTGACTCCCCGGTTCAAGTTATGCTCCTGCCTCAGCCTCCCGAGTAGCTAGGATTACAGGCATACACCACCACATCCAGCTAATTTTTGTATTTTTAGTAGAGTCGGGGTTTCATCATGTTGGCCAGGATGGTCTTGATCTCCTGACCTCGTGATCCGCCCGCCTTGGCCTCCCAAAGTGCTGGGATTACAGGCGTGAGCCACAGCACCCGGCCTCCTTCAAGAATTTTAATAGTAAAATCTTATAAGTGGATGAGGAGAGTAATTAATATATAGAACATTACCAATTATAAATACATATTTAAGTATAATTTAGTGTTTTCTGGAAAGAAATCAAATGTGTTTCTGTGGGCATTCACATTTTCTTTTTTGTGAATTTTCCAAGCTTTCTACAATAGCCATACATTCTGCAATATTTATAGTCTATAACTTATTATCTCTAGTTGACAAACATGGTTCTTTGTTTCTTAAATTATAAATGTCTTTAACCTAAAAAAATTAAATAGTCATTCAGCTTACAGGTCTGCTTAAAAAACAGAACATTTTTTAGCTTGTTTTGAACCAATTTTTTTAATGTTCCTGTGCAATTAGTACTTTTTACTTTAAACATATGCACTTAAAGCATCCATTCACATTTTAGGCACTCATTTCAGTATTTTCTTTCTGCTTACATTAGAACAAAAGCAAATGTTGGGTTCTATGGAATCTTTTCCATGTGCATGTATTTGTATCCTTTCTTGTTCTTGTGATCTTGTGATGAAGACTTCTATACTAAGCTTGGTTTAGATTTTTTGTTCTGCTTTTTTTTTTTTTTTTTTCCCCCATTGAGCAGTGTTCTGAAAGTTGGATGGTTCAGTTTTCACTTTCTAGTTAGGTGTGAAGACGTTTTCTCCTTTCATTTCCCCCATGCTGATTGAGTGTTTTCCTGTACCATAGTAACTACATTGATTACTAAATCAGAATTCATTTAGCTCACCACATCTCTTGAATGTGATTGACCTACTTGAAAAATATTAATACCTTTAACTTTTGGAAACTATTAGTCTTCATAAACTACCCCAAAGCCACTAAAATGAAACAACATTGTGTGCTTATGTAAGTATTATCTAATGGCATTTTCTTTATCTCTTGAGAATTATTTCAATTCCAGATACTTGTTAGAGATTTTCTAAAACTTTTTGGGTCTTTCAGTGAAGTGAAGACTTACGATCCTTCTGGTGACTCCACACTTCCAACCTGTTCTAAAAAACGCAAAATAGAACAGGTAGATAAAGAGGATGAAATTACTGAAAAGAAAGCCAAAAAAGCCAAGATTAAAGTTAAAGGTTAGTTTGAATTTTTTTTTTAACACAACTTATACTCACTTCTTTAGAACTGTGGATTTTGTGAGTCTTAAAAGTACATGCCATCCCACTTTATTATAAAACTGCTCATTGAACGCTAATGGTGTTTTAATAATGCCATTATGTTCTCTGGGAATATGATATTGTTAAATTTATCAGACTGCACAGAGGAAATGTGAGAAGTTTAGTCAAATTAGGTATTTTACTAAGAGTTCCAAAACTTCATTTCTCCTACATGAACTATTTGGAGAATTAAGAGAAAAAAGGAACGTGTTTTCTAAATTGGTTGTTGAAAATTTTTTGTTTTATAGTTAAGAATGAATACAGAATTGATGGAACAGTGATTTTCTTCATTGTTTCTCTTACACGGAGCGGACTGGAAGGAATACATACTGGTAGCCTGCCGTCATAGTTACAATATCTAACAGGTGCTCACCAGTTAACTAGGCTGTCTTGTGAAGTTGATAAGCAGGCGCCCCATTATTAGTTACACCTGGGTTTATTGAACACCTACTAGCAAGTCTAGCAGAAGAGTAAAGCATTAACACAATGATTGCTTTAACTTGGTTTCTAAGTAGCTTAGTGGTCAAAAGTATATGATCTACAAATGTGGATAGTATACTTGATAGAGAAAACAAACAATTTATTTAACTTTTATGCTTCTTTTTATTGAAAAGTAAGGAGATCCCTAAACCCACTAGTAGCATTTGAGGCACCAAACTCTGTCCTTTGTATCCTCAATTGTGTATCCAATAAGCTTTTCCAATTTATTTGTCAATTTTTCATCCCACAATTTCCCCCCTCTTTTTTTACCCCCAAGACAGAATCTTGCTCTGTCACCCATGCTGGAGTGCAGTGGCATGATCTTGGCTCACTGCAACCTCCACCTCCCAGGTTCAAGCAATTTTCCTGCCTCAGCCTCTTGAGTAGCTGTGATTACAGGCACGCACCACCACGCCCAGCTAATTTTTTTATTTTTAGTAGAGACAGGGTTTCACCATGTTGGCCAGCCTGGTCTCAAACTCCTGACCTTGTGATCCACCCACTCCGGCCTCCCAAACTGCTGGGATTACAGGCATGAGCCACCACGCCCAGTCCTCTCCCATTTTCTATATGTGACAATTCCAGTTGCTTTGGCCATCAACCTTGACTTTTTTCTCATAACTCAATCTAGTCTGACAGCAAATCCTCTCAGTTCCACTTGAAAGTATGTAGTAGCCACAGTGGAACCACCACTAGCTTTTTAAATCTAAATTTGTTCCAGCCATACTGGCCTGCTTGCTATTTCCTGAACCTACTATCCATCCACTTATCCCATCTGCCCTCCAAAACGCCTTACGACTTAAGCATCTGCTCTACTCTACCTGGACTATTTTCCCTCAAGATACATGTATCATTCATTCACTCCCTCACCTCTTCTAGGTGTTTGCCGACCATTCTGCCTAAAATGGCCATATATACTGCCCTTTTCCAACATTCCCCTTCCTGCTTTATTTTTATTCTTACCACTTTAATATCTATTATGTAATGTATCATTTATGTCTCCACTCTGCCACTAAAATAAAAAAGATTCATAGGGAAACGAATATTTTTGCCTCTTGTGCCTTGCTCGAATTGTTTAGTACAGAGTCTGACATGAATATTATTTGGTTGCTGAATTGCTGAATTTCTCTCTCTTTTCTTTTTCTTTTTTTTTTCTTTTTTTTTTTTTTTTTTTTTTGAGACAGAGTCTCCCTCTGTCGCCCAGGCTGAAGTGCAGTGGCGTGATCTTGGCTGACTGCAGCCTCCGCCTCCTGGGTTCAAGCAATTCTCGTGCTTCAGCCTCCTGAATAACTGGGATTACAGGCATGCACCACCATGCCTAGCTAACTTTTTTGTATTTTTATTAGATACAGGATTTCACCATGTTGGCCAGGCTGGTCTTGATATCCTGACCTCAAGTGATCCTCCCGCCTCAGCCTCCCAAAGTGCTGAGATTACAGGCGTGAGCCACTGCACCCAGCTGGTCACTGAATGTCTAATGATAGCTATGTGTTGAGTCCTTATTGTAATGTGTGCTAAGCATTATACTTAGTGCTTTCTATGCATCATCTTTTTAAATCAGTAACAGTCCAGTAAGATAAGACATTCTTAAGTTTTATAGATAGGGAGCTTCACCAAGGGTAAATACAATTTTTCAGGGTTGCAGCAGGTAGATTAAACCCAGGCCGTCTGACTTCAGAGTGCAAGCTCTTAACCATTTCTAATATAATTGACTTTCTTCCCAATAATGATTGGAGATCAGATGACCTTTGTTTTAATCCTGATTTTTATACATGACTTCATGATCGTGAGAAGATTGCTCTGAGCTCTATCTATATCATTCGTTAAAGTTAGTGGTAGGCCTTGGAGAACCTTCCCAATTATAAAATAAACAAAACAAACATTGGGTAGTTGATGAGAATGACAGAAAAAAACTAGGACTCAAACGTTTTTGGAAGGAATGAGATCTGATACAGTGTTAATTTGTTGTGCCTTTACACTTACCCTATTCAGTTGAAGAAGAGGAAGAAGAAAAAGTGGCAGAAGAAGAAGAAACATCTGTGAAGAAGAAGAAGAAAAGGGGTAAAAAGAAACACATTAAGGAAGAACCACTTTCTGAGGAAGAACCATGTACCAGCACAGCAATTGCTGTATGTTTGTTTTTAATTATCGGTTTTCACTTGGAGGGGCCAGTTCTCTATATTTCAATCTATTTTCTATATCAGAAATGAGCAGGCATTTTAAAAAATGGTTTTCATTGATGGAGAGGTAAAAGTGAAATGGCTTTGTTGTATTTATATTATAAAAGGCCATTTCCCAAATCTAGAATTTATTACTAAAAATCAAGTTTGCATTGAGGGGAGGAGTATGATTTGCTCAAGCTTACTTTTTTTATAGGTGGGGTTTTTATATTTTCAATGTGATTACTCACCCATACAATTTCAGCTCTTTCAAAGCATTCTTGTTGGCTATTTTCAGAGTCCAGAGAAAAAGAAGAAAAAGAAAAAAAAGAGAGAGAACGAGGATTAACAGAAAGGAATTACGATTATATCACCCGGACACACATCATGCTTAAGATTCAACTGGGAGCATACCAGGGATGCTCTCTAACGTAATCAAGGGAAGGTTCAGTAAGACAAAGTGATTTATCATCTATAACTTCAAACCTATTTGTCTTGACATCAACTCTGTTAACCTTATGTCATCATTTCTTAGAGTCTTTGATATACAAATAAAATTTTCTTTGTATTTTAAGACAATTTTGTGATCTCTTTATATCTTAGGTAGAGAATCTTTGGCTCTTTCTGTAGTTTGCCATGTGATGATTATTGTTTTGATAATTATAACTGAAAAGTGAGAGTTGTTTTGAAATTTAATCTTTTGGAAGTCAGTGATTAAGTGGACCAATTCAAGACCCCACTCTAATGTGTTTCTTTTGCCTTTTTGGACTACTTTTTATTTTCCACCTATAATCTTTCTACCTCTTTATTTAAATAAATATTTGTTTCTTATTCAAATTTTTAAATTAGGTGAGCAAAACTTTTTAGTTCAAAAGGGTGGGAGACAGTATCCCTCCCTTTACTGTTTGCAATTCTAAAAGGCATACCAAAATAATTCTTAAAACCCTGATTTGTTTTTAAAGTAGTCAGCCTGAAGTGACTTTTTTAAAGGTTGTACAAAGTGATCATAAAGAATGGAGAATAGGGAAAAAATAAGAAAAAAAAAAGTGCCAGTTTGTGTATGTCATAGACATCATACTAAAGCCCAATTCAGTAAAAGCTGTTGGTGGATGGAAACTAGAATGACTATGGCTTTTGAGTTCCACCTCTGCTTTTCAAGTCAACAGCCCCTCTTTGGTTTCCTCATTTGTAAATCACAGATAATGGTCAATTTTACCTCTCCCAACTGGTTTGTAGAAAATGAAATGACATAAACTTTCAGAGATGTTACTAGGCTTCAAATTTAATTTGCTTGAAGTAAATGTTGATAAAATACATGCAGCCATCCCTAGATAAAATTACATAATAAAGCTGGTTATCTTGTTCCCAGGAGAACACTGTCATTTTCGCATCACCCACTGGTACCGCAGATACATTCCTAATTTAGGACAAAACAGACTTAGTTTATGACCGACTTTTGATGAAAAAGGCCTAACCACCTACCCAGCTGCATAGTCAAAAGGTTTACATGCAAAACAAGGTAGGTTTTTGAGAAACCTAAATAATAAACTTCCAGTTATTTGAATAGTCTTCTGCAGGCCCAGAGAAAGCATAGTTAAATCATACAGCAACCACCTCTCATAAGGGCTGAAGGTTTAACTATTTAAAAAACTAACCAAAAGGTAGGTTCTTGTTCTACTTGGTACTATTGAAACACTTCTAATGAAGAGCCTTGTGAACTTAGTTTGAAATCGGAAACTCGGGTGAATTTTATATGCCTAGTTTTTATTAGTAAATTTGAAGAATTTCTGTGGCTGCACCACAAAACTCTGCTGAAAACCTACTGATTCTCCATTTCCCTTCAAAAATGTAAATTTCTATCTTCCAGTTTAAACTGCTGTATCTGTCCATTGCCTTCTGGCTCCTCAGCACAATTACAAGGCCCTTGAGTGAGCTGTCCTCTCTCCTCCAACTTTGGCGCTCTGTTCCAGGGCTCTTTTAGAAAAGATTTATTTGCTGCCCGTGAAGGGTTCTCTGATCCATCTGTTGCTTCTCAATGGCCATTTTCAGACTTGGCTCAGGCTCATCCTTTATCCCAGCTGTATTTGTACCCTTTAGGATAACATGGAGTAGGGCCAAATGTCTCAAACCCTAGCTAGTGTGCATAGGAATTATCTAGAGACCTTGCTTGATAAAATGCAAATCTGATGCTCTATTAGTGCCACCAGAGCAAAAAAAAAATGCAGGTCTGGGTTGGAGCCCAAGATTTCCTCATTTTTTACAAGCTCAGGTGGTGGTAGATGAGGGTCCATGTGCATGGTAGCAAAGTACTAGGATAAATTACTTAAACTCTCAGAACCTGTTTGCTTATCTGAAACTGGATTTCTCTGAGAAATAAGTGAGATAATGCTTGTGAAGAGGTTTATGTGGTAAAGTCAAGATTTAACCCCTAGCTACTTGGGACACTGAAGCAGGAGGATCGCTTGAGTCCAGGAGGTTGGGGCTGCAGTGAGCCATGGTCACACCACAGCACTCCAGTCCAGGTGACAGAGCAAACCCTGTCTCTTAAAAAAATTTCTAAAAGAAGTGCAGTTGACTTTTGAACAATAAGGGACTAGGGGGACTGACCCCCTGCACAGTTGAAAATTTTGCGTATGACTTAATGATTCCCCCAAAACTTAACTGCTAACAGCCTACTGTTGACCAGAAGCCTTACCAATAACAAACTCAAAACACATTATGTTATGTATTACTGTATTCTTACCATAAGCTAGAGAAAAAAGTGTTGAGAAAATACTGTTCATTCAGTGGAAGTGGATGATCATAAAGATCTTCATACTTGTTTTCAGTTGAGTAGGCTGAGAAGAGGAGGTGTTACTCATGCTGTCTCAGGGGTGGCAGAGGCAGAAGAAAATCTGTATGTGTCAAGGGTCAACTGTAAATTACAATAGTTCCTAAAACATCTGGAGAACTTTTTAAACAGTAAATTTCTGATTTACTGGGTATCGGGTAGAGCCCAAGAATTTCCATTTGTTACAGATTCCAGTTGATGGTTGGGGGACAGCACCTGGACCACTGTACTGCAAGGACTCCCTTGCCTAACCCTATAGTTCTCCAAACTAAAACCAAACTTAAATTGATGGTCAAGAAGTCAGGCCTGCCCATTTTGGCAACATGAAAAGCACCAGAAAGCCAGCGTCAGGCCTCAGTTGTGCTGTTGCACTGTAGGTAATTGAGGAGCCCCAGAGGGCTAGACAATCAGGTCAATGCTCTCCCTACATAGATAATGCAAGCTTGAATGGGTACAAGAAAAAATTAGTAGCATTGTTTCCTGGCCGTAAGAATTTGCTTTTGAAGGGACAAACTTAATTGCTGATACTGCAAGTGTTCTATGTATAATTAGTATTAAATAAAAGGGAAAAAACTTAGGCATTTTTTTTCTTCTTTTTTTGAAATGGAGTTTCGCTCTTGTTGCCCAGGCTGGAGTGCAATGGCGCGATCTCGGCTCACTGCAACCTCTGCCTCCCGGGTTCAAGCAATTCTCCTGCCTCGGCCTCCTGAGTAGCTGGGATTACAGGCATGCACAACCACGCCTGGCTAATTTTGTGTTTTTAGGAGAGATGGGGTTTCACCATGTTGGTCAGGCTGGTCTCAAACTCCTTACCTGAGGTGATCCACCTGCCTCAGCCTCCCAAAGTGCTGGGATTACAGCCGTGAGCCACTGCGCCTGGCCCCATTGTGTTGTTTATTAAAGTTTGTGAGAACAATACCAGAATTAAAGCACCACACAACATACAGCAAAAAGTGTACATGCAATGCAAAATCATCTGAAAAATATCAGTGAGAAGATAAATTCATGCCCTAGTCCCAACATTGTGCATGGGGCTGAGCATTTCTTAGTCTTACTTTAGCTAAAATTTTAAGGAGTCTGATATGACTAGTTGAAAGAGAAAATTATCAATTTAGCATCATTAAATTTTTATTTATACTAGACTCACCATATCTTCATATCCAAGTTTTTCTATTTAGTATTTTTGAGTACTTCCAGATTTTTTTGTAGGCTGCAGTGAATGCCTTTGAACATTTATTTATCTTCATGTATTTGCATTTCCATAGGATAATTTTTAGATACAGAATTACTATGTCAAAGGGGATATAAGTGTAAAATAATGTCAGTTTGCCTCCAAAAGAATGTCGTAATTTACACTCCTATACTCCAATAGCATTAAGAGAAAGCTCCTATGTCAGGAACCGTCTCATAATCATCTTTTTATTAGCATCTATTCCAGTCCCCTGCTCACTAGCAGTTTTTCGTATAGTAGTAAACAATGTTTTAAAATATTAATTTGAACTTACTGGCTTTAAACCTGGATGATTTTCCTCTCACAATTCTGTGGTCCATGATGTACAAGAAGATTCCATTTATCAGTACAGTATTGAAATCATCTTCCAGATTATACGCTCCCACCTAGCCTTGTGCTGCTAACCCAAAGAGTATTTGTGTAAATAGAGAAATATTTATCTTTTTAAAGATGGGGGTCTCACTGTGTTGCCCTGATCTTGAAATCCTGGCCTCAAGTGATCCTCCTACCTCAACCTCTGGAGTAGCTGGGACTATATGCAAAAGCCACTGCGCCCAGCTTTTGGAACATTTTAGTAGCCTGAAGATAATTGGAATCTTGTCATTGGAAAAAATAGTTTGAGTCTAGCAGTGAGTTGTGCTTGCTACCCCTGTGGAGATAGGTTGGAATAGCAGCTCACTAGAGGTTTCTCACGAAGCCTGGGGACCCGAGGCTGGTATCTGCTACTTTGATTTAAACCAAGCCCCCAAACCTGGCAAGGCACCAAGCAGTAGCTTTGGAAGTGGCTGCCTGGAAATTCCTGGCCTACAGTGTTGAGACAAAGGGCCCCTAGTATTTCAGCTGGTCAAGACATCCATTTGCATACCAACTCCTATGTCATAGCAGCAAATGCAGCCTTCAAAGTTGGAAGGTAAACTGTTATTAGGATAGCTATGAATGTATCCTATATAAAAGTAACCAAAGCTGAACAAACTCTCATAAAAACTACAGCCCTTGATTACTCAAAGTGTCACAATACTTAAGAGCTAATGGCTGTAAATGAGACAGCAAGGAGCATGACATCACATTCGTCAAAAATTTGATCTGTTGTCAGGGCAATAGGAGATTTTAGAGTTAAAAGGAATCCAGGAAATCACCTATATACAATGAAGACTCAGACCCAGAGACCTTTATACATGCACCCAGTGTGCTGGCGTATTCCAAAGACATTAGGCCTGCTCTTTTCTTTTAGACAGCAATGTTTTTGTTTTTGTTTTTGTTTTTTTTTGAGATGGAGTTTCACTCTTGTTACCCAGGCTGGAGTGCAATGGCACGATCTCGGCTCACTGCAACCTCTGCCTCCCAGGTTCAAGCGATTCTCCTGCCTCAGCCTCCCTAGTAGCTGGGATTACAGGCATGTGCCACTATGCCTGGCTAATTTTGTATTTTCAGTAGAGACGGGGTTTCTCCATGTTGGTCAGGCTGATCTCGAACTCCCGACCTTAGGTGATCCGCCCACCTCAGCCTCCCAAAGTGCTGGGATTACAGGCATGAGCCACGGCGCCCGGCCGAAAGCAATTTCTTTTATTGAAAGTTTACACATTTAATTCAGCGTTGGTCTTTTAGGTTTCAGTTTACAGAAAAAGCATCATAGGAAACAATCAGATCCAAAATGTGCAACGTTAAAGTCGAATAATTAAGAACGTAGGGGAAAGAGCCAGGCGAGGTGGCTAACGCCTGTAATCCCAACATTTTGGGAGGCGGAGGCGGGTGGATCACTTGGGGTCAGGAGTTCAAGACCAGCCTGGCCAACATGGCAAAACCCTGTCTCTACTAAAAATACAAAAATTAGCCGGGCATTGTGGCACACGCCTATAATCCCAGCTACTTGGGAGGCTGAGGCAGGAGAATTGCTTGAACCCGGGAAGCGAAGGTTGCAGTGAGCCGAGATCACACCACTGCACTCCAGCCTGGGCACAGTGAGACTCCCATCTCAAAAAAAAAAAAAAAAAATGCGGGAGAGGGGCAGGCCTATTGGCTCATGCCTGCAATCCCAGCACTTTGGGAGGCCAAGGTGGGCAGATCACTGGAGACCAGGAGCTCCAAACCAGCCTGGGCAACATGGCAAAACCCTTTCTGTTAAAAAAAAAAAAAAAAAAGAAAGTTAACCAGCCATTGTAGTGTGCGTCTGTAGTCCCAGCTACTTGGAAGGCTGAGGTGGGAGGATCACCTGAGACCAGGAAGTTCGAGGCTGCAGTGAGCTGAGACTGCGCCACTGCACTCTATCCTGGGTGAAAAGGGAAGACCCTGTCTTTAAAAATAATAATAAATAATAAAAATAAATAAATGGTGCGGGGATTTCATCGTGATTGCTTCTTAGGAATTACATCGTGATTGCTTCTTAGGAATTACATCCTGAGAATTAACGGTGGCATGGGGGATAAGGGACTACTCGTTTCATTATATCTTAGTAGCAGTCGTCTCAGTCTCTAAACTATGTGTATGGATTGCTTAGATTAAAGAACTATTTTTAAAAAATTATTCTTAAGTCGGGAGCGGTGGCTCACGCCTGTAATCCCAGCACTTTGGGAGGCTGAGGCTGGCAGATCACGAGGTCAGGAGATCGAGACCATCCTGGCTAACACGGTGAAACCTCGTCTCTACTAAAAATACAAAAAATTAGCCGGGCGTGGTGGCGGGCGCCTGTAGTCCCAGCTACTCGGGAGGCTGAGGCAGGAGAATGGCGTGAACCTGGGAGGCGGAGCTTGCAGTGAGCCAAGATCATGCCACTGTACTCCAGCCTGGGCGACAGAGCGAGACTCCGTCTCAAAAAATATATAAAATATATATATAATTCTTAAAAAAATTATTCTTAAACATGGGTATGAGGAAGAGGGGCTGTTTAGATCAGAGGTGGGCAAAGGACAGCCTGAGGTTCAAATCCAGCCCATAGCCTGTTTTTGCAAGTAAAGTTTTATTGGAACACAGCCATGCCCATTCCTTTAAGCTCTGTCTGTGTCCGTACTGTTTATGGCTATATGCTCCAACAGCACAATTATGTGTTAAAAAGGACAATGGCCTGCAAAGCCTGAAATATTTACTATCTAGTCCTTTACTGGAAAAATTTTCTGACCACTGTTTTGGATTAAAAGGAACTTAAAGGGTCAAATGCGATGTATAAACCTTGATTTCAAACCTGATTTCAAAACATGAAAGACATAAAAGATGTTCTGGGAACAGTTAGGGAAGTTCTAATATAAACTGGATATTACATGACTTTAGTGAACTATAATTACCTTTAGATGTGATTAGGCTGCTAGGGTCATGTAGGATAATGTCCTTAGTTTTCTTTTTGTTTTTTTTTTTGAGATGGAGTCTCACTCTGTCGCCCAGGCTAGAGTGCAGTGGTGCGACCTTGGCTCACTGCAACCTCAGCCTCCTGAGTAGCTGGGATTACAGGTGTGCGCCACCATGCCCTAATTTTTGTATTTTTACTAGTGATGGGTTTTCACCATGTTGGTCAGGCTGGTCTCAAACTCCTGACCTCGTGATCCGCCCTCCTCGGCCTCCCAAAGTGCTGGGATTACAGGCGTGAGCCACTGCGGCGGCTGTCCTTAGGTTTTGTTTTGTTTTGTTTTGTTTGAGATGGAGTTTCACTTTTGTTACCCAGGCTGGAGTGCAATGACGCCATCTCAGCTCTCCACAACCTTCGTCTCCCGGCTTCAAGCGATTCTCCTGCCTCAGCCTCCTGAGTAGCTGGAACTACAGGTGCCCACCATCATGCCCAGTTAATTTTGTATTTTTTAGTAGAGACGGGGTTTCTCCATGTTGGTCAGGCTGGTCTTGAACTTCCGACCTCAGGTAATCCACCCACCGTGGCCTCCCAAAGTGCTGGGATTACAGGCATGAGCCACCGCGCCCGGTCTGTCCTTAGTTTTTAAAGATGCAAGCTGCTGGGAGGAAGTATCCTGATGTCTATAATTTGTTTTGCAGTGCTTCGGCAGAGATTATGAATATAAATAGATGAAGCAAATACAGCAAAATGTTAATAGTTGTTGAAATATGTTGTGGGGGTATATGAATGATCATCATACTATTTTCTCCCTTTTTATTCCTGAATGCTTGAAATGATCATAAAGTCTTATTTTTTAAAGCAGAAACATGCTATTTATTTTGCTTTAATTCTGAGTTCTTTCTCTCTGAAAACTTCCAAGATCCTTGCAAAGTTCTTGCCAGCAAGTATTTGGGACACCCACTATGGGCCAGGCACTTGTGAGCAGGGAAAGCTCAAAAGAAAAAGATGCAGTAGCTGATGACCTCAGAGAATTCACAAAGTGAACCTCAGACCTCAAACGCTCCTGATGAAGAAGGCATGTTCTCATTTAAATAAATGACTGAGGAGGGGGGAATGTGGGGAAGCAGCAGTTAGAGATTGCCATAGAAGATGAGAATTATGGAAATTAGGAACACAGAAGCTGTGAAGTTGAATTTGAGTTTATGAAACAGAAATCATTCCTCTCCCTTTCTCTACTAACCACCAAATACTACACATTTGAAGAAAATAGAAAACAGCCGAAAGAGCTGAGTGGCGTGGTACTTGCCTATAGTTTCAGCTGCTCAGGAGGGTGAGGTAGGAGGGTCACTTACGCCCAGGGGTTCGGGTCTAGCCTGGGCAACCTAGCAAAACCCTGTCTCTGGAAAACAAAAAACAAAAAAGCAGCAAAGCCCCACCCCTTGGCAGGTAATAGAGTTGGGACTACAGCTGCATCCCCTTGTAACCCCGTCTCCCCACCCCAAAATTGCCCTTCCACATCCTTTAAGCTTTGGCAATTTAGTACTCACCTGGAGAGCTCTTCTGTGCCACACAAGTGTAAGGAGGTAGCCATGTGCCTTCTCAGGGCCTCATAAAACTGCCTCTTAACCTGAGCCAGGAAGCAGGGAGGGCTTGGTTTCTAGCAAGGGTAAATGTGCCTGACTCCAGGAAAAGAATCAGTCAGACAACAAATACATCTATTTGTAGCCTAAAATCTGCTGGGCCAGCAACATGCTAATAACCAGCTGGGCATGATGGAGAGGCCACAAGCCGACTGTCAGGATGGGAAGAGCCCTGCACTACTGGTCAGAGAAAATATACGTGAAAGTGCTGCATAAGCCAAATGGCACTATTTAAAATATGCTTGCTGTTATAAGCTGATTTCACTACTTACTAGTTCATGTCCTTAGACAAGTCAACCTTGCCTTTTCGGTCTCAGTTTCTGCAGCTATAAAATGGTAATAATTTTTTGTTTATCTTGTAGAGCTCTTAGAAACTCAGATTTAAAAAATGCACAGGCCAAGCGCAGTGGCTCATGCCTGTAATCCCAGCACTCTACGAGGCCGAGGCGAGTGGATCACTTGAGGTCAGGAGTTCAAAACCAGCCTGGCCAACATGGTGAAACTCTGTCTCTACTAAAAATACAAAAATCAGCCAGGTGTGGTGGCACAGCCCTGTAATCCCAGCTACTCAAGAGGCTGAGGCAGGAGAATCGCTTGAACCTGGGAGGCAGGGGTTGCAGTGAGCCGAGATGGCGCCACTGCACTCCAGCCTGGGCAACAGAGTGAGACTCTGACTCAAAAACACAAATTCCTTGTAAACTGATCAAATATATTGTATTATTATTCCTCGAAATTTATTCTACATAAAAAAATAAGATGCAAGAATGTACCAGCCTCATTTTCTCTTAATTTTGTGCACACAGCTAGCTAGAATATTCCTCAGCCTTTCTTGCAGTTAGGTATGGCCATGGGATGAGCTCTATCCAACGAAAGGGTTGTGGGTGGCAGCGATTACATCACTAGGGGGCCTGTTCCATAAAACTCCCCCAGTACACTCCTCAATGCCTTATCCCCCATTCTGTCTCAGTGTGGCAGATATCATGACCTTGGAAGTCATTTGTTAAAGATAGAGAAGTTACAAGATAGAAGAAACCTGGGATGCTGAATCACCAGTACTGTTAAGGACAGCTACCGACAGATGAAGAACATCTGTTTTGGACTTCATAGACAAAGAATAAACTTTTGTAACGTTTAGGCAATTATATTAGGTTGAACCACATGAAACTGCCAATATTTGACTGGTTTTGACCTATAAAAATCATTCCATGTGGTACAACCTAATAGACATTTTGCTTTGTTTCCTCTAAAATGAAAATCTTAGGTGGGGTGTGGTGGCTCACGCCTGTAATCCCAGCACTTTGGGAGGCCAAGGCAGGTGGATTACGAGGTCAGGAGATCGAGACCATCCTGGCTAACATGGTGAAACCTCGTCTCTACTAAAAATACAAAAAATTAGCTGGGCATGGTGGCGGGCACCTGTAATCCCAGCTACTCGGGAGGCTGAGGCAGGAGAATGGCATGAACTCAGGAGGCAGAGCTTGCAGTGAGCCGAGATCACGCCACTGCACTCCAGCCTGGGCGACAGAGCAAGACTCCGTCTCAAAAAAAAAAAAAGAAAGAAAAAAAAAGAAAATCTTAGAGGAAAAAAAAAGTTGTTTTGTTTTGTTTGGTTTGTTTGTGTTTTTTTTTGCTGGAGTGCAGTGGCACAATCATGGCTCACTGCAGCCTCAATTTCCCCTGGCTCAAGTGACCCTCCTACCTCAGACTCCCTAGTTGCTGGGACTACATGCACACGCCACCATGCCCAGCTAATTTTTGTATTTTTTGTTGAGATGGAATTTTGCCATGTTGCCCAGGCTGGTCTCAAACTTCTGGGCTCAAGCAATTCACCCACCTTGGCCTCCCAAAGTGCCGGGATTACAGGTGTGTGTGAGCCACTGCGCCTGGCCTTTTTTTTTTTGAGACAGGGTCTCTCCTTCTGTTTCTCAGGCTGGAGTACAGTGGCGCGATCTCGACTCGCTTTAGTCTCAACCTCCCAGTCTCAAATGATCCTCCCACCTCAGCCTCCCCAGTAGCTGGGACCACAGGTGTGCAGCACCACGCCCAGCTAATTTTTATATTTTTTTGTGGAGATGGGATCTCCCTATGTGGCCCAAGCTAGTCTCAAACTCCTGGGTTCAAGCGATCCTCTCAAAGGGTGGGGATTACAGGCATGAGCCATTGCGCCCAGCCTGAGGAAATGTTTTCAACAGTCACATTTTCAAAAGTGAGGAGGGAAATTAGTATTCTTGAGCTCATAGATCAGAGATTGTAAACTGTCTGCCTTTGGTCCACATTTGGGTGTAAAAATATTTTATTTGCTGCACAAAATGTTGGCCCACATAGTTTTAAACAATTGAATTCATTGCTGAATCAAATATATCTTCCTGTGATACAGTCAAAAATATTTTTCTTTTTCATTGTTTTTTTGACCTTTGGAATTAACATAGCAAAACAAAAACCTAAAACCAAACTAAACAAAGCAAAAAGAACAAATCTACTTTAATAAACAAAGAATTAAACTGTTTAGGCCTTAAAAGAGAGAGATCAATTTATAATTATGGGATGAGTAAGTTCTTTCTAAAATATAACATGAAATTCAGAAAATAAAAATAAATTGATAAAATTGACCACATTACTCTTGTATGGCAAAAATACTGTAAAATAGTCAAAATATAACAGATACTTTCTTTAGTATGTAAAGGGATTAAACAAGGTAATAAGAAAAAATGAAAATTACAAATAGCAGGCAGCTCAAGAAGAAAAGGTAGGGCTGAGCACAGTGGCTCATGCCTGTAATCCCAGCACTTTGGGAGGCTGAGGTGGGTGGATCACCTGAGGTCAGGAGTTCAAGACCAGCCTGGCCAACATGGTGAAACCCCGTCTCTACTAAAAATACAAAAAATTAGCTGGATGTGGTGGCAGACGCCTGTAATCCCAGCTACTTGGGAGGCTGAGGCAGGAGAATCGCCTGAACCCGGGAGGCAGAGGTTACAGTGAGCCGAGGTTGAGCCACTGCACTCTAGCCTGGGCAATAAGAGCAAAACTCCGTCTCAAAAAAAAAAAGAAGAAGAAGAAAAGGTATACAGGCCAGGTGTGGTGGAACACACCTGTAGTCCCAGCTACTCAGGAGGCTAAGGCAGGAGGACCCCCTTGAGTCCAGGAGATTGAGGCTACAGTGAGCTATGATAGCGCCACTGTACTCCAGCTTGGACGACAGAGCAAGTCTGTCTCTGAAATAGAAAGGAAAAAAGGTATACAGATCATCAATAAACATAAGAACAACTTTACCAAATTACCAAAATTAAGTAATAATAATACCCAGTGTTGGCCAGAGTGTAGGGAAACAGACATACATTGTAGGTGAGAGTATAAATTTGTGGAAGCTTTTGGAAGGATATTTTGCTAATAGCTAGAGTAAAAATGCTAACCAGGCGATTATACTGCTAGTTTAGTATAGGAATCTAGTCATAAAAGTCACTAAGATATAGGTACAAGAATGTTCTTTATACTATTGTATATATATATATATGTATGTATGTATATATAAATCTGATAAATGGGGCTAGTAAATAATTCTATTTCCAAAAAATTCAGCAATTAAAATGCAAAAATATTTCCTGGATAGACTATTTAGTGGGAAAAGCAAAATGCAGAACAGTGTGAAACCATCTGTGTAAAATTTTTGAAAGGATATGTATGTTTTTCTTTTTTTCTTCCCCTTCTTGTTCCATATACAAGAAGCTATCAGGCTGGTTCACACCTATAACCTCAGGACTTTGGGAGGCCAAGGCAGACAGAGTACTTTAGCCCAGGAGTTCAAGACCAGCCTGGCCAAAATGGTGAAACACTGTCTCTACTAAAAATGCAGAAAATTAGCTGGGCATGATGGCTCACTCCTGTAGTCCCAGCTACTCGGGAGGTTGAGGTGGGAGGATCACTTGAGCTTCAGAAGTCGAGGCTGCAATGAGCCGTGATCGCACCACTGCACTCCAGTCTGGGCAACAGGAGTTGCCCTGTCTTAAAACAAAACAAACAGACAAAAGCTATTAACAAGTTCCCACCTTTGGGGCAAGGGATTAGAGATTTGGGGATCAGAGAATGGGGAGGAAGATGTGAAGATGTTTGCTTTTCATTTCTTTCTGTATTGTTACATTTTTATATATTTTTTTCCTTTTGAGACAGGGTCTGGCACTGTTACCCAGGCTGGAGTGTGTGGCACGAGCTCACCTCTGCTTCCCGGGCTCAAGTGAGCCTCCCACCTCAGACTCCCTGGTAGCTGGGACTACAGGCAGAAACCACCAAGCCTGGCTAATTTTTCTATTTTTTGTAGAGACAGTTTCACCATGTTACCCAGGCTGGTCTCAAACTCCTGAGCTCAAGCAATACACCTGTGTTGACCTCCCAAAGTGCTGGGATTACAGGCATGAACTATCATGCCCGACCTGTTTCATTTTTTAAAAACCATGTACCTGGCCGGGCACGGTGGCTCACACCTGTAATCCCAGCACTTTGGAAGGCTGAGGCGGGCGGATCACTTTTGGTTGGGAGTTCGAGACCAGCCTGACCAACATGGAGAAACCCCATCTCTACTAAAAAATACAAAATTAGCTGGGCGTGGTGGTGCATGCCTGTAGTCCCAGCTACTCAGGACGCTGAAGCAGGAGAATCTCTTGAACCCGGGAGGTGGAGGTTGGGGTGAGCCAAGATTGTGCCATTGCACTCCAGCCTGAGCAACAAGAGCAAAACTCCGTCTCAAAAAAAAAAAAGTGCCTGTGTTATTTTCACATGTATTATTTTCATGCTTTAAAAATGTAAAATAAATGAAGCTATAGGCAAAAACTACCAAATACATTTTATCTAAAGCTAGGATACCAGTTATTTGTTTTGTTGTTTGTTTTTTTCCTCGAAGAAATCATGAGGTATATATATAGTTTTGTGGCTTCACCACTGTAATCCCCAAGGCTTTTCCAGTAGGGAACAAAGTAGAAAGTGTAAAGTATAAATGAACAGATTATTTGAGATTCATCAGTTCCCTGTACATAGCTCTCCCTTAGCCCCAATTACTATTCTTTCTACTTCAGGCTAAGAAATCACCGCATGGTTTTGAAAGTATTAAACTATCATTTTATAGCAGAAGAACTAGAATCACAGTAGAGTTATAGGGACAGAATTATTCCAGCTTCCACCTGTTTACTCTCTATTAGAGAAATGTAATGTTGTGAAATGGTAGATTGGAGACCAAAGTGTTGTATTACAGTAGGCTTAAGTTAATGCCAGTGATCTGGTTTGATCTTAAATGAACTGTAATGATTTGAAAGAAAGCACAAATTTTAAGATTTTGCTATTCCTTCTCTCCTTGTTCTAGACGATTTGTCTCTTTTTTATAGTCTTCCTTAGAGCTTTCCTCAATCTCTTGTCAGTTCTTGGAATTGAGTTTTCTTACTTCTTCCCAAATCACAGATGTTTTCCCACCCTGTGAAATCTAGGGACTGGCTGGCCAGAGTGTTACCGCAATTGTGTTATTCTGGAGGAAATCCTTTCTTTATCTGCCAGGAATTTCTGGCTCCAAACCAGGGGAAAAAATTTGGTGCACTGCCAGGTAATTGCCTTCTTCCTTTTCCCTTTAGCCGTCTGCAGGCGACTAGCTGGAGCCCACGGGTAAAACCACAGCCTCCAGGGTTGGGAGGGAGCAACTTTCAGGGATCCTGAAGGATAAGGCCAATCACTTCTCCTCCATACAGACAGGACCTCATTTAAACCACAACCTAGCCTTTGTTAGTGCCTTCCAAAAGGAGAACTCATCTAAACTCTGTTGATCACGAATCTCAGTGTTAAAAATCACTATCATAAAATTTTTTCTTTCATCTACACCAGAGGTTGGCAAACTTTTTTGCAAAGGACCAGTTAATTAATATTTTAGTCTTCACTGACTATATGATCTCTGTCGTGACTGCTTAACTCTTCCATTGTGGTGCAAAAGCCAAAATACCAAACAAACGCGTGTGGCTGTCTTCCAATAAAACTTTCTTTATGGACACTGAAAGTTGAATTTCATTTTATTTTCCCATGTCATGCAATATTATTCTTTTTTCCCCCATCCATATATAAATAGAAAAACCATTCTTAGTTCATAGGCAGTATAAAAACAGGTAGCAGGCTTTATATAGTTTGTTGGCCCCTGATCTTAACAACTGGTTTTCTTTTTTTTTTTTTTTTTCTGAGACGGAGTCTTGCTTTGTCACCAAGGCTGGAGTGCAGTGGCACGATCTCAGCTCACTGCAACCTCTGCTTCCCAGGTTCAAGTAATTCTCCTGCCTCATCCTCCCTAGTAGCTGGGATTACAGGCGTGCACCACCACACCTGACCAATTTTGTTTGTATTTTTAGTAGAGATTGGGTTTCACCATGTTGGCCAGGCTCATCTCGAACTCCTGAACTCAGGTGATCCGCTGCCTCAGCCTTCCAAAATTCTGGGATTACAGGCATGCACCACCATGCCTGGCCAACAACTGGTTTTCAAACTGTGTTTTGGGAAGCCCTCTGAGGAGACAGCTCGCTGGGCTAGGGAATGCCAGTCTTCCAGTACCCTTTTTTTCTGTTTTATATATTGTCCTTTCAAATTTTGTTTCAAGGGTTCTATAACCAAAAGTTTAAAAGTCACTAACCTAAGCAGAATCCCTTCTTTTGCAACTTTAGCCCATTTACTTTTGGTCTTCCCTCAGTGCAGGTAGAGAAGAGCTGGTTATTTAACTCTTTTTTTTTTTTTTTTTTTTTGAGATGGAGGCATACTCTGTCGCCCAGGCCGGAGTGCAATGGCATGATCTCGGCTCACTGCAACCTCCACCCGCTGGGTTCAAGCAGTTCTTCTGCCTCAGCCTTCTGAGTAGCTGGGATTACAGGCACCCGCCACCACACCCGGCTAACTTTTTGTATTTTTAGTAGAGATGGGGTTTCACCATGTTGGTCAGGCTGGTCTGGAACTCCTGACCTCACAATCTACCCGCCATGGCCTCCCAAAGTGCTGGGGTTACAGGCGTGAGCCACTGCACCCCGGCTATTTAACTCATTTTATAGGCCTCTCAAGGAAGTAATTAAATAATTGAAAGCTTAATCTTAAATAAGCCTTATCCTTTCGTATACTTCATAAGTCTGCCATATTTTTCCAATCCTTTAATTTGTATTTATGACCCTTCTCTCCAAAATCCTACAAATTTGCACACAGTGAAATAATACTCCGGATGGAAGAGTACCTTTCTGTGTATCCCAGCATCTTTCCCTTATTATTCAGGGTCACCAGCAGCACCATGGCCAGAGGGAGTGTCCAGATAGTGCTAGAAGAGAGGCAAAAGGCAAGGCCAAGTCTGATGTGAGGATTAAGAGAGTCGCTAAGTGGGGAAAAAAAAAAAAACGTCCTGAGGTCAGAATCCAGGAAAATCTTGAATGGACAGGAAGCAAAGTGGGATATGGGTGAGGGCAAGCAATTTAGGAGAGATGCTATGAGCAACACAGGGGTGCCTCAGGATAATCACCCATGCCTCCTTTATAGACAAATAATATATTTTTGTTTATTGGTTTTTTGGTGGGTTTTTTTTGTTTGTTTTTTGTTTTTTTTTGAAATGGAGTCTCGCTCTGTCTGCCAGGCTGGAGTGCAATGGTGCAATCTTGGCTCACTGCAACCTCTGCCTCCTGGGTTCAAGCGATTCTCCTGCCTCAGCCTCCAAAGTAGCTGGGATTACAGGTGCACACCACCACACCTGGATAATTTTTTTGTATTTTTAGTAGAGACGAGGTTTCACTGTGTTGGCCAGGCTGGTCTCAAACTCCTGACCTCAAGTGATCCACCCACCTCAGCCTCCCAAAGTGCTGGGATTTACAGGCATGAACCACCGCACACAGCCTTTTTGGTGTTTTTTTGTCTGTTTGTTTTTGAGACAGGGTCTCACTCTGTCACCCAGGCTAGAGTGCAGTGGTGTGATCATGGCTCACTGCAGCCATGACTTCCCAGGCTCAATTGATCCTCCCACCTCAGCCTCCCAAGTAGCTGGGACTACAGGCACTTGCCACCATGCCCAGCTAATTTTTTGTATTTTCAGTAGAGACGAGTTTTCACTATGTTGCCAAGACTGGTCTTGAACTCCTGGGCTCAGGCAGTCCGCCCACCTTGACCTCCCAAAGTGCTGCAATTTACAGGTGTGAGCCACTGCACCCGGCCTGTATGTTTGTTTTTTGTTTTTGAGACAGGGGTCTTGCTGTATTGCCCAGGATACAGTGCTGAGTTACTCAGACTGGTCTCGAACTCCTGGCCTCAAGCAATCCTCCTGCCTCAGCCTCCTAAAGCCCTGAGAATACAGGCTTGAACCACCATGCCCAGCCAATACATTTTAGTCATAGCAAATATTTATATTAAAAGATAATTAAAATCACCCATAATTCTACCACTCAGAGATAATTACTATTAAAAATTTGGTGTATGTCCTTCCAGAATTTTCTTCTATGACCATATATAAAACATTATTATTATTATTATTATTATTATTATTATTATTATTATTATTATTATTATTTGAGATGGAGTATCACCCTGTCGCCCAGGCTGGAGTGCAATGGCGCAATCTTGGCTCACTGCAGCCTCTGCCTCCCAGGTTCTAGCGATTCTCCTGCCTCAGCCTCCTGAGTAGCTGGGATTACAGGTGCACACCACCATGCCTGGCTAGTTTTTGTATTTTTAGTAGAGATGGGGTTTCACCATGTTGGCCAGGCTGGTCTGGAACTCCTGACCTCAGGTGGTCCACTCACCTCGGCCACCCAAAGTGCTGAGATTACAGGAACGAGCCACCATGCCCGGTCCATATATAAAACATTTGTATACACAGTATTGTCACTTTTATGTCCCACGGACAACTCAAACACACTATGTGCCAAAAAAATAAAATTTTCCGTCTTCCCTAAACCTGTTTCACTGTCACCTACTGTTCACTTCAAAACCTAGGAGTTCATGACCCTCTGTCTCCCTCACCACCATCCCACGGATCACTAAGTCTCCTTGTTAGCTCTTCTCTTCCAGAAATCATACTAGTCACACTCTGACCCATTCTTTCTAAGACTGAAGTCTAGCACTTAAGAAAATATAAAACAGGCTGTGTGCAGTGGCTCATGCCTATAACCCCAGTACTTTGGGAGGCCAAGGTGGGAGGATTGCTTGAGCCCAGGAGTTAAAGACCAGCCTGAACAACATAGTGAGACCCCATGTCTACAAAAAATTAAAAAATCAGCAGGGCATGGTGGTGTGTGCCTGTGTACCCAGCTACTTCGGAGACTGAGGCAGGAGGATCAGTTGAGCCCAGGAGGCTGAGGCTGCAGAGAGCCATGATTGTGCCACTGCACTCCAACCTGGGCAACAGATCGATACCCTGTCTCAAAAAAAGAAAAAATATGAAACATGTTTATTTCAAGAGTCTACATTTGCATAACTAAAAACTGGGCTCCCCAATGCAGGGTGCCCAGTGTCTCTGTCAGCTAATATTGTACTACCCGCTGGACACCTGAAAGTTGTCATTTTCAGGGAAACCAATAAAAACAGGTGTGAAGTCATGTTTAGTCATTTTGAAGTCAGGTGTCTATGTTTGAGGGTTGAATTCTAGAGGCCTCCAGAAATAAAAGGGGTACAGCCTAGCTCCGAAATGAGTTGGTTACAGAGGTGTCCAGATATAATGATGGTGAATATACCTTGTAATTTAGAATCTAAGGAAGGGTTATTTGGAAGTGGGTAATTAGTCTCAACTAACATTGGTGCCACTTCTCCTTACAGTCTGAGGAAACTGTGGAGGGAGAAGGTGCTCCCAGATGACAGAGCCACTCTCATTCTGCTATACTGATGATAACAGGTAACATTTATTGAGTACTTGGTGTGTACTAGGCATAGTGCTAAGAGTGCTCGTTCTTTCTTTTATTCCTCACAACACCACTGTAAATTGAGGCATGTGCAAAACAAGAGGACAGAGAGGCTTAGCAAGGTTAGCTACTTTGTCTAAGGTCACTTAGCTAGAAAGTGCAAGAGCTGGGATTGGAACCACGACCATGCAACTTCAGAGTCCTAGTACTTAAGGCATTCAGTCTTTGCTGCCTATAACCACGACTCCACAGTAAGAACCAGGGTCAGAGAGAAAAGGAGGTGACCCAGGAGGATGATCCATCATAGTCTTGTGGAAGGTAGGGGCCTGGGAATGAACCCAGTCCAAAGGGAGTAAAACTCCTAGTCCAAACTGTGCCCCCAAAGCTTCTGCATTTGAACGAAGGCCTGAAACAGACATTTACAATAGAGTGAGCCAGTTTGGACTGTTGAAGAGGCTCTGAGTAGGGAGTTAGCTACCCTGAAGAATAAGGCCAGAAATTTGCCAGTTTCCCAATTTCCGAGTGTCCAATACTGTCGGGGCAAGTTCTTCACCTGCTGCTCATCTCCTAATTTAGCCATCCATATGCACAGTTAACAGAAACCTTTGGATTCCAAAAAAACACTGTTATTATATAGTATTCACTTCAACAACCTATTACCCTTGCAAGCTTCCAAATGACTGAAAATTTTACACTCACTCAGCAATTATTTAAAATTATTTACTGATTCTGTCTCCCAGACACTGTGTCAGATGCTGGAGATGTAGTGGTGAACAGGAAAACCAGAGTCCTTGTTTTCATGGCGTAAAGGGGAGAAAGCAGATGGTATTTGAGTAATTTACAAAGTGTAAGGAATGACATGTTGGGAAAGTATATGAGTCTACACAAATACCTAGCAAAGAGACTTTCCAACTCAGAGGTCAGGGAATGTCTCCTTGAGGAAATTACTTTTAAGTTTAGACTTGAAGAAAATAGGCCTTTGCCTATTGACGGGGTAGGTAATATTAATAGAAGGTGAAGAATCAGCTGGGCACGGTGGCTCATGCCTGTAATCTCAGCACTTTGGGAGGCCAGGGCGCACAGATTGTGTGAGCTCAGGAGTTTGAGACTAGCCTGGGCAACACAGTGAAACACCCATCACTACAAAAAAATTTTTTAAAAATTAGCTGGGCAGGGTGGTATGTACCTGTGGTCTCAGCTACTCGAGAGACTGAAGTGGGAGGATCCCTTAAACCCAGGAGGTCAAGGCTACAGTGAGCCAAGATCACACCACTGCACTCCAGCCTGGGTGACAGAGTGAGACCCTGTCTCAATAAAAAAGAAAAGAAAAGAAAAAGGGTGAGCAATCTAGATGGAAGGAAAGTAGTCTTGGAGGTGGAGAAACTGCCAGAGAAGAAGAAGAGTGAGATCACCAGTTGGAAAGGAAAATGGGATTCAGGCAGAGTTTTTTTGTGTTGTGTGTGTGTGTGTGTGTGTGTGTGTGTGTGTGTGTTTTAATTTGAGTTGGGGTCTTGCTCTGTTGCCCAGACAGGAGAACAGTGGTGCTATCATAGCTCACTACAGCCTCGAACTCCTGGCTTAAGTGATCCTCCTGCCTCAGCTTCCCATGTAACTGCGACCATAGGTGCCCCCTAGATAATGTTTTTTGTCGATGGTTTTGCTTTACAAAATGGGAGAGGTTTGAGCATGCTCATGTCTAATGGGAAGGAGCCAGTTAAGAAGGTGAGACTGACACAGTCTTACCCATAGTAGAACCTTATGCATGGTGTGAGGTCCCTAAGAAGATATGAGAGAAGAGAATCTAGGGCTCAGGAGCAGCATTTAGATTTAGGAAGGAGAAGAAAACTCTCTTATAACATGCCTGAAGAAAATGAGGGTTACGGATTTGGATGGGTTTGCCATTTGTTAGTGGGAGTTGGATTCTGTCTTTTCCGGAAAGGAGTGAGATCATCTGCTGAAAGTAAGAGGGTACATGAGGCATTGGGGACCTGAGGAGAAGGCTTGAAAATAGCCACTGTGAAGGGTTGTGTCTGTGAATTTGGAGGGGCGCTGGTCTGCCCAGGTGTGGGTTTTTATCCAGCAGCATTCAACAGCCCAAGCGTGGGTAGCTAGAAAGCAAAAAGCTGGAGTCATCCAGGCCCAGGGCTTGCCAGGCAGATGCAATGAAAAGACAGAGGGGCAAAGGAGTATAGGATATTGGCAAGAGAGTGGGTGAAGTCAGGGGCCATGGAATATAAGTTGGTGCAGAGGGGGAAAAGACAAGAGAGGGCCAAAAAGAGAGAGCACGAATGGGTCCATGGACTAGAGAGCAGAGAACTAGGGAAGTGGGAATAACTGAGCAGCTCTGCTGTAAATATACACTGAATCTGATCACCTTCTACCATCTCCACTGCTACCAACCTGTTATAAACTACGATCATCTCTCTCCTGGACCACTGAAATGGCTTCTTCCTTCTTGATCCCTCTGCTTCAATTCTTATTACCCTGCAATCCGTTCCTCACTTACATTAAAATTACCTTTTTTTTTTTCTTTTGAGATGGAGTCTTGCTCTGTCACCCAGGCTGAAGTGCAGTGGTGCGATCTCAGCTCACTGAAACCTCCACCTCCCAGAGTCAAGAGATTCTTCTGCCTCAGCCTCCCAAGTAGCTGGGGCTACAGGTGCTCACTACCATGCCTGGCTAATTTTTGTATTTTTAGTAGAGACGGGGTTTCACCACATTGGGCAGGCTGGTCTCAAACTTCTGACCTCAGGTGATCCACCCGCCTCAGCCTCCCAAAGTGCTGGGATTACAGGCATAAGCCATTGTGCCCAGCCTCAAATTATCTTTTTATGTATGAGTCTCTGGTACCAGCCAACATCATGTGCCTCCTCATGATGCACTGAAGAGAACACAACATCAGTTTTGTGGTTTTCCTGACAAAAATGCATATCTGGTTAGAATCACGAGGAAACATCAGACAAACCAAAATGGAAGACCATTCTACAGAATGACTGCATTCTAAAAATGTCAAGGTTGGCTGGGGGTGGTGGCTCACCTCTGGAATTCCAGCACTTTAGGAGGCTCAGGTGGGAAGATCACTTGAGGCCAGGAGTTTGAGAGCAGCCTGGGCAAGACAGTGAGACCTAATATCTACAAAAAAAAATTTAAAAATCAGCAAGGCATGGTAGCACATGCCTGTGATTCCAGCTACTCAGGAGTCTGAGCCCAAGAGGTTGAGGTTGCAGTGAGCCATGATCATCCCACTGCACTCTAGCCTGGGCAACAGAGAGAGACCCTGTCTCAAAAAGGGGTTGAGGAAAAGGTCAAAGTTGGGAAGACAAAGAAAGACAGAGGAACTGGTCTAGATTAAAAGTGACTAAAGAGATAATAATGAAATACAGTGGCCTGGTGCAGTGACTCATGACTGTAATCCCAGCACTTTGGTAGTCCGAGGAGGGAGGATCATGAGGTCAGGAGATCGAGGCCATCCTGACCAACATGGTGAAACCCCAACTCTACTAAAAATACAAAAATTAGCCTGGCGTGATGGCACGCACCTGTGGTCCCAGCTACTCAGGAGGCTGAGGCAGGAGAATCACTTGAACCCGGGAGGCAGAGGTTGCAATGAGCCGAGATCGTGCCACTGTACTCCAGCCTGGTGACAGAGTGAGACTCTGTCTCAAAAAAAAAAGAAAAAGAAAAAAAAAGAAATAATATAGTGTTTGTCCTGAAGTGGATCTGGGACTAGGACACAAGTAGTTATAAGGAACATTACTAGGATAATTAAAATTTGAACATGACCTACAGATAAGATAATAGTACTGCTGTTCCCATGTTAAATTTTCCGATTTTGACAATCTAAGAGAATATCCTTGTTTTTAGGACATACGTGAAGTGTATTTAGGAGTGAGAGGACACAATCATCTGCAATTTACTCTCAAATGATTGAGAAAAAACTGTGTATATAAAATGTGTGTGGTGTGTGTGCATGTGAGAAAGAGATAATTATGAAAGGAATGAGGGTAAAATGTAAACAGTTGGTGAATTTGAGTAAAGGGTATATGGGAAAAGTTACCACTCCAAAAAAAAGTAATCAATCATGTTAGTTCCCTGGTTGCAACTCATCAATGTCTTCCCATGACACTAAAATGAAAACTCCTCATTAGGGCCTACAACATCCCTGAAATATGCAGCCTGCTTATTTTTATTTATCTCTTTGGCCTCATCTCCTTTCATTCTGTTCTTTGATCACAGCCTTCCAGCCACACAGATTTTCTTTCTGATTCTGGAGCACTTTAAGCTCATTCTTGGCTCCAGGCCTTAGGACTTCTGTCTCCCTCTGTCTGAAATACTCTTCTTCCAATTCACAGGGTTCATTCCTTGTCATTCAGGTTGGAGTACTTGTATTACTTCCTCAAAGGAGCCCTCCCCAGCCATCATTCTAACGTTGCCCCATCTCTCTATCCAAAACTTTTCAGCATACCAATTATTTACCCATGTCTGCCTCCTCCGGTAGACGGTAAACCTCCAAGAGCAGGATCTGTGTGGTCTTATGCATCACCCTCAATCAAGAGCAGGATCTATTTCCTCTTCTGCATCATCCCATCTCCTGCACCTCATTCAGTATAAGAGGACATGCTCAGGGCCGGGCGCAGTGGCTCATGCCTGTAATCCCAGCACTTTGGGAGGCCAACGCAGTAGGATTTCCCTGAGGTCAGGAGTTGAAGACCACTCTGCCCAACATGGTGAAACCCTGTTTCTACTAAAAAATACAAAATTAGCCTGGTGTGGTGGCAGGCGCCTGTAGTCCCAGCTACTCTGGAGGCTGAGGCATGAGAGTCGCTTGAACCCAGGGGGACAGAGGTTGCAGTGAGCTGAGATCGCACCACCGCACTCCAGCCTGAGCAACAAGTGAAAACTGTCTCAAAAAAAAAAAAAAAGACATGCTCAATAAATCGTTTCTGAAGTCATAAACAAACAAGGAAGGAGACTGTGAACAGAGAGTATATTAGTGAAGGAAGCGGACCAGTGCTGATGAGCTCCACGTGTTAAGAGTGGGTGAGTCTGGGGCCAGCGTGGTGGCTCATGCCTGTAATCCCAATACTTTGGGAGGCTGAGGCAGGCGGATCACCTGAGGTCAGGAGTTCGAGACCGGCCTGGCCAACATGGTGAAACCCCTGTCTCTACTAAAAATACAAAAATTAGCTGGGCACGGTGGTGTGTGCCTGTAATGCCAGCTACTTGGAAGGCTGAGGTAGGAGAATTGCTTGAACGTGGGAGGCGGAGGTTGCAGTGAGCAGAGATCGCAGCCACTGCACTCCAGCCTAGGCAACAGAGTGAGATTCTGTCTCAAAAAAAAAAAAAGAGTTGGGTGAGTCCCTCATGCGCAGTGGAGATAGCTCCTTAAATGATGAATGGGCCGGGCGCGGTGGCTCATGCCTGTAATCCCAGCACTTTGGGAGTCCGAGGCGGGCGGATCACCAGGCCAGGAGTTTGAGACTGGCCTGGTCAACATGGTGAAACCCTGTCTCTACTGAAAATACAAAAATTAGCCTGGCATGGTGGCGGGTGCCTGTAATCCCAGCTACTCAGGAGGCTGAGGCAGGAGAATCACTTGAACACAGGAGGTGGAGGTTGCAGTGAGCAGAGATTGCACCGTTGCATTCCAGCCTGGGCAACAAGAGTGAAACTCCATCCCCCCAAAAAAATAAAAATAAAATGATGAATGAAGAAAGTAAATGTCTATGAAGTATGGAACAATGATGGTGCATTGGAGAGTTTCTCTTACTTCTTTATGTCCCTCCCTTCCCTGGAAGCTGGAAAAGAAGCTGCCAGGGATGAACACCTTTGCTTCTCCTCATCCTTGGAAACCATTAAAACTGCGTCTGAATCTTTGCTGCACTCCTAGAGTATGGACTGGAAAATAGCCCAGGGGAGTCAAAATCCTGACTTTGATTCACAAACATGCTTGAAAGAAAAAAGAAAGGAAGGAAGGAAAAGAGAAATTGTGGCTGTGACCTAACCATAGCTAAAAAAATCTCTTTGACTTCCAGTGGTTTGGTATTAATGGAAGCCTTTTATCTTCAGCACTTTGTCCTTGTGCTGCCAAGTGGAGGAAGGGAAAGTGCAGAAAGCTCTGTCTGCATAATCATGTGCCTGCTGGCCCTCCCCAAATCCAGAGCCATGTGAAGGCTCACCCTCCTGGTTCTGGGAGGCCCCAGGCTAGCATGAGAAATCAGTGGGAAAATGTTCCTTCAGATGTCAAATCCCACCTTCTCTCAGAAAAGAAAGACATAAATAAAGCCGCAGGCAAGGACAGGCAGGCCCTTAGGTTGCTTATGCGAGCATTCTAAAAATCTCCTCATCAATGCTTAGCCTAGATTTCACAGACCAAATGCCAATATGTTTTGCCCTAAAACACAGTTTATAAAATTAAGAGATCCTTTCCCAGGGGACCTCAGCCTCATGGCCTCTGTATCTCTTGTTAGGACCACTTTCAAGGAGGAATAATTTACTCAAAAGTGCATTTTAGGCCAGGCATGGTGGCTCACGCCTGTAATCCCACTTTGGGAGGCCGAGGCAGGCAGATCACTTGATGTCATGGGTTTGAGACCAGCTTGGCCAATGTGGTAAAACCCCATTTCTACTAAAAATACAAAAATTAGCTGGGTGTGGTGGCAGGTGCCTGCAGTCCCAGCTACTCAGGAGGCTGAGGCAGGGCAATCGCTTGAACCCAGAAGGCAGAGATTGCACTGAGCTGAGATCATGCCACTGCACACCAGCCTGGGTGACAGAGCGAGACCATCTCAAAAAAAAAAAAAATGCATTTTACCCTGCGGCTCCCTCCAAATAATTACCTTTTCTCCCATTTTCTATAAGAATTATTTAAATTGCCGAGCACGGTGGCTCACACCTGTAATCCCAGCACTTTGGAAGGCCAAGGCGGGCAGATCACCTGAGGTCTGGAGTTCGAGACCAGCCTGACCAACATGGAGAAACCCCGTCTCTACTAAAAATACAAAATTAGCCGCATGTGGTGGTGCATGCCTGTAATCCCATCTACTCTGGAGGCTGAGGCAGGAGAATGGCTTGAACCCGGGAGGCGGAGGTTGCTGTGAGCCGAGATCGCGCCATTGCACTCCAGCCTGGGCAACAAGAGCGAAACTCCGTCTCGGGAAAAAAAAAAAAAGAATTATTTAAATAATCTTTTTATTTTGGAATAATACTAGATTTACAGAAACGATGCAAAGATAGTACAGAAAGTTCCATATAGCTCTTGTTCATTTTCTCTTGTTAACATATTACTATGGTACATTTGATTCCATTCATTGTTCTGTTACTATTAACTAAACTTGGCACTTTGCTCAGATAGTTTTTCCCTAATGACCCTTTTTCTGTTCCAGATTCCATCCAGGATACCACGTTACATTTAGTCATCATGTCTGGTCAGATACTTTGTAAAATGTCCCTCAAATTTGGATTGTCTGGTGTTTTCCTCACATGTAGATTGGGATTATGGGTTTTCAGAAAGAACACCTCAGAGCTGAAGAGCCCTTCTCATCATATCAGGGTAGATGACATACACATGGCATCACTGGTAATGTTAACCTTCACTGATTGGTTAAGGCAGGGTTTGCCAGCTTTCTCCATTGTAAAGTTACTGTTTCTCCTTTTCTGTAATCTGTTCTTTGGAAGCAACTCCCCCTAAGTCTAGTCTACCCTCAAAAAGGTAGAAAGGGAATTGGGAGGGAATTAAGTTCATTTCCTGGAAAAGGGAGTATTTACAGACATTATTACTGTTATTATTTTAAAATTCAGACAAGGTCTTGTTCTGTCACCCAGGCTGGAGTGCAGTGGCCTGATCTCAGCTCATTGCAACCTCCACCTCCGGGGCTCAAACAGTCCTCTTGCCTCAGCCTCTGAAGTAGCTGGGACTGCAGGCATGCATCACACAGGCTATTTTTTTATGTTTTTAGTAGAGAAGGGGTTTCACCATGTTGGCCAGGCTGATCTCCAACTCCTGAGCTCAAGCGATCCTCCCACCTCAGCCTTCCAAAGTGCCAGGATTACAGGCATGAGCCACCGTGCCCAGCGGGAGTATCTACATTTTTTTATTTTTTTATTTTTTTGGAAATGGAGTCTCACTCTGTTACCCACGCTGGAGTGTAATGGTGCGATTGCGGCTCGCTGCAACCTCCACCTCCCAGGTTCAAGTGATTCTCCTGTCTCAGCCTCCCAAGTAGCTGAGACTACCGGCACGCACCATCAGGCCTGGCTAATTTTTGTATTTTTAGTAGAGATGGGGTTTCACCATGTTGACCAGGCTGGTCTCGAACTCCTGACCTCAGGTGATCCGCCCACCTCGGCCTCCCGAAGTGCTGGGATTACAGGTGTGAGCCACTGCACCCAGCCAGATCTACATATATTAAATGGGGTTATTCTGTCTGAAAGAGTAGTTTCTTCTTCTCGATTAATTTTTATTCATTAATGGCTGGGCACAGTGCCTCACACCTGTAATGCCAGCACTTTGGGAGGCCAAGGCAGGTGAGTGGCTTTGAGCTCAGGAGTTTGAGACCAGCCTGGGCAACATGGCGAGACCCCTGCCTCTATTTTAAAAAGTACAAAAATTAGCTGGGCATTGGTGGCTTGTGCCTGTAGTCCTGGCTACACAGGAGGCTGGAGAATTACTTGAGCCCAGGAGGCTGAGGTTGCAGTGAGCTGAGATTGTGCCACCTGGGTGACAGAGTAAGACCTAGTCTCAAAAAATAAAATAAAATAAAATAAAATAAAATAATAATTTTTATTCATTAATGTATTTATATCAGCCTGAACTCATGTTTATAGTCAGCTCTCGGTATCTATGGATGGGTTTTGTATCCATAGATTCAACCAACCACGAATCAAAAAAAATAAAAAATAAAAAAACCCAGAAAATGAAAAAAACAATGTGACATTTAAAACTAATATGCATTTTTGCCGGGCGCAGTGGCTCACGCCTGTAATCCCAGTACTCTGGGAGGCCGAGGTGGGAGGATCACCTGAGGTCGGGAGTTTGAGACCAGCCTGACCAACATGGAGAAACCCTGTCTCTACTAAAAATACAAAATTAGCCGGGCATGGTGGCACATGCCTGTAATCCAAGCTATGTGAGGCTGAGGCAGGATAATTGCTTGAACCCAGGAGGCAGAGGTTGCGCTGAGCCAAGATCATGCCATTGCACTCCAGTCTGGGCAACAAGAGTGAAACTCCATCTCAAAAAAAATATTATTGGGTGCATCACACCAACATGGCACATGTATAGATATGTAACAAACCTGCACATTGTGCACATGTACCCTAGAACTTAAAGTATAATAAAAAAAATAAAAAAAATTAATGGGTGCAGCACACCAACATGGCACATGTATACATATGTAACAAACCTGCATGTTGTGCACATGTACCCTAAAACTTAAAGTATAATAAAAATATAAAAAAAAAATAAAACTAATATGAATTTTTTTTTTGAGACGGCGTCTCGCTCTGTTGCCCAGGCTGGAGTGCAGTGGCACAATCTTGGCTCACTGCAAGCTCTGCCTCCTGGGTTGACACCATTCTCCTGCCTCAGCCTCCCGAGTAGCTGGGACTACAGGCGCCCACCACCACATCCGGCTAATTTTTTGTATTTTTAGTAGAGACGGGGTTTCACCATGTTAGCTAGGATAGTCTCAATCTCCTGACCTTGCGATCCACCCGCCTCGGCCTCCCAAAGTGCTGGGATTACAGGCGTGAGCCACCGTGCAGGCCAACTAACATGCATTTTTAAAATAATACAGTATAAATACTATTTACATAGCATTCACATTGTATTCTGTATTATAATTAACATATAGATGATTTAAGGTATAGAAGAGCATGTGCATAGGTTATATGCAAATACTACACCATTTTATTTCAGGGACTTCAGCGTCCTTAGATTTTGGTATCCTTGGGGGTCCTGGAACCAATCCCCAGTGAATACCAAGGGACAACTGTACTCATTTGATACTTCGGGTTATAATCCAATACTATGTTGTTTATTTTGTTATTCAAATTGATCCAGTTTTGGCCATCGGGAGCTCTTTCAAGTTGGTCCTTGCATCTCTTTGACATGCACACATTCTTGTAAAATGTTAAAAACATACAAATGAAAGATAATCACTTATCTTTGGAGGCACTTTATTTTTAATGTTACATACATGGGGCTGCACTCGGTGTCTCATGCCTGTAATCCCAGCACTTTGGGAGGCCAAGGCAGGAGGAGTCCTTGAGACTAGGAGTTCACGACTAGGCTGGGCAACATAGCAAGACCTCATCTCTAACAAAAAAGCAAAAAACAAAACCCCAAAAAACATTACATACATGCACTTGGCATCCTCCAGTGGCAATCCTCCAGTGATTCCAGAAAATATGTCATTTTATTTTTTTAGTTTTTTTGAGACAGAATCTCAGTCTGTCACCCAGGCTGGAGTGCAGTGGCATGATCCCAGCTCACTGCAACCTCCGCCTCCCAGGTTCAAGTGATTCTCCTGCCTCAGCCTCCCGAGTAGCTGGTATAACAGCCAACAGGTGGCAGGCACCTGTTATCCCAACTAATTTTTATATTTTTAGTAGAGACGGGGTTTCACCATGTTGGCCAGGCTGGCCTCGAACTCCTGACCTCAGGTGATCCGCCCGCCTCAGCTTCCCAAAGTGCTGAGATTACAGGCGTGAGCCACCGCACCCAGTTGCCAAGATGTCATTTTAAAACATAATGTTTCCCTGATCTGATTGTGCCATTATAATGAGTTATGATTTACCTTTAATTACCTCGATTATTTTACTTGTTAAAAAATTTACGTTTGTGGGCCGGGTGTGGTGGCTCACACCTGTAATCCCAGCACTTTGGGAGGCCGAGGCGGGTGGATCACGAAGTCAGGAGATCAGACCATCCTGGCGAACATGGTGAAACCCCATCTTTACTAAAAATACAAAAAAATTAACTGGGCGTTGTGCCAGGCACCTGTAGTCCCAGCTACTCGGGAAGCTGAGGCAGGAGAATGGCGTGAACCCAGGAGGCGGAGCTTGCAATGAGCCGAGATCGTGCCACTGCAATCCAGCCTGGGCAACAGAGTAAGACTCCGTCTCAAAAAAAAAAAAAAAAAAAATTACATTTGTGCCAGGCGAGGTGGCTCACAACAGTAATCCTAGCACTTTGGGAGGACAAGGCAGGAAGATCACTTGAGCTCAGGAGTTCAACAGCAGCCTGAGTAACATAGTGCGACCTCGTCTCTACAAAAACATACAAAAATCAGCCAGCTGTGGTGGCATGCGCCTGTAGTCCTAGCTACTCAGGAGACTGAGGTGGGAGGATCTCTTGAGCCCAGAAGGTAGAGGCCAGTGAGCTGTGATCATGCCACTGCACTCCAGCCTGGGCAACAGAGCAAGACCCTGTCTCAAAAAAAAATTTACACTTATAATCTGGATTCATTGTAGGAAAATTCAGATAAAAAATAGGAGAAATTGCCAGGCATGATGGTACTCATCTGTAATCCCAGCTACTAAAGAGGCTGAGGCAGGAGGATCATTTGAGCCTAGGAGTTTATACTGTAGTATGCTATGTCTGTTGGATGTCTGCACTAAGTTCAGCATCAGTATGGTGACCTCCCAGGAGCGGGGGACCACCAGGTTGCCTAAGGAGTGGTGAACACAGATTGGAAACAGAGCAGGTCAAAACTCTTGTGTTGATCAAGAGTGGGATCATGCCCGTGAATAGCCACTGCACTCCACCCTGGGCAACATAGTGAGACCCTGTGAAAGAAAGAGAGAAAGAGAGAGAGAGAGAGAGAGAAGAAAGGAAGAAAAAGAAAGGAATGGAAGAGGAGGGGCGGGGAGGGGAAGCAAAGTGGGGAGGAAGGAAGGAAGTATCCATAATCTCATTATGCAGTGATAATTACTTTGTTTGTTTGTTTGTTTGAGACTGAGTCTTGCTCTGTCGCCCAGGCTGGAGTGCAGTGGCACGATCTCGGCTCACTACAACCTGCGACTCCTGGGTTCAAGCGATTGTCCTGTCTCAGCCTCCTGAGTAGCTGGGACTACAGGCATGTGCCACCACACCTGGCTAATTTTTGTATTGTTAGTAGAGACGGGGTTTCACCATGTTGGTCAGGCTGGTCTTGAACTCCTGACCTCAGGTGATCCACCCATCTTGGCCTCCCAAAGTGCTGGGATTACAGGCGTGAGACACCCTGGCTGGCCGTTAATTGCTTTTGTTTTTGACTCCAGGCTGGAGTGCAGTGGCATAATCTCAGCTCACTGCAACTTTGACATCCCAGGCTCAAGCAATCCTCTGCCCTCAGCCTTCTGAGTAGCTTGGACTACAGGTGCATGCCACCATGCCTAGCTAATTTTTTTTTCTTTTTCCTTTTTTCTTTTTGTAGAGATGATGTCTCACTATGTTGCTCAGGCTGGTCTCAAACTCCTGGGTTCAAGCGATTATCCTGCCTCAGCCTCCCAAAGTGTTGGGATCACAGGCATGAGTCACCACACCCGGCCGATAATTACTATTAATACTTTGCTATACGTTTCTCCTTTCTAGTGTGTGTGACTCTGCATATCACTTACATATATATGTATATTTTTGAGACAGAGTTTCACTCTTGTTGCCCAGGCTGGAGTGCAATGACAAGATCTCGGCTCACTGCAACCTCTTCCTTTGCCTCCCGGGTTCAAGCAATTCTCCTGCCTCAGCATCCTGAGGCACACACACACACACACACACACACACACACACACATACATATATACACATACATATATACATGTATATACATATACGTATATACATATACATATATACACATACATATATATTTTATAAATATATGTATATAATATATACATATATAACATATAAATATATGTATACAAATATATGTATACATACATATATATGTATATAAAATATATATTTGTATATAAAATGTATATATGTATGTGTATATATGTATGTATATGTAAATACGTATACATACATATATATATATAAATTTTTTTTTTGATGGAGTCTTGCTCTGTCACCCAGGCTGGAGTGCAGTGGCGCGATCTCCGCTCACTGCAATCTCTGCCTCCTGGGTTCCAGCAATTCTCTGCTTCAGCCTCCCGAGTAGCTGGGATTACCGGCGCCCACCACCATGCCTGGCTAATTTTTGTATTTTTAGTAGAGGCAGGGTTTCACCATGTTGGCCAGGCTGGTCTCGAACTCCTGACCCATGATCCACCCGCCTTGGCCTCCCAAAGTGCTGGGATTACAGGCATGAACCACCGTGCCCGGCCCACTTACCAATATATTGTTAGAGCTTTCCCACGTCACTATATACATTTTTTTTTAATGCAAACAGTCTTTATTATGAGAAAACAGTGTTATCTAGGAAAGTCACATGCTGGTTTCTTTCTAATAAAATGACAAAGCAGGTTTCTTAAATAATTTACAAAGAGCAAAAATTGTTCTTGAACAGGCACACCCACAGTGCTCTGCATTTAGCATATACATAGGTACCCGTGAGCCCAGGGTCTTAAGCCTGGAAATATCTCCTATGCCTTCCTACGAGTCCCTGGTAGGGAAAGCAGGGATGAGAGTGGGGCCCCCAAGAGCCTTGGCACCGGAAACACAGTGGGTGAGTGACTCTGCAGATGACTCCCCAACAACCAGGCACCTGGGTACACAGCTAAGAGCTCTCTAACATCTGATGCTAGCACTTCACGTTGTAGATGAGGCAAATACAAGGCTCAAGGTCAAGTGTATGATGAGTTTCTAAGCTCAAGAGTCCCCTGGGAAAGTGGAAGGAACAATTCTCCCCACCTCTGCAAGGTCTCCCCAAGACACTCTCAGGCTATGGCAGGCAGTCACTGATGGATCCAGATGTGGCCAGAGCCAGGGGGCTCTGGGCTCCTTGTTAGTCAGGTCCTTGTTAGCAGTGGCCCAGGGGTACTGATGACTCCTGGGGGCTTCCTCCAGGAAGCTCATGGGGAAGCACAGACATCCTTGGGTATGAAGCCTTGGCAATCAGACAAGGCTTGTTTCCTGCAGGCCACTTACTCAGCCATGAATGAGAGAGATGATGTCACCACTCTCTTCCGCCATAATGGCTTCATCTAGCTCTTGGGACAGCTTCTGGAGATGCTGAATTCCCACCCCCATAGGCTCTAGGTCACTGCCAGACTGGCTGGGAGAGCAGAGTGGCTCTGTTGAGGAGTAGGGGCTCCAGAAGGCAGCCTCCTGCATCGACTGTCATAATGGGTAGGCATGGGAGCCTATCCGGGCGGAGAGGCAGTTATGCTCCTTCTCCCAGGGGTCTGTGGGCTGAGTGGGCAGGGGCATCTCCAGATAGCCGGGTGCTCTTCTGGCTCAGGCTGTGAGCTGGGGAGCCACTGCCCTTCTGTGCCCGTCTCTTCCTCCTCCTGGCCTTCACCTGGGTCTCCACCAGCCACTTGGTGCCACTTTGGCAGGACTCCTGGATTCTCTGGGACATGGCACCCAAGGCACTCTTAGCTGAGTGAGCCGTAGCCTGGAGGCCCTGCTGCCCTGGCTCTGGGGTTTCCAAGCATTTGCAGGAAGGGCCTGCACGGAAGTTGAGGTTGATGGCTCTCAGAGGCAGCCTCCATTGGAACTGTCTGCACAGGGACCCCAGGGACCCGCGGAGTTCTCCTGATGGCTGGTCACGGGCTGCAGCTCCTTGCATCCTCCAGCTGCTCCTGGTGCTGGAGACATCTCCGGTGCACGGAGGTCCCCATTCTCTGCCACCAAGAAGCCATCTGCCTGGCCAAGAGTCTTCTCTGCCCACTAGACCCCGACACAACCAACGCCAATCACACCCCGAGCATAGCTGCCCCACTATATACATTTAATGGATATTTAACTCCCTTTCTACTGTTTTTTTGTGTGATTATAAACATCCTTGTATATATTTAAATCATTAATTTGTGCCATAGCAACTAAACCAAGCTTGTTTCCAGACTGTAAAGGTTTGCAAATTCCAGCTTCCTAAGTCTTTACTGAAATAATTCAGCATGATTTTTAAATTTACTTATAGTGCCTACCTTATAGCCTGCATTGTGGTAAAAACCAAAGCAGCTGAAGAATGATCCCTGCTTATGATGTAAAAATGGAGGCAGAAGACCTAAATCTAAGGCAATATACAATTTAATGTGACAAAATTATGATATAGAGGGTATGTAATTGCTGAAGGAATTCCAAAGAAAAAATAAATAAATTCTGACTTAGCTAATGTTGGCATCACATGATTGTTTTATATGTGGTGAAGACTGTCGGTGCTCACCAGTGACTGTGTTCTTTTCTTCTTCCTGGCCTACAGCCAGAGTCCCTCTTCCAGCCTCCAGTGCAGTTAGGTATGACCATGTGACTGTTCTGGCCCGTGGAATGTGAGCAAGAGTGATGGGCACCACTTCTAGGTCCATAAAAACCTCTCAAGCACAATCCTCACTCTTTGGCCATCCCTTCTCTTGCTGAATGGAGAGGACAAAGAAAGGGACAAACAAAAGGGTGGAACCACAGTTGGAAAAAAGCCTTTGTCCTTCAAGCAGTTCTCCTGCCTCAGCATCCTGAGTAGCTGGGACTACAGATGTGTGCCACCACACTGGTTGGGCCTTAGTTTCATTATCTGTAAAATGCAGGGTGGGCCTAGATGGTAGCTAAAGGCAGTTACAGTTCTAATTTTCTTTTTTGTTTTGTCTTTTTTTTTCTTCCTTTTTGTGGAGAACGGGGTCTCGCTATATTGCCCAGGCAGGTCTCAAACTCCTGGGCTCAAGCTATCCTCCGGCCTCTGCCTCCCTGACAGCTGGGATTACAGGCGTGAGCCACCGCGCCCTGCCTCTAATTTTCTTTAATTAAATTTCCTGTGATTCTCACTCTAACCACGTGAAGTCAGCAGGACAAATATTATCTCTCTTTTACAGATCTGCTAATCAAGTCCTCAGAGATAAGTCTGTCCCCAAGGGGAATGAGGCCTAAAAGCACCTCATGGGCTAAGGATGGAGTGGTGGAGCAGTGTAGAAGATTGTGGGGCTTTAAAAATTCATTCTTTCTGAAAAATAAAGGGAAACTCAAATGAGAGATCCCACCTTGCAAAAAATTTATCTTTCTCTAAACCTACTATACACAGGATGACTT